>NC_000017.11:79940081-80240491 GCF_000001405.40 Homo sapiens
ACGTAGAAGACCCCCAGCAAAGAAAAAGGCATCAGATGCTTCTCCAACAGCCTGAGGCTCAGGCTCCTGGGCAGACAGTTCCCTTCGTGTACCAGGAGGACGAAATGTTTAAACGGATAAACATTACAAGCGCCAGCTCCTCAAGCCTGACTGCTCTTCCGCCTCTCTATCCCCACATCGGTTGGGCTTTTTATCTTTTGCTTTTCTTTTATGGCAGATGCCTTTCCATCGGCATCCCAGCTGTGGCTGGGGACGTTTTGGGAAGTGTGTTTGGCTCACTCCGAGAGAACGAGGTCTCAAGAGGAAGTGTGTCTGGCTTGCAAAGATGTCCCTGGGCCTGGACAGGACCCCGCTGTGTTCTGCAGCCCTCGACGCAGTGGGTGAGTGAGGCCTTCCTCTCCTGTCTCTGCTTTCCTCATTGCCTGGCGACGCTGTCTGGCTGCCCTCGAGGGTGGAGCAAATCCTGGGACATGTTGAAATCCTCCAGGGCAGCCAGCAGGAGAGCCCAGCCAGCCTGCGTCTCAGGTGCGGTGGCTGCGCGTTCCACTGCAGCGTTTCAGGAGCTGACTTTCCTCTGGGTGGCTGTAGATCTGACTTCTGTCACTTCCAGACTCTAATTTTGTCATTAATATGAAAAGGTTCCTCTCATGTTGCCCAAAAGCATTTTCCTTAGGTTTCTACCGTCCCCTGTCCCCTTCACGCCCAGCCCCACCCCCTCCCGTGCCCAGGGCCTCTGAGGAGGTCCCCTCAACCCCTGTCCGGTGTCGGGGGCCCGACCTATCTGCGGAAGCCGAAGCCGTCCTGCGGCGTCTTTGGGCCCTTCTTGCCTTCCCTCAGGGACTTGGGGGAAGGCATCTCCACCGTGCCCCCGTAGGGACAGCTCTCCGAGCCGGGATGGTGGCCGGTGCACTCCACCGCGGGCATGGAGCCGCTGTCCCACATGCCTGACCCGCACAGCTTACACAGATCGTGCAGGCTGCAGGGGATCCGGGGCAGGAGGCGGAACTGGTACAGCAAACTCCTCGCCTGCAGACAGAGGACGGGGGGTGAGGAGGGGCCGGGGGACAGCCTGGCAGCCTAGGGTCCCCATGGGAGTGGCCAAAGACAGCAACAGCAGCAACAACGGCCTGCACCTCGGGGGCTCACCGAGTCCTGGACTGAGGGCTCTGCCTGCATCTCCCACCATCACCGGCACCACGGGGCCCTGGGTCTTAGGTGGCTGCAGTGATGGGACCCACAAGGCACTCGGGCTGTGCTCACAGGTGGCTCGAGGTGAACAAGGCCCTTGAATGGGCTTCATTCAGGAGGGTGAACAGGACCAACACCAGCACAGGGCCGGGTGGCGTCCAGCCAAGCCCACCTGTCCCTTTGGCAGCACCCCTCTCTTCTTCCCCCGCACCTTGCTCCACCCCCCACCCCCAGCAGCCTCTCAGCTCCTGCAGGATCTGTGTCCTGTGCCAGAGGACACCACCGACCTCGGGACCCCCGCTCAGTGCCCTGAGGACCACCAGAGAGCTAACGGGCAGCATCTCCAGGAGGCGTCTGGGAAGTGGGGGAGGGGGCCAAAGCCCAAGGTCCCCAGTATTCTGGCCACCCTGTCCCCAGGTCCAGCCTCCTTCTCAGTGTTCCCAGTTCTGGGTTGTAAGCGAGGTACCCCAGGGTAGGGAACCTGTCCTGTCCGTCAGCCCCGGTGAATTCGTTCCCTCCTCAGCCAGCGAGGGAGGCTCCTGTGTCAGGGCTGGCACCCCAGGAAAGTGAGGTGACACAGCCAGGCCGAGACAGGTGCTGACCACGAGGCCTTAGTGGGGAGCCCCCAGTGCTATGGGTGGGGGAGGGCACGTGCTGGGGGGCCATGGTGGGGATGGGGCTCTGGGGGCGGGGCCCACATCTGGGGCAGCCTCACCTTTCTGAGAACGAGCTGGTGGGGTGGGGCTTTGGGGGCGGGGCGGGGTGGGGCCCACATCTGGGGCAGCCTCACCTTCCGGAGAACGAGCTCCCCGTTCATGTGCATGGCCAGGTTTCCGAAGTGCAGGAGCATCTGGTCCGTGGCCAGCTGCTGCTCGATGACGTCATCCCCGTAGATGGCCACGATGGCCACGCAGATGAAAAGGTGGAAGTAGTCCGTCTGTGGAGGCGGGTAGAGTTCAGACACGGGCTCTGACCGAGCCCCAGGCCCTGCACTCAGGGGGAAACTGAGTGCCAGGGTGCGAGTGAGGGCTCCAGGGCGAGGGGTCTGGGCTCACAGCCCAGCTCGGGGGCCGTGTGGCCCTGGGCAAGCTGCACCGCCTCTTCGGCCCTAAGTTTCCCCACCTGCACATGGGGTCTGTCCCAGTACCCGCATGCCCAGGCTGCTGTGACATCCAGAGGGGACGATGCTGAGCTCAGCCCCCACGGGCTGCTGCTGCTCTCCTGGGTGGTGATGTGGGTGGTCTCCATGACAGGGTGGGGGTGGGGGGGTACAAAGAGCACCCTTCCTCAGAAGGCCTGGCCTGTGCTCATGGGGAGGACTCATTTGTAATGGTCCTGAGCAACGGTGTGTGCGGAAGTCTGGGTCAGAACTCACTCCAGCGGGTCATGGAATGCGCCTCTGGCAGCCACCCACGGGTCAGCCTGTCCTCCTGGCTCCAGGCCACACCCCCCAATCATGCCCCAGAGATGACTCTAGGGTTTGTGGCTAGAAAAGTGGGAAGATCCTAACAGAGCGGGCACAGCAGCTCACCCACAGGGTGGCTGAAATGATCGCCCTGTCCTTGAGCCTCTTTTCGGGCATACTTTGAGGACTCCGCAGCCCTCCCTTTAAAGACCGCCTCACGGGGCCTGCCAGCAACGCGCTGTGTGCAGCAGGAAGCCCACGCCAGGTCCTGACGGCTGCATCCTGTGTGCTCTCCGGCCTGGCCGCCTCAAGACACGCCACCTTTGATGCACACGCGCTTCCGGAGGCACAGGAAGGACGGGGGCACTGGGAAGTCCATGTTTAGTCTCCTGACGTCGACCACACAAACCAGACGGAACGGTGTCCCCGGCCCAGGCTGAGCGGAGCACACCATGAGGGCAGAGGCTACAGGTGACTCCCACGCCCCAGCCTGCTCCTGGAGAGACCATGCACCAGGCTGCCCGGCTGCTTCCTCTGAACTAATCTGGGACGGTCTTGTTTTGGCTCTGACGGATCCTTTTGCAGTGATTTGAACTGTGGCTGGTGCGAGACACAGCGGAGGGGTTGCAGGAAGGTGGACGCCCAGCTTCTCTGGGAGAGGAATGTGGGGAGGGAGAGGGAGGGCACGATCTCCACAGCCTGCACAGCATAGGCAGATTTCAGTTCCCAGGACAGGCAGGGCGTAGGGCCGTCCAGCCCCACCACATGCTGACAGCGGACGGATAGCATCAAAAGCCTTTCTCGCTCAGGGGTCACTGAACAGTTAAAGGCCTCACCTGGCAGCAACCTTCCCATTCCACAGAGCTCACTCTCAGCTCATCAGCAGCCCACCCCCACCCCCACCCCGTAATACTACCAAATTGATCGAGGGATGGGACCGACCGTGGCTAAATCAAGCCCACAGTCTGAAAACAACAGAAACTTGCTTTGTGGACTTCCAACACAATGGCAGCCAACAGAGATCCCACGTCACGTGGGCCTCCCGCTGGAATTCTGACTAGATCTCATTACACTTGGGACACAGTAGGTGTCCATGGGAAAGGGACCCATCTGCCGGGCCACGCGCTGAGTTCACGGGTAACATCAGCCTGAACGTAAAGGAATGAGGGCGGCAAATCTGCCACTGGGAAAACGTGCAATGAGGCACGATTTTTTTTAATTCGGGAGTGGTGGGAATGAAGCCTCTCAGACCGTCCATGCCGTGCTTCCCTTCGTTAATGCAGATCGTCCACCCTGCACGTCCACGTCCAGCAGGCTGAGCCAGGAGGGAAACCTAGACCCGGGCCAGGGGCGAGCCGATGACCGCATGCAAAGGCGGCGTGTGGTACCGGCACTCGGTGGCTTCAGACTCGCTTTCATCAGACATCAGCCCCCTGCGGTGTGAGTGAGGACAGGAGACGCTGACGCAAATGTCTTCCAGCAGATGGGTGTTTGCCTCCATCTTCAGGGTTCTCTGACGGAGGCTGCTGGAGCTGCCGTGGTGGATAGAGCCAGCTCCTGCAAAAGGGTCCAGCCCTCCTGGATGCGTCGATGTGAGTTTTTTTTTTAAAAGGCTGATGGACTCAAAGAGACTTGCTTATCTTTTGACATCTCCAGCTTGTCCCTAGTTTGGGCGTTAAGGCCATGTGACAGAGCCAGTGCTGTGCTCCAAGGGGAATTTGCTGAGAAGATGCTGGTGACGGTGGACGGAGAGTGGAAGTCGGTATCACTGATTGGGGCCCTCTGGAGGGGCCGACAGGGAAGTGGGATCTCAGGCCCTTTCTCTGCACAGCAGGGTAACGGGTGAGTCGGCCCTCGTGGCAGGGCGGTCCCGAGGGGGTGGAGCGGTGCTGGCTCACGCTCGTGGGCACCAGCGTCCTGGGCTGCTGTGGCCTAGTGTAGGCCCCCCACAGTGTCACTCACACTGATTGGTTGTGACAGGAGGGAGCTCAGCCCCAGAAAGTGGTAATGAGTGCAGTCAGCGGGCAATTTGCATCGATTTCAGTGACTGGGGAGGCGAGCTGTAAGGTCTGAAGCCAGCCACGTGGGACGGGAAGGCAGTCGCCGTATGGGGGGCTAATGTGTGGCTGTGGGTGGGGGGCGGCGAGGCGGACAGGGGCAGCAGGCAGGGTGGCCACGGTGGTTCAGGGGCCATGGTCCCAACCTCCCCAGCCCTGGCCCCTGCCCTGGTCACCTGGTAGTGGGCCCAGCAGGCCTCCCAGATCCGCAGCGCTTCGGCCTCGGGGAACTCCCGCTTGAAGCACAGAAGGAGCCAGCGGTGGCAGAAGAGCATCTGCAGGCCGTCCTCGCCCAGCGAGACCAGGTGCTGGTAGAAGCGCACGTGCGTCAGCCGCAGCAGCTCGCGCAGGTACAGCTGGGGGTGAGGCCGTCACGCGTTAGTTAGCTCCGGTCCCATGCGGCCTGCTGCCCAGGAAGCCCACTCCCACTGGGGCCCTTCCCTGGGCCACCCCAGCCTGGAAAAGCACACCCAGGGGCCTCTACCTGCTGCATGTGCCTGCCCCCCCAACGCTCCATTCCGCCGCTGGAATCGGCTCACACCTGCCTCTGCCAGTTCCTCCCAGATCTGACTGTTCCGGAGGCTGTGGTGTGGTCCAGGGTGAGGCAGAGTGTTGTGCCCGGGCGTGGCAGGACGCTGGCAGCCGCTCCATGGCCAGGAAGGCTCCCCACCCTCAGTGCACACTTGGGGGCTGTTTCCCACGTCCACTCCTCCTGGTGAGGTGAGTGGATCATCCAGGGAGCCCCCCCACCCCTCTTCGGCTACGCTCACCCAGATCTATCATCTTCCAGAGCTGTTTTAGGGCAGGAAGGGGACGTATCTGAGCCCCAGGATGCTCGATTCCTGCCATTAAGGTCATCTCCCAATGATGTGGGACAAGATCGGGGCTATTTCTGGCAGCACTCGGGCCCAGGCCGCTGACTTCATCAATGCCGCTGGAAAATCAATCTCCAGCATTCAGTGAGTCACCCAGCCATGCGCTGCCATGAGCCGTCAGAGGCGAATGGCGTTGGACACTGTAACTGCCTCCCCAAGCAATGTGGACACCCGACGTCACACACACCCGTTGATGCAGAGTGAGCAGGCTTGGCTGGGTTCAGCCCCCCGGCCCAGGTGGAGTTAGATCACAGCTGGGGGGATCCTGGGGCAGAGCTCGGGGCCACATGCCCCCTTCCCACACAGGTGGCCCATTGTTCCCACGGGAGACTGCGCTGAAGCTGTGCGGCCAGCCCTCCGCCCTGTGGCCTACGGCCAGGTCAAGCCCACTCGTGTGGCTGACCCCCTTGCAGATGCTCCACTCCCGCCCCCTGTGCAGGTGCCTGCACCTCCCTGCTTGGGCTCCTTTGCCTTCAAATCCTCTCTGTTGGCATCAGCTCTCCCAGCCTGTCATCAGCGACCCACTAACAGTCAGTCTATAGCAGCGGTCCCCAACCTTTTTGGCACTAGGGACCCGTTTCCTGGAAGACAATTTTTCCACGGACAAGGTAGTGCGAATGGTTTCAGGTTGAAACTGTTCCCCCTCACATCATCAGGCATTAGATTCTCATAAGCAGTACACAACCTAGACCCCTCACATGCTCAGTTCACAGTAGGGTTCTCGCGTTCGAGCTTCTGTGAGAATCTAATGCAGCCGCTGATCTGACGGCAGGTGGAGCTCAGGCGGGAATGCTCGCTGGCCCGTCCACCGCTCACCTCCTGCGGTGCGGCCAGTTCCTAACAGGCCATGGACCAGTACCAGTCCTGGGCCTGGGAGTGGGGATCCCATTCTATGAGACACACTCCGTGGCCTGGGGCTGGGGAACCCCGTTCTACAAGTCACACTCTGTGTCCTGGGGTGGGGACCCCATTCTACAAGTCACACTCTGTGTCCTGGGGTGGGGACCCCATTCTGAGACACGCTCTGTGTCCTGGGGGTGGGGACCCCCGTTCTATGAGACACACTCTGTGGCCCTGGCCTTCAAGGCCCTCCATCAGCTCCACCCTCACTACTTGTGACGGGTCTGGTCCAGGAAGACCAGGTCACTCAGTCCCACCACTGGGACTGCTCTGCTCAGCCCAGCCTTAGCGACACTCAGGGCCAGACCCCACACACCCTGGAGCTGTCCCCGGTGCAGGAGCCCTCTTGTCCTTATCACGGGCACCTCCCACAGTGCTCCCCGACACCCAGCGTCCTCTGCTCACAATGCCAGCTTCCTGGCCCAGCCAGGAGGGTGAATGTCTGGTGACTGCACCCGGCAGGCACTTGGTTGACATGGGTGATGTGTGCTGAGAACAGTGAGCAGGTGCCCTGGCTCAGCCCTGGTTCGGTCCCACACGCTGGCCCTCCGGCGCTGCCTTACCCAGCTGGGCTCAGCCCCACCACCGACATTCAGTGCTTCCTGGTCTACATAGGGCTGGTCCTTTTGAGGAGGCCTTGACGGGAGAGGTGTCAGCAGGGCACCCCAGGGGAGGGGTGGGGTGTGAGGACTGCCCCAGAGACCTCAGGGGGTTTCAGGAGCCCCTCCTCTTCCTGTCTGCACTCAGAAGCCCTGGCTGTGTTGACTCCTGCAGGGAGCAGCTTAGACACACCTGAGGACCCATTTTCTAAGGCTCAGAGGGGGCTGGGTGTGATGGTGCCACGTCTTCCTTGCCAGCCAGGGAGCTTGGGCCAGGTTGTCACGTGCAGGGGTGGAAGGCCACCAGAGCGGCCCACACAACGCGGCCTCTGGACCTGCAGGGAGTCAGAGGGCCATCCCCGGAGGCCGAGATAGGCTAAGCCGCCCATATCCCACGGGCAAGTCCTATCCTGGCGTTCCCACTGCCCACTGACCTACAGCAGCCAAGCCACGCATCACCACGGCAACCCCGGCTACAACGGGAGAGGCAACACGGGCCCTCACATGCCCTTGGACGCACCCATCCCCCTGAGCCTCACCAGTTGTTTCTCCATGTCCTCGTCCCGGGGTGAGCTGACGAAGATCGTGTTCTGCATCAAACCCACAAAGCACCAGAAGGTGTCTGACTCATCCAGGACCTCGGCCAAGATGGGCGCCACCAGGTCCGACATCCCTTGGGAATAGCCGACGGCAGGGTTGTACACGGCGTAGTTCAGCAGGATCCTCCTGGGAGGCGGTGGAGACAGCAGTGGGTGGGGATGACCCTCACCGCGGCACACTGCCCAGCCTGCAGAACCCTGGGCCGTGGACCCTGCCTTCCCTCGCTTGCCTTCACCTCAGTGGAAGGCAGCTGTGCCACCATCTCAGAGCCCAAGCTTAGCTTCCAGACACACAGACCCTTGCTTTGCAAAAGGTAATGGCCTGGCCGGGCGCGGTGGCCCACGCCTACAATCCCAGCACTTTGGGAGGCTGAGGTGGGCAGATCACCTGAGGTCAGGAGTTCGACACTAGCCTGGCCAACATGGTGAAACCCTGTCTCTACTAAAAATACAAAACTTAGCCGGGCATGGTGGGGTGCACGCCTGTAATCTCAGCTACTTGGGAGGCTGAGACTGGAGAATCGCTTGAACCCGGAAAGCGGAAGTTGCAGTGAGCCGAGATCACACCACTGCACTCCAGTCTGGATGACAGAGCGAGACTCCGTCTCAAAAAAAAAAAAAAAAGTAATGGCCTGCTATTAGCTGCTGTCTAGGCCCAGAATCTTGAGAGCAGGGGTTAAGGGGGAACATGGCTCTGATTTTCTGAAGGGTGGACTGCCTGTGACAAGGGGTGGGCTGGCAGGGACATTTCTGTGGGCTGCTAATTTTGTGCAATTATTTGCTAGGCTGTAGCAGAATGTCACAGATGCCAGCCTCTGGCTCTGTGTGGCTGTATGACTACGGGACCACCCACGGGGAGATGGAGGGGGTGCATGGGGAAGCTGGTCCATGGTTAGTGTGAGCCAAGCAAGGACAGGCTTGGTGGTGCCCAGGGGATAGAGGGGCTCTGTGGGCAGGGACCTGGGTGGCTTCCCTGGGATGCCATGGCTCTGAGATGCCAACTGACGTAGCTCATGAGTAGCGTATCCTTCACTTCTGGGGCTTTGATGTATGAACCTGGAAGAGAGCCCCTGCAGAAACTCGCTGGGGGCTCATCCACTTCCCAGAGCGGTCAGGTGAGGCTTGCAGACTTGCAGATGGGAAAGGAGCTGGCTGGGGAGGGAGTACCTCATGCTCTCCACATTGGGATTGTCTTCCCCCCGGAAGAACTGGTTGTTCCGATCTGTCCGGACCACGTCTTTGTCCACAGTGAACTGCACATTACGCCAGAACGCTCTGTGCTCCTCGGGAGTCATGGAGAGCCTGTGTGGAGCCGAGCACCCAGCCGGGGTCAGCGGGTGGCACCCAGAGGCATCGTGTGGCGCACACACTGCAGGAAGCCACCCTTCCTCCCAACCCCCGTTCCCTGGACGGGAGCTGGGCGGCTGCTGCCGGCTGCAGACCCTCCCCGGATGCGGCGGATGGGTGGCGTGTATCCAAGGCTCTCCTTGATATTAACTCAGCCTCACAGTCTCCAGCGTCCCAGGAAGGAGAGCAAGTTGCAGCCCAGTGGGTAATGAGGCCTTGGCCCTGGCCCAGCGTTCTGGAGGGGAGCTGAGCACAGCCCAGGGGCTTCACCCAGTCCCAGCCTCCTGGAGAGAGAGCTGAGCCCAGTCCCGGGTTAGCAGATCCCAAGTGGGACACAGTCTCCGGATGCCTTCACCCCTCCAGGCCCTGCTCCCAGCCCCAGCCTTCAGCTGTGGGACGTCAGCGCCTAGTTAAGTCTGTTGAACGAGAATTCTAAAACCTTGACATGTGAGCTAACGAGCCCCGCAGCTCCGAGGCCCGAGTGCTTGGTTTAATGACTGCACTTATCCCACCCTATCACTCACGTTCCTGGGAGACCCATTTTTGAAAGAAACTATGGGTCACGAAACATATTATCAATGCTGAATTGCACCTCAAATTGCCTTTTCAAATGACATTTTCCTCCGCGGCTCGGCGGGGTGGGCCGGGCTGGCCCCGGCGGTTACCTTTTCTGCTGGATCTCAGAGTACTCCTTTCGCTTCTGCAGCCGCAGCGCCTCCCGCTCCTCCGACGTGGACTCGTGGCTGTAATAGCGCAGCAGGAAGGGCCAGACCTCCCCGCGGATTGACACATCAATACCGCCAAAGAAAATGGCCTGGAGGAAGCGGCAAAAGTTGGGGAGGGGATAAAATGGGGCAGCTCAAAGAACCCCCAAATCCCCAGAGATGTGTGTTTTGGTGGTTTTTGGTGCGCCTTGATTCAGATCTCTGCAATTTGCACATATTTACAAGGGGAAAGCAGTGGCCTTCAATTCCCATACAGGACACAAACCCGGCTCATTTCAATGTCAATGCCCCCCCTGGGGTGGCGCTCAGATTAACGTGTCGTTCTCACGTCATGGCCTAATCCCTGGTTTTGGAAATGCTGCATTTCACTGCAAACCCTTCTATGCAGGCTGACACGGTATCCCCCCAAACCCTCGAGGGAGGTGTTGTGTTTTGTTTTTTTTTTTCAACGCAGCAGCTTTGATTGCTTTATCGGTGTGTTCACAGAGAGCCTCACACAAGAAAACGGGGCCCTCACGAGGAGGTGGCCCGTGGGTGCGGGCGGGCGGCCAGGCCCCGGCCCTCCTTCCCTCTCGCTCGTTCCCGGTTCCCGGCCGGCTCTCCGCGGGGCCAGCTGGGCGGACCCGGACCTCACCTTCCGCAGCTTGTACTCCTCCTCCACCTGGCCCAGCTCATTCAGGTGGTTGAGCCAGGCGGAGACGCCGAGCCTCTTGTACATGCTCTCCTCGGGGTGCGTCTCGGAGGACGGCAGCTTGGGGCGGCGGATGGAGAACTGCATGCATGTCTTATCGGGGGCGACCTGCTGGACGGGAGGAAAACTGGGCAAAGGTCAGGATCTCAGCCGCGCGGCTTCAGAGGCCAGCAGTGCTTTTCCCAGGAATAAAAGCCTCTCTCTCTTCTGAAAGGAGGGCAAGGGCCGTCCCCTGCATACAAACCCCTAAATGGCGAGTGTAATTAGGCGCAATTAAAATGAAAATACCTTCATCTTAAAATCGGTTTCCCTCTGCGGCTCTCTCCTCCCCGGCCCACTGTGCCGCCGCCCCCCACTCTCTCCAACCCCAGCCGCAAAAACGGAATGAATGCCTCGTTCGGCCTAACTTCCCTCTGCCGGGAGGGCCTGCAATGAATTACATGTGATTGGCCACATACAAAGGGATCGCTGTTCTGCGAGCAGGGAGCCAGCCTGTCAGATTGCCTCCGCGAGCAGTCACGAATCCAGGGCAAAACTGCAGCTGACATTTAATTCAAAAATCAAAGGTTGTTCAATGTAGGGGGAAAAAAAGCCATGCTACTGTAATAAGGGAAGCCAGCAGGAGGCTCTGCGGGAAGGAAGGGAATTTTAAAATCGGCCCCATTTCTAATAAGCACATACAGTACCTTAAACAGATAATTAAAGAGCTCTTATTACATTTGTACGTAGATTGAGCAAAATATGGCAGGAAGTCTTGTCAAAACATGATTTTTCAAGTGCAGGGCACTGACTTTACCGAAAGCCCTGGGCAAAGGTTTCAAACCCAAAGTTGCTGCTCTGACGGCCAAAAACTACCGTGGGTCACACCCCGTAAGCCCCCGGGGCCCGGGGACCCCAGACACAGGACCCAGGAGGGAGATGGGGCCCGTGGGGGGTGGGGAGTGTCAACCGCTGGGCATTCTGGGGCCGTCTGCTGGGCTACCTGGTCTTTGAGCTGCATCTCGGTGCAGTATTTCCACTGCTGGAACACGTCAGACAGCTTGTCCAGGCCGCCGTGGTGGAAGTGGAAAACCTTGTACTGGCTCTCTCGGCTGGCAACGACCAGCTGGCCGCTGGTGCAGGCCTCGTCGCTGAAGGGCCATTGGAAGGGGGAGAGGGAAGCCCGATGAATATGTAAACACGGGGGTTTTATTTCCAAGTATAATCAGAGGCCACTGTCGCCAACCTCAGAAGCAGGAAACAGTGAGTCCCAGTGGAGTTGGCTGCTAGCGGGAGGGGACAGAACTACACCGAACAAAAACCACCACCCCCTTTGCCGAAGATGGCAAAACTGCTCCTTCCTGGGGGGCCCTGGAGCTCCTCTCTGGAGACCTGCCAGAGTGGCCTTCTCCCCACCACCCCCTGCCCGGCAACATGGTCCCTGCAGTCCGGGAGACCTGGGTCCCAACGCTGAGTGCCCTGGAATCCAGTTCTGAGCCCTGGCAGGCCATGTGCTAAGAGAACCTCCTGGGAACAGACCTCCTTCGTTGCGTGTGGGTGGAACTCTGGGAGAACCCTCCAGGGAAACTCAGTAAACATCCGTCAGTGCTGTCAGCCCAGCCCCGGCTGCCCTTAGATGAAAGGCTGGAATGTGGCTCTGGGTCTGGGAACCCCCCCAGCTTCTGGACACGCCGGCTTCTTCTAAGCCCGGGCCTCTCATTGGTGATGTCTGCGGCTGGGCAGCCCTGACTATAAGGAGGAGGATCTGGTGTGGGGAATGACTGCAGGAAACTAGGCATCGCCCACCCATCACGAAAGGAAGGGAGCCTCCATCCGGAAAGCTGCGGCCCGTCCCGCACAGGTGGCCGAGCTCCAGAGCATCCCCCGGCGATCAGAGCCGCCGGCAGCTGCTACCCTCTGCCCTGGTTTGGTTTCTTCTCCCAAGCCAGAGTTGCAAGCAACCGCTGGCTACCATCACGCTGAAGGTAGGGGAGTGAGTTCGGTAGCTCACCCAGCCTGAGAACTGTCAGGGAGCTGCAGTGGGGAATCACTGCCCACAAGATCAGCGAGGGAGGAAAGCAGACGCTTGGGAAGACTCCATCCAGGGCCCTGTGTCCCCAAGCCGTGCACTGCACCGGCTGCAAAGCCCAGGCTGCCAGGGAAAACACACACAGGCCAACTCCCAGGAGGCGCCCAGAGATGCTTCCTACCTGAAGAAAAGGCGGAGGGAGCGCATGTGGCCCAGGTCCACGCGGAACACGCCGCAAATCTGCTCCAGGGCGCACACCCGCTGCGGCTCGTCCCAGCGTGGGGTCTGCAGGAGGCCGTTGCTGTCCGGGAACCGCAGGCCGGCGTCGGAGCTGGACGGGGGGCTGGTGGAACAGGTTATGTGATGATCGCCACACTTCTCCCTGCCCACACTACCCAGAGGGGGACGGGGGTCATGGGGGAGTCATTTAAACCTACGCACCAAGCTTAAACACACATACAGGCACGGCTGAATATGCCCTGTAAACACCTGTGAATAAATGAATGTATGAACCCCACTGCACAGTTCTACTTCCACTTGGATGGGAAAGCATTTTCATGATCAAATTCCATTCCACTTCAATAGAGGCAGTAAGTCATCATCGTCCTGACAGCCAAGGTCACACTGACTGGGGTTCCTCGCTGTGTGACCTTGGCCAAGCCACCAAGCCTCTCTCAGCCTTCGTTTTCCCATGGATAAAGAAGGCAGGAGAATAACAAGGCTGGGTTTCCCTACAGCGTGGGGCTGGGCTTTACTAAAACTGGTTGTTTTGGGATGATTTTAGATAGCATGGGGCTTCCGCGTGGTTTAAACCAGCTCACTGTATTCCTGAAAAGTACTGGTTCAGTTTATGCTTTTGGTTAGGAAACATTTGGGTTCTCAGTACTATTAATAACATCATCAGCATTTATTAAAACACTGACTATGGGCCTGGCCCTGAGCTAATGCTTCTCAGGTGCTTTTATTGCAATTAATCTTCACAAAAATCCTCTGAAATGAATAGTGGTATTACCCCATTGTAAAGAAGAGGCAACTGGGGCCCAGAGAGGTTAAGTAATTTGCCCAAGGTCACACAGCTGGCAAGTGGTAGAGCTGAGATTAGAACCCAAGCTTTGTGGCCCATGTTCTCACCAGCATACTGTGCAGCTGTCTGCAGTTCAGCAGTACAACCCCATTTATTCTGTTATTTTTTATGAGTTTGTTACATTCCAAATTGCAAAATATCTTATTATATGGATTCAGCCACCTCACAGGTTAAATCTTGTCTCTTGAGATTTTTTCTTTTTTTCTTTTTTCTTTTTTTTTTCTTTTTTTGAGACGGAGTCTCGCTCTGTCACCCAGGCTGGAGTGCAGTGTGCGATCTCGGCTCACTGCCACTTCTGCCTTCCGGGTTCAAGCGATTCTCCTGCCTCAGCCTCCTGAGTAGCTGAGATTACAGACGTCCACCACCATGACCAGCTAATTCTATATATTTAGTAGAGACGAGGTTTCACCATGTTGACCAGGCTAGTCTTGACCTCCTGACCTCAGGTGATCCACCCGCCTCAGCCTCCAAAAGTGTTGGGATTACAGGCGTGAGCCATCGCGCCTGACACTCTCTTGAGATTTAATGTCTAGCAAATGTCTGCTAAAATAAAACCGGAGTACAGGCAAGACTCAGCTCTGGACCCCAACTGCAGCACCCCACAGAGACTCAGCCGCATTCACCGCACCTGCCTTCCCGTTTGAGCTCAGAACATAAACTATTAGAGGCAATCAATCCAGAGGCACTTCCTCCTCCAAGAAGCACCAGGTCTAAGTAAATAAAGCTCCTTTGGAGGGTTCCAGCACAATCCCTCCCCACTGGGAACTTCACACAGAGAAACCTGACTGGCCTTTCTAGAGCCCTCTACTGCGTCAGGCATAGCCCTGGGCCTGGTGAGTGGCAGGTGGCCTTTCTTCCCCACCTGCCTAAGGAAGTCAGCCGAACAGGTCCTCCCACTGCTGGGGCCCCTGGGCTCTCAAGGAAACTGAGTCAGGTAAAACTAGATCAGAGATGGGCATGTGGGGCCATCACCTGAACTGCCGTGGCTGCGCCGCGGACGGGCCCAGAAGACCGAGGGCTCCTGACATCTTCCCAAGTGGACCCTGCGGGAGCTGCGCTTCAGAATCGTTGCTCACAACACAGGGCAGGTCTCGAGTCTGAGGCCCCACCGCACCCATGGGTGCCCCCTTCTGTCATCTGCTCATTGAACCGCGGGGCTGCTGTGACTGTGAGAGCTGCTGCCCCGTGTGCTGCCTGCTGGCCCGGCCCACCCAGTGGGGCCATCAGAGGGTGGTATCCTTTCCCGCCTCCTCCCCCAGCCTTCTTACCACACCCAACAGCAGAATCCCCCAAACCTGCTTGTTCCTCCCAGCACACTGTGGCCCACTCACCCTACAGGGCAGGCCAAGGTTTCCAGAAACCAGACAGAACACAGAGACTCGCTTTGGCAGTCACGGATGGAGGGCCCCCTCCCTGCTGCCGTGGCCACAGAAGACTGGTCCCCTGGAGGGCCGGAGCCGATTTCAAACCAGGCAAGAGTCCAGGACACAGGGGCCACCACACACCTCCCCCAGCAACGTGCCTCCAGGCAGGAGTTGGCTTAAACCCTCTCGCAACCCCTTAGGGGCAAATTATTTGCATTAATTAATGGATTGATTCATTAATTCAAGATACTGTGCTTGGGACCTACAGCTGGGGTTCCATAAGCTCAAACTAGAGCGAAGGTGATGGAGACCTCAGTTCGCTTTCATTGGGGTACGTCTGGCAGGTACCCCAGGCCCTGTGTGGTCATGGAGGACGAGGTCTGGTGCCCCTCGAGGCCGGCTGCTGTGGGGTGGGGGTTGCATCGTGTCTCTTCATCTTCAGCTCCCAGCCCTGGCTTGGCGCAGAACACACAGACATTTAATACTCATGCCTGAAGTGAAAATGTAAAGTGTCTGGGAATTTTGAAGTCACAGAAAAAAATGTTTAAAGAAAATAAACTACAGGGAAAACGAAATATGTACAGTGTTTTATTTTTGCTTATCTTTCTACACACGTAAAGCAATTTAGTTTTAAGAATATTCATATATGCTGCAAATAATTTAGCTTGTTCATAAAATTATGTGATGCATTGGAACTAAAAGGATGGGTTTTGCAGGCGATAACTCCCAAGATGCTATTACATTAGAAAGATCTCACACATAAAACTAGAAGACGCTAAACTTTAAGAAATGTAGCAGTTCTTCATTTCTATCATTTTCTGAAGATCACCCAAATGTAAAAGCAGTAATGAAAAAAAGTCAGCACTATCACTGGAAAACAAACACAAACACTGGGTTCTCCCTCCACCACAGTAAACTATGCCATGTCAGATACAGAGATAGAGATTTAAAAGGGCCTCAAATTCTTCACAGCTCATCTTATCAAGGATAGCACCTGTCTCTCCACCCCTGAATCTAGGTGGGCCTTTTTTGACCAATAGAATGTGGCAAACATGGTGTTAGGTGAGTTCTGGGGCCTAGGCAGCCCCTCACTCTTCCTCTTGGCACAGTGCAGGCAAGACAGACAGACGAGAGCTCATGAGAGAGACACGCAACTGGCAGTCAGCACCAGAGCCCCGACACCTGTCAATGGAGGCCGTTCCAGACCCTCCGCCCACCCAAGCCTCCTGGTGGCTGCAGCGACCTGAGTGAACTCCAGGGAGCCCAGCGCAACAGCCTGTCCCAGCCCAGCCCAAACCAAAGGTCTGTGAGCAAAGAAGCGGTTTTTTGTTTGTTTGTTTGTTTTTTAAAGACAAGGTCTCCCTCTATCCCCCTGGCTGAAGTGCGGTGGTGCAAACACAACTCACCGCAGCCTCAGCCTCCGGGGCTCAAGCGATCCTCCAGCCTCAGTCTCCCAAGTAGCTGGGACTACAGGCACTCACCACCACATTTGGCTAATTTTTGTATTTTTTATAGAGATGGGGTTTTGCCATGTTGCCCAGGCTGGTCTCAAACTCCTGAGCTCAAGCGATCTGTCTGCCTTGGCCTCCCAAAGTGCTGGGACTACAGGCGTGAGCCACCACGCTGGGCCCGGTGGTCGCTTTAAGTTGCTGAGTTTGAGGGCGGTTTGTTTCACAGCAACGGATCACTGACACACGCAGGACAAGCCAGCTCTCAGAAAAAGCTTGAAGGGGAGGAAGAAACCTTCAAACATATTGAGCTGTGGTTCTCAAGGTTACCAGGGCCAGATTTTAGCATTATTTAAAATACCTAAACTGCTAAATTTCCTCTTGCTTTTCTTCATCCTGAGCCTTTTAAGTTTGCTGAAAAAAGTCGATGAGAACCCAGCTGTAGGTCCCAAGCACAGTGTCCTGAATTAATGAATCAATCCATTAATTAATGCAAATAATTTGCCCCTAAGGGGTTGTGAGAGGGTTTAAGCCAACTTCTGCCTGGAGGCACGTTGCTGGGGGAGGTGTGCGGTGGCTCCTGGGTCCAGGACTCTTGCCTAGATAGAAACTGGCACTGGCCCTCCAGGGGACCAGTCTTCTGTGGCCACAGCAGCAGGGAGGGGGCCCTCCACCCGTGACTGCCAAAGCGAGTCTCTGTGTTCTGTCTGGTTTCTGGAAACCTTGCCCTGCCCTGTAGGGTGGGTGGGACACAGTATGCTGGGAGGGATGTGTAGGTATTGGAGGAGTGAGCAGGGCGTGTTCGGTGTGCTGGGTTGGGAGAGGAGGCTGTGATGGGAGAGGAGGCTGGAAAGAATGACACCCTTTGGTGGTCCCCCATAATTGCCAAAACCTGGAAGCCACCAAGATGTCCTTTGGTAGTGAATGGATAAATAAGTTTAAATAACTGTGGTGCAGCCAGACAAGGGAATATATTACTCATCATTAAAAAGAAATGAGCTGTCGAGCTGTGGAACAACACGGAGGGAACTTCAGTGCGTCTTACGAAGGGGTTTACTAAGTGAAGGGACCCACTGTGACAAGGCTGCACCCTGTGGGATTCCAATTCTAGGACACTCTGGAAAAGGCAAAACCATGGAGACAGTGACAAGACCAGTGGTTGCCAGGAGCTGGCGGGGAGGTAGGAAGGTGAAGCACGGAGAACTTTTAGGGCAGTGACACACCGGCATGACACCAGAGTGGTCACGGTGACAGGTGTCTTTATACATTTGTCCAGACCCATAGGATGTACAAGACCGAGTGTGAATGCCGACAAACTATAGACTCTGGGTGACAATGACGTGTGGGCTCATGAGTCGTAACATGTGTCCCACTCTGGTGGGGGAGGCTGTGCGTGTGGTGGGGGAGGGGGTGGATGAGAATTCTCTGTACCCTTCACTCAGTTTTGCTGTGAAACTAAAACAGCTTCAAAAAATAACATCTATTAAAAAAAAAAAACCAACAAAACAAATGAATAGCCAAAGAAACTGGGACACATATATGATAAAGATTAACATCTTTAGTATGTAAAAAAGTATGTAAATTAAAAAGAAAAATATAAATGCCCAACAGAAAACTGGCAAAAGGAAAATAAAAAAATTTAGTAGAGAATAAATACAAATAATGAATAAAATTTCCAGGCCCAGGGTAATGAAATAAATGGAAATAGAAACGGGATAACATGGTGGGGGGATGGTTTATGAAATTGGCATCAATTAACAAATTATAAAATCTAGTGTGGTAAAGGATTTGGGGAAACAGACATTCTCATTCAGCTCAGGGGGAGAAAGAATATAAACTGACCAATTTTTTTTTTTTTTTTTTGAGATGGAGTTTTTTGCTCTTGTTGCCCAGGCTGAAATGCAATGGCAAGATCTCGGCTCACTGCAACCTCCACCTCCCGGGTTCAAGCGATTCTCCTGCCTCAGCCTCCCGAGTAGCTGGGATTACAGGCGCCTGCCACCATGCCTGGCTAATTTTTGTATTTTTAGTAGAGATGGGGTTTCGCCATGTTGGCCAGTCTCGTCTGGAACTCCTGACCTCGTGATCCGCCTGCCTCAGTCTCCCAAAGTGCTGGGATCACAGGCGTGAGCCACCGCGCCCAGCCCTGACCAAATATTTCTGAATGGCAATTTGGAAACAAGATGCCAAAGGCTTAAAAATGTTTATACATTTTGACTTTTCACTTCCATTCCTAGGAATGAATCCTAAGGACATAGCCAGAGGTGCCCACAATAAAGGCATACATGCACAGATGCAGAAAAGCATTCGACAAAAATCCAATGCTCATTTATGACAAACCTGTCTACAAACTAGGAATGGAAGAGAAGCTCCTCAAGCTGATAAAGGCACCCACAGATATTCCACCGTTAGCGTCATACTGAATGGTAAAAGATGGAATTGTTTTCCCCCAAGAGCAGGAACAAGGTAAGAATGCCTCTGCTCCCACCACTTCTAGTCCATGCTCTCACAGAGGCCCTGGCCTCTGCATCAGGCAAGAAAAGGAAATAAAAGGCATAAAGACTGGAAAAGAAGGAACAGAACTGCCCCTATTTTCAGTTGATACAACTGTTCATCTGAAAAACCTCATGGAATTTATAAAACAATCTTTAGAACTAATAACTGGATTTCATAAAACTGCAGGATAAAAGGTTAATAGAGAAAAATTAATTGTATTCTTAAACAGTAACAATGCACAATTGGAACATGAAATAAATAAAACATTAAATTTATAGTAGCAAAAAAATCCCCACATAAAATACTTCGGAATAAGCCTGACAAAAGACATTCAAGAACGTCATACTGAAAAACACAAAAATTGCTGAGATAAGTCAAATAGGATCTTAAGAAATGCAGAAATGCACCATGTCCATAGAATAAAACCGTCAACTTGGTTAAGATGACAATCTTGCCAAACTGATCTACAGATTCAACACAAGCCCAATCAAAATTCCAACAGGAATTTTTAGTGAAAATTGATAAGTTGACCCTAAAATTTGGAGCTAGTATAACCAGAGCGACTATAAAAAAGAAGAACAAAGTTGGAGGATGCATCTGACTTTGAGACCTACATAGCTATCATCAAGAAAGTTTGGTATTGGTGAAAAGATAACTATGGTGAAATAGGCAAATAATCAATGGAACATAACAGAGTCCAAAAATATCAATTGATTATTTACAAAAGTGCAAAGACAATTCAGTGGAGAAAGGATGGCTTTTCAATAAACGATACTGGATCAACAGGATATCTGCATGAAAAAAATTAACATCAACTCTTTTCTCCCATCACTCCCCCAAATTAACTCAAAACGGATCACGGACCTAGATGTGAAACCTTAACTAGGAAACTTCCAGAAGAATCCGTAAGAGAAAACCTGTGTAACCTTAGAATAGGCCCAGGTTTCTTAGATAGAACACAAAAAATACAAACTGTAAAAGAAATAATAAATTGGAAAATTAAAGACTTTTTTTTTTCATCAAAATACTCCATTAAAGGAAACAAAAATGCAAGTCACAGACTGGGAGAAAATATTCACAAAACATATAGTCAACAAAAAACTTGTATCCAGAGTATGTATAAGAAACTGTTAAAATGAAATACTATTGTTACACAAAGGTTTCTTAGACCAGACACCAACATATGACCATAAGTGAAAAAAAAAATTAATCTTCATTAAAATGAAAACCTTCTACTCTTTAAGAGATATTGTTAAGAAAATAAAAAGATAAGCCACAGACTGGGAAAAAGATATTTGCCAAATGCTTATATGATAAAGGGCTTATCATATAAGTCAGTAATATGCTTTAAATCATCATTCTATACAGAATATAGAAAAGGTCCTCAAAACAGTAATAAGAAAACACAATCCAAACATGGGCAAAAGATTTGAAAAGACATTTCACCAAAGAGGATATTCAGATGGCCAAGAAGCCTATGAAAAGGTGCTCGACAGCATTCATTATTAGAGAAATGCAAATAGAAAGAAACCTCAATGCAATCTAAAGGAACATGATGTGATCCACTACACATCTATTGGAATGACTAAAAAACAAATGAATGAGGCCACGAGCAAGGCAGTTCAAGCTTGTAATCCCAGCATTTTGGGAAGCTGAGGCGGGTGGGTCACCTGAGCTCAGGAGTTCAAGACTAGCCTGGGCAACATGGCGAAATCCCGTTTCTGCTAAAAATACAAAAAATTAGTAGGCATCGCAGTGCACCTCTGTTATCCCAGCTACTCCAGAGGCTGAGGCAGGAGAATCACTTGAACCCTGGAGGCGAGGTTGCAGTGAGCCAACATCATGCCACTGCACTTCAGCCCGAGCGACAGAGTGAGACTCTGTCTCAAAAAAACCCAAAAAACAAAAACCCAAAAAAAAAAAAAAAAAAAAAAAAAAAAAACGAAGGAATGAAACTGACACTGTGAGTGCTGGCCAGGAGGCGAGCAACAGAACTCTCCTACAATGTGACGGGAAGTCAAATGACAGAACCACTCTGGAGAACTGTTTGGCAGTGTCTTATAAAGTCACACACACCCCTACCATATGACTCAGCAATGCCCCCTAGGTATTTACCCAAAATACATGGAAAATGTTCACACGAAATCTGTGTGTGAATGTTTATAGCAGTTTTATTCATCATTGCAGAAAACAGGAAATGACACAAACGTCTTTCAGCTGGTGAATGGCTAAACAAACAATGGTACATCTTAACAAGGGAATACATACGCCTCAGCAATAAAAAGGAGCAAACTGCTGATATGCATGACGATATGGAAGCATCTCAGTTGTATTATGTTAAGTGAAAGAAGCCAGACACAAAAGGCTACATGAGAAGATACTCAGCATCCTCTGTAGTCAGGAAAATGCAAATTAAAACCACAATGAGATACTCCTACTCACCTATTAGAATGGCTACAGTGGACAAGACTGATCATAGCAAGTGTTGCTGAGGACATGGAGGAACTGGAACTCTCACGGACTGCTGGTGGGAATGCAACACGGCAAACCACTTTAGGAAAGCAGTTCAGTAATTTCTTAAAAATTAAACACATGCCTGTTTCCAGTTATTCCATTCCCAAGTATTTACCAAGAGAAATAAAAACATATGTCCACGTGCAAAGACTTGCACATAAATGTGTGTAACAGCTTTATCTAAAATAGCTAAGAACTGGCCAGGCACAGTGGCTCACGCCTATAATCCCAGCACTTTGGGAGGCCGAGGCTGGTGGATCACCTGAGGTCAGGAGTTTGAGACCAGTGTGACCAACATGGTGAAACACTGTATCTACCAAAAATACAAAAAATCAGCCAGACGTGGTGGCGGGCGCCTATAATCCCAGCTACTCGGGAGGCTCAGGCAGGAGACTTGCTTGAACCCTGGAGGCAGAGGTTGCAGTGAGCCAAGATCACGAGACTGCGCTCCAGCCTAGGCAAGAAGAGCAAAACTCCATCTCAAAAAAATAAAAATAAAAATAATAAAATAAAATAGATAAGAACTGAAAACAACCCAGGGTTTATCAACAGCCAATGCAGTAATGAATCGTGGTCTGTACATACCATGGCATACTACTCAGCTGTAACACGCAGTAGCATGGACGCATGACAAAATTATTATGCTGATTGAAAGAAGCAGGACAAAAAACAAGCACATACTGCATGATCCCATTTACATAAAATTCTAGAAAAGGCAAACAAATCTAGAGTGATGCAAAGCAGATGCAACTTTTTTCCTTTTTCCAATTATTTTATTGTGTTAAAAAATACTTATCATCAAATTTACCATCTCAACCTATTTTTTTTTTTTTTTTTTTTTTTTTTTTGAGACAGAGTCATCTCACTCTGTTGGCCAGGCTACAGTGCAGTGGCAAGATCTTGGCTCACTGCAACCTCCACCTCCCGGACTCAAGCAATTCTCCTGCCTCAGCCTCCCAAGTATCTGGGATTACAGGTACCCGCCACCACGCCTGGCTAATTTTTGTATTTTTAGTAGAGATGGGGTTTCACCATGTTGGCCAGCTGGCCTCAAACTCCTGACCTCAGGTGATCCGCCCACCTTGCCTCCCAAAGTGCTGGGATTACAGGTGTGACCCACCACACCCGGCCCCATCTCAACCATTTTTAAATGTACAGTTCAGGTATTAAATATATTTCTAATATTGTACAATGATCATCACCTTCCATTTCCAGAACTCTTTTCATCTTGTAAAACAAAAGCTCTATACCTATTAAACAATAGCTTCCAGGCCAGGCGCGGTGGCTCATGCCTGTAATTCCAGCACTTTGGGAGGCTGAGGTGGGCAGGTCACTTGAGGTCAGGAGTTTGTGACCAGCCTGACCAACATGATGAAATCCCATCTCTACTAAAAATACAAAAATTAATGGTGGCTCATGCCTGTAACCCCAGCACTTTGGGAGGCCGAGGTGGGCGGATCACCTGAGGTCAGGAGTTCGAGACCAGCCTGACCAATATGATGAAACCCCATCTCTACTAAAAATACAGAAATTAGCCAGGTGTGGTGGCATGAGCCTGTAATCCCAGCTGAGACAGGAGAATCGCTTGAATCCAGGAGGCAGAGGTTGCAGTGAGCCGAGATCGCGCCATTGCACTCCAGCCTGGGCAACAAGAGCAAAACTCCATCTCAAAAAAAAAAAAAAATTAGCCAGGTGTGGTGGTGGGCGCCTATAATCCCAGCTACTTGGGGGAGACTGAGGCAGGAGAAGTGCTTGAACCCAGGAGTTGGAGGTTGCTGTCAGCCGAGATTGTGCCACTGCACTGCCGCCTGGGTGACAGAGTGGGACTCCATCTCAAAAAAAAAAAGCAAAAAAAAAAGCCCGATAACTTCCCATTCCCCCCTCACACTCCAAGCAACATCAACTGTCTGTCTCAATGAATCTGACTACTCCTAGCACCTAATCTCAGTGAAATTATACAGTATTGTCTTTTTGTGACTGGCTTATGTCACTTAGCACAATGTCCTCCAGGTTCATCCATGCCGTAGCGTGGGTCAGAATTTCCTTCCCTTTTATGGCTGAATAATATTCCATTGTACGGATGGACCGCGTTTTGTTTATCTTTTCATCCACCAATTGACGGGTTGCTCTATGTTCTTATGTGAATAATGCTGTGAAGCCATGGTGTCCAGATATCTCTGTGTCTCTGCTTTCAATTCTTTTGGGTATATACCCAGAAATGGAATTGCTGGATGATATGGTCATTCTATTTTTAATTTTTTGAGGAACTGCCATACTGTTTTCCACAGCAGCTGTACCACCTTACATTCCCGCCAGCAATGCATAGGGATTTCAATCCCTCCACATCCTCACCGACACTTGTTAGTTTTTATTTTTTGATAGTAGCCATCCTTATGGGTGGGAGGTCGTATTTCATTGGAGTTTTGATTTTGCATTTCCCCGATGATTAATGATATTGAGTACCTTCATGTGCTTATCGGGCATTCGTGTCTCTTCTTTGGAGACACGTCTTTTCAAATCCTTTGACCATTTTTGAATTGGGTTGTTTGGGGTTTGTTTTTGTTTGTTTGGTTGTTTGGTTGTTTTTTGTGTGTGTCTGTTTGTTTGTTTTGGAGACAGAGTCTTGCTCTGTCGTCCAGGCTGGAGTACAGTGGCATGATCTTGGCTGACAGCAACCTCTGTTTTCCAGGTTCAAGCTATTCTCCTGCCTCAGCCTCCCAAGTAGCTGGGATTACAGACATGCACCACCACGCCCAGCTAATTTTTGTATTTTTGGTAGAGACGGGGTTTCACCATGTTGGCCAGGCTGATCTCGAACTCCTGACCTCAGGTGATTTCGCCTGCCTCAGCCTCCCAAAGTGCTGGGTTACAGGCGTGAGCCACCATATCCGGCCAGTTGTTTTTTGTTGTTGTTGAGTTTTAGGAGTTCTCTATAAATCCTGGACAATTATTCCTTATTAAACATACATGATCTGCAAATATTTTCCCGCATTCTGTGAGTGATCTTTATACTCTGCTGATAGTATATTTTGATGCGCACATTTTTAAATTTTTCATGAGGTCCAGTTTATTTTTTTTATTGCCTGTGCTATTGGTGTCATAGCCAAGAAATCATTGCCAAATTGCAGATAAGACATTGGGGGGACACGAAGAAACTTCTGGGGGTGATGGATCTGTTCATTATCTTGATTGTGATGACGGCTCCATGAGTGTATATTATGTCCAAACTGATCAAATTGTGCACTTTAAACACGTGCAGTTGATTGTACAGTTATACTTCAATAAACTTGTAAAAAATACCACCAATATTCAACTCTCAGTACTATTGCTAAATTTTCAACCATAGGAGAATATTTGAATATATTGTGGCACATTCATATGATACAACGCCATTAAGCACTTATAAAATATTTAATAAAAGTATGTGATGACCAGAGAAATCCTCACACTGTTATGCTGAATGAGGAAAGTAGGTTGCAAAACTATATAAAAATATACTATCAATACTGTTTTATATATAATATATATTGACAGGTATTTTATACCTATGCAAGTGTAGAAGTAGAAAATAATACTAAAACTATAATGTGATCATATCTAGATGGCATGTCTATAATATACTTTCACCGCATTAAAAGAATTTTCTAAAAGGCATAATGTATCATTCTGATAATCAGAAATAATAAGCTAATTTTCTGTATTAATTTTTTTTTGAGGCGGAGTCTTGCTCTGTCGCCCAGGCTAGAGTACAGTGGCGTGATCTTGGTGGCTCACTGCAGCCTCCGC
Organism: Homo sapiens; assembly: GCF_000001405.40. Lineage (NCBI taxonomy): Eukaryota > Metazoa > Chordata > Mammalia > Primates > Hominidae > Homo > Homo sapiens. The sequence continues at coordinate 79,965,168 of NC_000017.11, forward strand.
CTCCCAGGTTCAAGCGATTCTCCTGCCTCAGCCTCCCAAGTAGCTGGGATTACAGACATGTGCCACCACGCCCGGCTAATTTTTTTGAATTTTTAGTAGAGACAGGGTTTCACCATGTTGGCCAGGCTGGTCTTTAACTCCTGACCTCAAATGATCCGCCTGCCTCGGCCTCCCAAAGTGCTGGGATTACAGGTGTGAGCCACCGCGCCTGGCCTGTACTAATTTTTAAAAAAAGAAGCCTGTGTTTCTTTTAATATTATAAAACAAAAAAATAATAATTTAGAAAAGAAAAAGGTGAGGCAAAATAACCAATTATCGTCATGGCTACCATTTATTGGAGCTTCCTGTGTGCCAGGAGCTCTCCTAATTGCTTTGAAGACTTCCTTACATAAACCTTGTGGGTGAGACAGCACTCCATTTTATAGCTAAGGAGACCGAGGCCAGGAATCATGTCCCCGGGTTTCAGAATGGCCCACAGCAGGGCAGGATGGACAGCTAGGCGTGACCTATGGGAAGCTCACATTCCTGACTCTTTTGGCATATGCCTTCCAGAGACAGCAGTCACATCAACTGGAAAAGAAGACAACACTCTAAAAACAACATCTATGAAAGAATGCCTCTGAAACTGTGTCCACTTCTCCCCTTCACCCCTGCTCCTGGCTCAGAAACTATCAACAGTCAGCTTTGTCTGCCAGTCAAGCTCCCATCCATAGATGGGCACTGAGCCCGCCCCACACATTGGCCTGGTCGCCTCTTTCCTTGTTTTCCCTGGCATGAGTTTCCTAGGGCTGCTGCAGGAAACACCACAGCTGCATGGCTTAAAGCAACACGAATGTGCTCTCTCACACTTCTGGATGACAGAAGCCTGAAGCCAAGGTGCCAGCAGGCCACACTCCCTCTGAAAGTCTAGGAGACTCCTCCTTTGAGTCCCCCCAGCTTCGGGCAGTTCCTGGCAATCTGTGGCCTTCCGTGGCTTGCAGCTGTATCACTCCAGTCTCTGCTCCATCATCACGTGGCCTTCTTCCCTCTGTATATGGGTCTACTGTGTCTCTGTTTTCTCTACTTAGAAGGACACCACTCACTGGATTAGAGACCACCCTAATCCAGAATGGCCTCATCTTAACTAATTGCAAAGACCCTATTTCCAAGTAAGATTGCAATCTGAGGTTCCAGGTGGACATGAATTTGAGGGAACACTCTTCAATCCAGTATACCCCTTACCATGCCCCCACTAGATCACAGGCAAACATGACAGCTCACTTCCTTTCCATACCCCAGGACCTCCTCTCCCCAGGATTTGCTTATGTGGGTCCCTCTCTCTGGTCGGCCTGCTCTGCCTCTCTCTCTCTTCTAATTCTTCCCACTCTCCAAGGCCCCGCTCAAACACTACTTCCTCCAGGTTGCTTCCCTTCAATCCCCAGGGAAGCCACTAAGCAAAGTGTCTGAAACATACAGCAGGTCCAACATATGCTAATTTCCCTTTATCCCTTGGAAAATCCTTAGAAACTTATCAGTCTTTTTTTTCATGTGTTTTGCTTTTGACTTTGTATAAAAGTCATTTGTTGATACAAAAACCAGACGAAGACATTACAAGAATATAAAACTTTAGATCCATTTGAATAGACCCAAAAATCTTCAACAAAATACTAGCAAGCTGAACCCAACAACATATAAGAAGAGTTGTACACCATGACCAAGTGCGGTTTATCTCAGGAATGCATGACTGGTTCAACATATGAAAATAGATGGATGTAAGACACTAGATTAGTAAAAGAAAAGACAGGAAACACAAGATCATCTCAACAGATGCAGAAAAACATTTGACAAATCCAACAGCATTTCAAAATAAAAACATTCACTAAACTAAAAACGGAAAGGAACTTCCTCAATCTAATAAATGTTATCTATGAAAAACCAACAACTATAAAAAAAACCCCACAAATTTAAGTGTGAAAGACTAAAAGTTTTCCCCCATATAACTGGGACAAGACAAAGATATTCACTCTCACCACTTCTAGTCAACCTTGTGCTGGAAGGTCTACCTGGGAAATTAGGCAAGATAAAGAAATAAAATGCAAAAAGATTTTAAAAATAAAATCTTTAAAAGAAATAAAATTTTAAAAAGGAAAAGGAAGAAGATTGGAAAAAAAGGAGTAAAACTATCTCTATTAACAGATGACATGATCTAGCATATAGAATATCATTAGGAATCTACACACATACACACACAGAAAACCCACTGAAACCAATAAATGAAGTCAGTAAGTTTGCATTATATAAGATCAATGTCTAAAAATTAATTGTATTTCTATACACTGGCAATGAACGACACAAAAATAAAATTAATAAAACAATTCTCTTCACAATACACGTACACACACAAGTACAAGACTTGTGTACTTAAGACTATAAAAGTTGAAACAAATTAAAGACCTAAATAATCAGAAAGGCATCCCACGTTCATGGATTGGAAGACTTAATATTGTTATGATGGCAATACTCTCCAAATTGATACACAGATTCAACACAGTTCCTATCAAAATCCCAGCTACCGTTTTTGCAGATATTGACAGGTTGACCCTAAAATTCATACGGAAATACAGAGGACCCAGAATAGCCAAAACAACATTGAAAAATTAGGACTCACACTTCCTAATTTCAAAACTTAACTACAAAGCTACGGTAATCAATATGGTGTGATAATGGCATAAGGATAGACATATTGATCAATGGAATAGAATTGAGAGTCCAGAAATAAATCCACAAGTTTATGGTCAATTGTTTCCAACAAGCTTGGTAAAACAATTCAATTGATAAAAGAATAATCTTTAAAAAATTTTTTTGAGACAGGGTCTCACTCTGTCACTCAGGCTACAGTGCAGTGGCGAGATCTCGGCTCACTGCAACCTCCGCCTCCTGAGTTCAAGGGATCCTCATGCCTCAGCCACCTGAGTAGCTGGGATTACAGGCGTGCGCCACCATACCCAGTTAATTTTTGTATTTTTTGGTAGAGACAGGATTTCACCATGTTGGCCAGGCTGGTCTCAAACTCCTGAGCTCAAGTGATCTGCCTGCTTCAGCCTCCCAAAGGGATTATAGGCATGCTGGGATTCGAGGCATGAGCCGCTGCACCCAACCGGGTGAAAGAATAGTCTTTTCAGCAAATGGCACAGAGACAACTGGATAGCCACATACAAAGAATGAAGTCAGACCATAACCTCACACTGTCTACAACAATTAACTTAAAATGGATCAAAGACTTAAGTGTAAGAGCTAGAACTATAAATCTCTTAGAAGAAAACATAGATACTTTGATATGACACCAAAAAGACAATCAACCAAAGAAAAAAATAGATAAATCTGATTTCATAAAAATTTAAAACTCAACACTATCAAGAGAGTGAGGCCGGGCACGGTGGCTCACGCCTGTAATCCCAGCACTTTGGGAGGCCGAGGCAGGTGGATCACGAGGTCAGGAGATTAAGACCATCCTGGCTAACATAGTGAAATCTTGTCTCTACTAAAAATACAAAAAATTAGCCGGGCATTGTGGCGGGCGCCTGTAGTCCCAGCTAATCGGGAGGCTGAGGCAGGAGAATGGCAGGAACCTGGGAGGTGGAGCTTGCAGTGAGCTGAGATCGCACCACTGCACTCCACAGAGCCAGATGCCGTCTCAAAAAAAAAAAAAAAAAAAAAAAAAGAGTGAAAATACAACTCATAGAATGGGAGGAAAATAGTTGCAAATCATATATCTGACAAGGGACTAGTACCCAAATATTTTTTAAAAACACTTAAGATGTAAGAATAAAAAGACAAATGACTCAATTTAAAAATGGGCAAATAATTTAAATAGACATATCTCCAATGAAGATATAAATGGCCAATAAGCACATGAAAAATTCTCCACATCATTATTCCCTGGAGAAATGCAAATCAAGGCCGAGCGTGGTGGCTCACGCCTGTAATCCCAGTACTTTGGGAGGCCAAGGTGGGCAGGTCACCTGAGGTCAGGAGTTCGAGACCAGCCTGGCCAACATGGTGAAACCCCATCTCTCTAAAAATACAAAAATTAGCCGGGTGTGGTGGTGCACACCTATAATCCCAGCTACTCGGGAGGCTGAGGCAGGAGAATCGCTTGAACCTAGGAAGTGGAGGTTGCAGTGAGCCAACACTGCACCACTGCACTACTGCCTGGGCAACAGAGTGAGACTCCATCTCAAAACAAACAAACAAAAAGAAATACAAGTCAAAAACAACGTTGAGATACCACTCCACACCCACTGGGATGGCTATAATAAAAAAATGGGAAATAATAAGTGTTGGTGAGGAGGTCCTAGAGAAATCGGAACCCTCATTCCATGGTGATGGGAATATAAAATGGAGCAGCCAATTGTGGAAAACAGTTTGGTAGGTCCTCAAAAATTAAACACAGTGTTAACATTTGACCAAGTAATTCCACTCGTAGGTAGATATCCTAGATAATAGAAAATAGGGCCGGGCACGGTGGCTCATGCCTGTAATCCCAGCACTTTGGGAGGCCAAGGCAGGTGGATCACTTGAGGTCAGGAGTTCGAGACCAGCCTGCCCAATATGGTGAAACCCCATCTCTACTAAAAATACAAAAATTAGCCAGGTGTGGTGGTGCATGCCTGTAATCCCAGCTACTTGGGAGGCCGAGGCAGGAGAATCGCTTGAACCCGGGAGGCGGAGGTTGCAGTGAGCCGAGATCACGCCATTGCACTGCAGCCTAGGCAACAGAACGAGACTCCATCTCAAAGAAAAGAAAAGAAAAGAAAATAGATGTCTATATAAAAACATGTACACACATGTTCATAGTAGCATTATTCATCATATCCAAAAAGAGAAAAATGCCCATCAACTGATGACCAGATAAGGAAATCGTGGCATCCATACAATGGAATACTGTTCAGCTATAAATAGGAATGAAGTACCGGCCTGTTACAACACGGATGAATCCTGAAAACACGATGCTAAGCGAAAGAAGCCAGTCACAAAAGGCCACGTGTTCTATGATTTCATTTATATGAAATATCCAGAATAGGTAAATCCATAGAGACAGACAGCAGGTTAGTGGCTGCCAGGGCTGGGGAAGGAAGGGCTGGGCTGTGACTGCTAGAGTATGAGGTTTCTTTTTGGGGGGATGAAAATGTTCTGGAATCAGGTTGTGATTACACAGCTTCATGAATGTACTAACTGCCACTGCATTGTACACTTTAAAAGGGTGACTTTTATGCTATGTGAATAAAAGGTCACTATGCACCCGCTCTCTCCCGTCTGATTTATCTTGTACATCTCCCACCAAAGGGTCTTGTACAAAGCATGGCCTCAGAAAATATTTGTTCTGCAATAAAAAGTTCTGGGTGTCCCCCACCCTCTCAACCTGCAGACAACGAGACAAGGTTGCCACCTGTGTAGAGCTTCATTGTGGTGGGAAGTCAGGCAGCAAACGGTAAACGGGTCATGGGGTGCTCTAAGGGAATGAGCACAGGGTGGGAGGTGGAGGGGCTGGGCACGGCCACTCTAGAGAGGTGGACCTGGGGGTCCTCAGTGAAGCCTGCAGAAAGGTGAAGAGCTAGCAGAGAGCCCAGGGGAAATGCATGCCTGAAATAAGCTAAGCACATCAGAGAAAGCACCAGTCCTTGTACGAGTCCCAGTGCAAAAACAGCGCCACCCTGGAAACGGAGAGTCAGCCCGGTGCAAAAACAGCGCCACCCTCTGGAAACAGAGATGCAGTTTGCTCTTGCATTGTTGAGTTTTACGTTCCTCCCAGTGTGGGAATGGAAGTGATCTCATATTGTAAATAATTTTACATTAATATACACTCCCTGTATTTTTATTTTTTATTTTTTTTTGAGATGGAGTCTGTCTCCATTGCCCAGGCTGGAGTGCAGTGGCGCTATCTCGGCTCACTGCAACCTCCACCTCTCGGGTTCAAGGCATTCTCCTGCCTCAGCCTCCTGAGTAGCTGGGATTACAGGCGTGCACCACCAAGCCCGGCTAATTTGTGTATTTTTAGTAGAGATGGGGTTTCACCATGTTGGCCAGGCTGGTCTCAAACTCCTGGCCTCAGGTGATCCACCCACTTCGGCCTCCCAAAGTGCTGGCATTACAGGTGTGAGGCACCGCACCCGGCCCACACTCCCAGTATTTTTTAAGTTGCTTAACATTTGCAAGTGGTAAATAAATTCACGTTGTGGTTAAAAATTTTAAAAAGACTGAAGTGTGCAGAATCGGCATTGGAAGCCTGTCCCCCAGGTCATCCTGGTCTGGAAGCCCTGTCCCCCAGGTCATCCTGGTCAGCAGTTGAGTGACTCTTCTTCCAAAGTTCGTTCTGCAGGTTTACACACACTTGAAGGTATCTTCCCATGTTGCTGGTAGACACCATTTTGGAATAATGGCTCAGGGGCAATTAGAAAAGAAGAGTCTTTAACGTATTCTTCAACTTGACTCATAAAAGTAGAGTCAATCACTCTTCTCTACAACAGTCAACTTCTCTCAAGGAAGACCTGAGGAAGCTGGTGCCCGACCCACCAGGAGACATGGACCTCATAGGAGGTGAGCTGAGGATGTGGATAATTTGGACACCACTTGGACTGTGAGCTGCTGGGAGGTGTCAGACAGGAGCATCCCACGGGGTAGGGATGGGGGCTCTGGAAGGCTTCCTCTCGGAGCAGGTGGCATGGGGGCTGGCTGTGGGGGTCTTTGTGGGGAAGAAAGAGCCTGAGTGGGTGCAGGGACAAGGAAGGTCTGCGGAGGACAGGTCGGAGTGCTCTGAAAACGGCCCTGGCATTGATTTTTAAAAAGGGTCGCTCAAAAGAACTGAAAGCAGGGACTCGAACAGGTATGTGTACCCCGTGTTCACAGCAGCATCATTCATGATGGCCAGAGGCTGAAGCAGCCCAGTGTCCATCGATGGGTGAATGGAGAAAGAAAGTGTTGTCCCTGCATGCAATGGCAGGTTATTTAGCTATAAAAAGGAAGGAAATTCTTTTTTTTTCTTCCCCCTGAGAGGGAGTCTTGCTTTGTCACCCAGGCTGGAGTGCAGTGGCTCAATCTTGGCTCACTGCAACCTCCGCCTCCCGGATTCAAGCGATTCTCCTGCTTCAGCCTCCTGAGTAGCTGGGATCACAGGCGTGTACTACCACACCTGGCTAATTTTTGTATTTTTAGTAGAGACAGGGTTTCACCATGTTGGCCACGCTGGTCTCGAACTCCTGACCTCGTGGTCCACCCGCCTTGGCCTCCCAAAAAAAAAGTGCTGGGATTGCAGGTGTGAGCCACTGCGCCCTGCTAAAAAGGAAGGAGATTCTGACACAGGCTACAGCATGAATGACACCTGACGTTACGCTAAGTGAAAGACGCCAGACACAGAAGGTCAAACCCTGCATGATTCCACTCCTATCAGGTCCCCAGAGCAGTCAATCTCAGAGGCAGAAAGTAGAATAGAGGCTGCCAGGGGCTTGGGGGAGAGGAGATGGGGAGTTGTTTAACGGGAACAGAGTTTCGGTTGGGAAGATGAAAAAGTTCTGGAGGTGGAGAGTATGGTGATGGCTGCATAACAATGTGAATATACCCACTGCCACTCAACTGTGCACTTACAAATGATTAAGGCTGGGTGCGGTGGCTCACACCTGTAATTCTAGTACTTTGGAAGGCCGAGGCAGGAGTGGATCGCCTGAGCTTAGGAGTTCGGGACCAGCCTGGGTAACATGATGAAACCCCGTCTCTACTAAAATACAAAAAATTAGCCAGGCATGGTGGTGCCTACCTGTAATCCCAGCTGCTCAGGAGGCTGAAGCGGGAGAATCACTTGAACCTGGGAGGCAGAGGTTGCAGTGAGCCGAGATCGTCCTGCTACATTCCAGCCTGGGCAACAGAGCGAGACTTCGTCTCAAAACACAAAAATGGTAAATTTTATGTTATAGTGGTACCTCCTTATCCAAGGGGAATACAACCCAATACCCCCGTTGGTGCCTGAAACCTTGGATAGTGCCAAAACCTATAAATACTATGTTTTCCCTATACATACACACCTATGATAAAGTTTAATCTACAAATTAGGCACAGTAAGAGATGAACAACAATAATAATAAAATAGAAGTGGCTGGGCGCGGTGGCTCATGCCTGTAATCCCAGCACTTTGGGAGGCTGAGACGGGTAGGTCACTTGAGCCCAGGAGTTCAAAACCAGCCTGGGTAACACAGTTAGACCCCGTCTTTATAAAAAAAATTAAAACAAAGTCTGGGCGCAGTGGCTTACGCCTGTAATCCCAGCACTTTGGAAGGCCAAGGCGGGCGGATCACAAGGTCAGGAGATCAAGACCATCCTGTCTAACATGGTGAAACCCCGTTTCTACTAAAAATACAAAAAAAATAGCCAGGTGTGGCGGCGGGCGCCTGTAGTCCCAGCTACTCAGGAGGCTGAGGCAGAAGAATGGCATGAACCCCAGAGGCGGAGCTTGCAGTGAGCCAAGATCACGCCACTGCACTCCAGCCCAGGCGACAGAGCGAGACTCTGTCTCAAAAAAAAAAAAGAAAAAAAAATTACAACAAAAAATTATCCAGGCATGGTGGTGCATGCCATCATCCCAGCTACTTGGGAGGCTACAGTGAGCCATGATCACACTACTGCACTCCACCCTGGGCAACAGAGCAAGACCCTGTCTCAAACAAAAACAAAACCAAAACCCTCCCCCAAAACAATATACTGTAATAAAAGTTCATTCTTACCAGAGGTCGTAGCAACCTCAGCACAGAATTCTGTTCTTTCCTTATTCAGTTGAGAACTTCCGCCTTCTCGCTAAAAGGAAGCGCTTTATGGCTTCTCTTTGGCATATCCAAATTGTCAGCATCACTGCTCTGGTGCTGTGGGGCCATTATTCAGTCAAATAAAGGTGACTTGAACACAAGCACTGAGATCCTAGGGCAGCCGATCTGATCACCCAGACAGCTGGCGGGATGGAGGGGGAGGGTAGGAGACTTCATTACTCTACCAGAATGGCATGCAATTTAAAGCTCATGAATTGTTTATTTCTGGAATTTTCCATTTAATTTTTTTTTTCTCTTTTTTGAGACGGAGTCTCATCTGTTGCCCAGGCTGGAGTGCAGTGGTGCAATCTCGGTTCACTGCAACTTCCGCCTCCCGGGTTCAAGCGATTCTCCTGCCTCAGCCTCCCAAGTAGCTGGGATTACAGACATACACCACCACGCCTGGCTAATTTTTGTATTTTTAGAGAGACAGGGTTTCCCCATGCTGCCCAGGCTGGTCTCGAACTCCTGACCTCAGGTGATCCACCTGCCTTGGCCTCCCCAAGTGCTGGAATTACAGGTGTGAGCCACTGTGCCCAGCCCCATTTAATACTTTTGGATTATGGTTGGCCGAGGGTAACTGAAACTGCAAAAAGCAAAGCTGCAGTGAGGGGGGACTATATGTATTTTATTGCAACTAAAAACCAAAAAACAGGTGAACCATAGAGTTTCTTGGCTTCCTCCACCCTAAAGCACATTCCCTTATCTTCCCTGGCTCTCCCAGGCTCTTCTCAGGCGTGGCACCCACACAGTAGGGCTAGCTAACCCTGGGGACCCAGCAAAGGCTGCACCAACTCACAGGTGGGGCTGGTAGGAGGCTGGGTTCACGCTCAGGTTTATCTTATGATGCTGAGGAGTTTGTGGAATAGGTTCAAAAACGTTGAAAGAGGGAGAAGCCTGGGCGCCTTGCTTTCAGAGTGACTTTGTGGCTACCTCCCTGTCCGATTCCTGATTTGGCCTCGGTTTTTGCCTTTGACCTGGGGTTGGGGCCACCCCCGCAGCCACTGCGCCCTCTATAGGTAAGAAGGCCCAAGGAAGAAGCCCTCTGCTCCGTCACCTCCTCGCCATGCCGTCCCCACTGCCAGTGGGCGCAACGTTACTTGCAAGGCCACAAACACCCGGAACAATCCGCCAGGCCGCGTCACTCCTCACCCTCCAGCAGGGCTTTGGATTTTTGGACAGCGAGTTCTGTTTCATTTTGTTTTGTTTTTCCCTTTGCATTTGGTGAACTCCGTGTCAGGAAAGCTAGTCTTTGGGATTCAAGGAAGAACAAAACAAACCCGATCTCCTGTAATCTACCTGGATTGGAACGCCCAGCTTTGTACAGCCTGAGCTCTGGCCGACTGGAATTTCTGCCAGGTCCTATTCACACCCTTGGCCCCAGCTGGCTGTGAGGTTTCCTGGGAACCCTTGCCTCCTACATGGCCTACTTAAAAGGCTGCTGAGAGCCAGCCAGGTGTTCTTTAAGCCCCTGTGAAGATTCCTTGATCAGTTACACAAAAAGCTTGCTCAAAAGAATGGGACCGGGAGCAACCGCAATGCCCTCTGGAGACCCAGCTCCTGATTTCAAAGGATCAACGAGTGACAGAGGGTTGGGGACTGGGGGGGTCGTGCATGAAGACAGCCACCGCCCACAACAGGTCCACCCTGAAGTGAAAAGACAAATATCATTTTTCCTCCAGTTTGCAACCAACTGTGCACAGCTTCGGGACCCCCAGCCAGCCCAAACCTGTCGCTGGCTGCCCACTAACGCTCCCAGCAGCCCTTAGTACAATACAAATTCAGGCAATGCCTGCGTCTGCCCACACCTGCAGAGCATGAGCCCCACTTTGGAATGACGGGGTCTGTGCAGAGACCGGGCAGAGCTCTGGGCTTCAGGATGGCAGCAGCAGCTCCGGCAGGCGGCTCTCCAGGCCACGAGATGGGCACAGACCTTCCTGCACCCTCACAGCTTCTGCGGCTCCCCAGGCAACGGAGCCAGTCAGGGCATGGGGACGCCAGGCAGCAGTGTCAGACTTGGCCATTGCCAAGTTCTCTCTTGTCCCCGCCAGGCAGAACAGGTGCACATCCAGGTCAACCTGTGACCTCGGCCTTACTAACCCTTGTCTAGGCAAACCTGGGAGCGAGATGGAATCAAATAAGAACCAACCTATACTGGGCAGTGATTACTCTAAAAGCTTATGCAAGAGCCCTGCTCCTCTGTTGGTACCCTACATGTCGATGCCGAGACTGAGGCTCAGAGAGGTCTGGTCATTGCTCACACCGGCCCCTGCACTGTCCCAGGCTGTCTCTCTTGCAGCAAGGGAAAATGGCTCTTTAGCCTCTGTTATGTTTTAACCATAAGGCATTTTCTCACGCAGGGCTTTCCAATGTTGGCCCACAGACAAGAAGCCCACTGGACATTTGGGAAGAGGAGTTTTAGAGAGAAGAGGATGGAGGAAGGCTAGAGTCACGGTATTGTGTGTGCACGTGTGTGTGTTTACACGCCTGAAACGAATGACTGCGTCGGTCACATGTGCGGTGTGCCCACATCCTTCCCAACAAAGATGAGCTCAAAAGCGTGAGGGAAACACACCGTGCAAAGACCAGCTTAGGGGATTCTGGTGAATGTCCAGAGATCCAAACAGCAAGACCCCCGCCGCTCCTGACTCAGCAGGGATGCTGGATGCAAACTGGCCCTGATACACTGGGCCCTGGGGTCTTCTCCACGTCATTATCCTGGAGGGTTTAAGTCCCCCGAGGCAGGAGCCAAAGGGAACAGCAAGCTTGAGATTTTTCTGAAGCCTCTTCCGTTGACAGTGCCTTTCCATTCATCTGAAACAAACTCTGAAGGACTCCTCTCTATGGAATCGGTCCCCAGAGGTGGAGGCTGCTGCTCCATCCCAGCCCCTCTCATCCCATCCTCTCCTGCTTCACGCAGCCCAGGTGAGGCCTGCCCTGCAGAAGGCTACAGGGAACACGGGATGGGGCAGTTTCTACCTGCCTGCTGAGCTGCTCTGGTGACTTAAAACAAAAGTGTCAGGAGCCTCTGGCAGGAGGAAGGGAGGAATAAAATCCAGCATTCAACCCAAGCATCTCTGTTGCCCATGAATTCATCCTTTTCAGTGATCCGTCCACCAGAATATCCTACTTTGCCTGGGTCATTTCACGCCTTCCCCAACGAGGCGAACCCCAGCCCAACGTCCAAAGCTTTCCTGAAGCCCCACTGCCTCCACCACCCTCAGTAAGCGAAGAGAAGGGAAGATGCATGGAGCCCCGCCCCATCCCAGAGACGGCCCGGTGCACAGGGACGTGCAGGTCACACAGATTACAAGGCTGAGGAGGGGATGGGATGGGAAGGGGTCCGTGTGGAGCAGCAGCCTCCACCTCCGGGTCTCTGACTCCAACGAGGCAGAGACCACCTTCCCTGACGCCTCATCCCTCCACCTGGCCCCTTCCCAGCATCTGCAACCCACTGGTGTGTCTTGGTCCCCCAGGCAAGGGTGATGTCTCAGCCATCTCTGCAACCCTTGCCCCACAGGGCCTGGCACGCAGCAGGATGGGGGTGACGGAGGAGAGAGAGCTCTCCGCACCTTCCTTCCCCCACCTGTGAGACGGCGATGAGTTGGCTGGACGCTACGATCTCTAGGAACCCCATTAGGCTCTAAAATCCTGGCAGTTTCTAAAATGCACAGTAAGCTAACTGTTCCCAGCAAAACTGAAGCACGTCTGGCATAATTAGCATCACACACACATGTGCACACGGCGGTACTGGACTCATCCAGCCGAGAGGCTGGACTCTGCCAGCTTCCCGCTGACCACAGAGGCAGCCAGACCCAGCTCTGGAGTCTGCTCGCAGAGCCCAGCCGGCTGTGCACGGGAGGGCGATTGATGCGGCTGCCAGTTCGAAGAGGCAGAGCAATAAAGCCTCGGCGACTGCGGTGCCTTCTGCTGCCGGGGTGGGACCCCTAAGCTTTTCAGAGGCCTGGATGCTGAGGGGGGCCCACGGGAAGCTGGCTCTATTAGGCTCAAGCTGCCATTTCTGACATAAGTGGCAATGTTAAGTGATGGGCGCACAGCCGGCCGGATTCTGCCATCCCAGGCCTAGAACCTGCCCCATGGTCACGGTCGAGCTCGGGAGCGCCGACATCCCGCATGCACCGAGACAGCCTGGCTTTTCCAGCCAGAGGGACTGGGAGCAGCAAGGCCGGAAAATACAGGGCCAAGCGGGGCGGGGATGAATCGCAGCTCCTCGCGGCATGGGCGGCACACTCCCAGAGCCAGAGCTGCTGGGAACTGGGAAGGCAGGGTCTCCGCTCCGGCGATTAACTCTGCCGATCTGCAACATCACGGCTAATTAGGGAAGGTGTAAATCACTGGGAGGAAGCGGGCAGGCACATCCTTCAGGTTGATTACCAGCACGGTTTAGGAAAAGATAACCAGGCCCGGCCTTTCTTCTGTTCCTTTGCCAGCCGTGGGGGCGGGGTGGGGGCCGTGGCGGGCGGGCAACAATCCGCGGCAGGTAGGAGGAGAGAATGTACCAGGCCTTTGAGTGCTGTTTCTGTTTTAATTTTTTCTTAGTCATATGGAGTGACCTTGTGGATTTCCCAGGGAAATTAAGAAAAATTCCACTGAACAGATCTCACAGCTGTTACGAGTTTCTGAGCTTCCGTGGGTCCCGTGCATTTACGACTGTGACGACTTAGACTCAGGACGTGCACGTGATGCCGTACTGGGCTTTTTCCATTCAGCGTGATTACACGGTGTTATTCATTAAGGGCTGGAGACTCTGATGGCAGGAATCATTTGTTTTTCTTTTTCCCTTAAGGCATTTGCAAATATGCTTGGAGGCAAAGGGACGCTGGGTACATCTAATAAATAAAGCAAAATAATTAATAGCTCAAGCAGTCTAGAGACCACTCCCAGTTGCTCCTGAACCAGGCTTTTGAGAGCCAATCGTTCTGTTTTCATTCCCTCTCGACTTCGTCCTTGAAATACACATTACTGGGAAGAAAACAGCCAAGAGATTTTTCTGAACCCAAAAAGAATGTTTATTTTTTTTCCCCTAGATTTTATAGGAGCTTAACGTGGGCAAACCAATGAGATGATTCTAAACCAAAGCGCCCTCGTGGGCTCCACGCTCTCAGCCTGTCCATCAGCAGCACACCTGGGAGATTCTGCCCAACCTAGGGAAAGGAGGAGCCATAGGAGCTGGGCAGGGAAGGCCAGAGCACACACGCTCCGGGGACGCACACCCACGCCTAGAGCACACACGCTCCGGGGATGCACACCCACGCCCAGAGCACACGCGCTCCGGGGACGCACACCCACGCCCAGAGCACACACGCTCCAGGGATGCACACCCACGCCCTGGACCCCAGCAGAGGGATCAAGGGCTCAGGCATCCCCAGTGCCGCCAATCACGTGGCCCTCTCGAGGTGAAGCTGCGACACTGTGTGGAAACCCAGGGGAGATGGGAGAGGCCTGAAGCGGGAGGCGGGAGGACCGCATAGCTGCAAATGCATCTGGGCGTGAAGACGTCCCTGTGTCATCTCTGCAGGACCAAACAGTCAATTAGTATCCAAATACTTTTAGGGGACAGAAAGACGCTCACGGTTCCTGTCGCAGGTCCAGGTTATTCGGTGCCATAAAAAGGCACACGTCGACCTTCACTGTTTCCTGCAAACACAGCTGGGACATCAGCCCGGAAAGGAATGTAACCTGTCAGGCCGCAAATCCCACGGTTCTCACTAGGAGCAGGAAAGGACCCTGGTCTCCCTTCACATCCACCAAAAGCTCACCCTGACTAGAGAACCAAGCAGAGACTGAGGCCAGAGAATAACCAAGTAGCAAGGAGGGGAGGGGTCTTCACAGACAGAGGCCTTGCTATGGGTGGGCTCTGGCTTCCAGGTGGTGGGCTCTGCGGGCCAGAGCTTGGGGCGCAGGAGGCCAAGGTCCAGGTCCCAGACACATCCATTATGGCCAAACACAAGAAGCCCTCAGGCCTGCCCAACACGGCTGTGGGCACCGGTGCCTCCCCAGACCCTCTGGGCAGCCCATCCTTGCACCTGGAGGAGCAGCTCACCGTGCCGTGGAGGGTGGCCGCGAGGTTCATCTGGGCCTCCGAGCCTCCCAGCGCATCCCACTGCTCTGCAGAAACAGAATAATCACCACCCAGGCTGGTGGCTTCCCAACTTTTCCGTGACGTTCCCCTAGGCAATTTAAAAATGGAGTGAATACTGATAATAATTTGACTAAATTTAGGTGTTCCCCTTAGGCATCTGATTAAATTTCATGAACTCTTTTTCAGGCTTGCAGCCCAAATTCCCCTTCTCTCTTGGCTTCACGGCACGGGCTTCTTGACCACCATGTAGGGTCAGCAAATTCCGCCTAACAAGCCGGAGCTTTCCTTCCTTCCCGGAGGAACAAGACACTAAGAAGAGGTTCCCAGGGGAACATGCAGTGGGAGTCTGGGCCGCTACGTTGTGGGGTGGTGTAACCAGGGTTTGTCCAGAAAAAGACACAGAACCCGCAGGCCCTGGAGGACCCTGAAGATCACCAGGCCCAGTCTGTTCCTCTCCCTAACCAGGACACTGTGGTGCAGACAGTGTAGGGACTGGCGAAGAGACACAGTGGGTGGCAGGAACGGGGAACAGAAAGCCAGAACCTTCTAGATTCTGAGCTGCTGGGCTTTGTGACATCCCACATGGCTTGGTCCCGCCTTTCAGCCCCCCAGGGTTCACTCGAACCGCCTCCGCGCACCCCAACAGCAGAGACGTAACGTGCAGGACTGACTGGTGCTTCCCAAAAATCTTCTCGGACTCAGTGGCACACCTGGGACTGCCCGAATCTGTGCCCTGGTCCCCGTTACTGTTCCTGCAGGCTGGAAGGGGAGCCTGTGAGTTGAGCCAGAGCTGACCGGGAGCTGCTGGGACCATGGCTAGGGGTTGTGACGTGACCTGGGCCCCGGGAGGCCCTGAGGGAACTGGTGGGTACTCTCCAGCACCCCAACCCCAAAGGGCAAACAGTCATGATACCAATCACCAACATCCTTTGATAAGACCTTGGCTACTCATTTATATTCATTTAAATTCCATCCACACACTTGTCACAGCAAAGCTGAATTCTGTATCTAGCCCCTCGTGGCAGCAGTGACGGAAGGACAGAACTTGTTTAGGCATCGTTTCCTCGCTCCCTCCTTAATCTCCACTCGGCTTTTCCCATCCCCTGGGCCTAGTTTCAGGGGAGCCAGCATCTTCCGCACCAATGCACTGCTTGGCCCGGCTCAGAGGATTTGACGCAAACCAGGACTGGGGCCCTGGCCGACAGAAAATTCTTAGAGCAAAATGGCTGTTCACCAGCGGCGGGTATGTTCTTAGACCCTCCATCTGCCCGGGCCCTGCTGGGAGAAGGCCTCGGGCCTCCACCTCCAGCAATCCTCTAATACCTCCTCAGAGCTTTCCGGAGAGAAGGGAGGAAGCCAGGGAAGCTCTGGGTGCCCCCGACAAGTTTAACCCCTTCCTTCTTTGGCACACACTTCACAAAAGAAGACACCAGGTGAACAAGCACGCAGAGACATATTCAAGATCGTCGGTGATAAAGAAATGCGCATGAACATGATTTTTAAGCCATCCTACCAGCAACACTTCGTTTTCCAAAGCGGGGAGGCCAAACCTCCAAAGCTGGGAGGGCTACAGTCAAAGAAGCACCTCCCACACCGGAGGCAAGGGACGCGCCACCCTCGGAGCGGCTCCCTCGGCTCTTCTGTAATCTCAGCAAGAACGTGCTCACTGCACATAACGCTGAACCTGCCACGGGCACGAAGCAGACCCACATCCGTCCCTGCAGCAGCAGCCTCGGCCCAACCTCAATCCCACTCCTCCAAGGGCGCGCCAGGGAACAGCAGGACGCGGCCCTCCGGGGCTTCCCTGTGCGCACACACACACGCACACACACACACATGCACATGTATTAAAGCAAAAGTGAGATTGTGCTGTCAACATTGTGTTACGCCTGGAATTTTTCAGTTACTATATCCAGGGCCTTAGCCCTGTCGGTATGCAGGGATAAGCTGCACCTCTTTTTGAGGGCCGCTTCCACGTTTTCTCTAAACATTCCTTATAGACAAAGACTTGGGTTGTTTCCATTGTCGTTTTTCTTTGTGTGGTTTTTTTTTCTTTTTTTTTTTTTGAGACCGAGTCTCACTCTATCACCCAGGCTGGAGTGCAGTGACACGATCTCGGCTCACCACAACCTCTGCCTCCCAGATTCAAGCAATTCTCCTGCCTCAGCCTCCTGAGTAGCTGGAATTACATGCGCCCGCCATCAAGCCCAGCTAATTTTGTATTTTTGGTAGAGACGGGGTTTCACCATGTTGGCCAGGCTGGTCTTGAACTCCTGACCTCGTGATCCACCCACCTCAGCCTCCCAAAGTAGGGGGATTACAGGCCTGAGCCACTGTGCCCAGCTTCATTTTTCTGTAAAGTCAATAATATCACATTGAACTTTTGTGTGTTCACGTCTGCACACAATACACCGAACCTGTGTGTGCACGTGTGTACAGGTACCGTGCATCTCTTTAAACATTCCCTGAGGCTTGGCGTGGTGGTGGCTCAGGCCTGTAATCCCAGCACTTTGGGAGGCTGAGGCAGGTGGATCACCTGAGGTCAGGACTTTGAGACCAGCCTGGCCAACATGGGGAAACTCCGCATCTACTAAAAAAAAAAATACAAAAATTAGCCGGGTGTAACGGCCGGTGCCTGTAATCCCAGCTACTCGGGAGGCTGAGACAGGAGAATGACTTGAACCCAGGGGGCGGAGATTGCAGTGAGCCGAGATCACGTCACTGCACTCCAGCCTGGGCGACAGAGCAAGACTCTGTCTCAAAACAAAACAAAAAAATTCCCTGTAGGCAAGAATTGGGATGTTACTCATTCCACTTTTTTGTAAAATAAATAATATGACATTGAACTTCTTTGTGCATGCATATGTGTGTACACGTAAATACTGAACCTGCGTCATCCACGTTTGTGCGGAATCCCTGTGTGTGTGCACACGCATCCACCCCGAGCCTCTGTGTGCAGAGCTCCAAGCACAGACGTGTTCATCAAGGACAAGCGGGAAGCCGGGAACAGCTCCATGTCCATGGAAGGGGCATGGGCAAGTGAAATGCTACGTCCCTCACCAACAGGCCGCTGTGCAGGCGTGAAACCCAGTGGCGGTTCAGAAGACGTGGCAGCGCGGGAGGGGTTTATGGCAGGGCATGAATTGAGAATGGCAAGACAGACCATGTAATCTCAGGGACTCTCAGCTGGCCCCACCCCAGGAAATGCAGTCGGTGTGTCTTAGGAGGTTGAGTGCACATTGCAGGGCCCAGGGGCCCCTCGGAGGGGCTCCTGTCCCTCTGCACCAAAGGTGTGCACAGAAGCTGTCAAGGTGACATCATTCACAGAGAAAAACCCAAACTAAACCACATGGTCATCAACAGGAGTGTGGACAACCTGGGGAACAGCCATGGAGACAGTGTCCCCCTATTGGAGTGAGCACCCGCAGCACCTCAGGCACGGGGAGCTGAGCCACCGACGGCTACAAAGACGGGGACGCTTTCCTAGGGCTCAAAGCAAGGCAGAATGTTGAGAAGTGCACATGTGTGCAAAGCCTGCTTTAGGAGAGCAAGGAAGTGCCGCCCACGGCATTCCGGAAGGTGGTTCCTTCTGGAGACCGGGGCACGGAACGACCAGACTGGGGAGGAAGGAGTGGAGCACTGGCCTCCTAGGAAGCTCTAGTTCAGACACAGGGGGCGCTGGGTCACGGGGTTCATTTATGATTGTGTTTCATGGTTTACATGCTACAAATATTCTTTGGCATGTATCAAATATGACAAAATTTAAAAAAAATTTAAATTTATTTAGAGACAGGGTCATGCTCTGTCACCCATGCTGGAGTGCAGGGGTATGATCTCGGCTTACTGCAGCCTTGATCTCCCAGGCTTAAGGGATCCTCCCTCCTCAGCCTCCCTGAGTAGCTGGGACTACAGGCAGGCACCACAGCACCTGACTATTTATTTTGTATTTTTTACAGAGATGGCGGGGTGGGGGGGCGGGGGTCTCATTTGTTGCCCAGGCTGACCTTGAACTCCCAGACTCAAGCCCATCCTCTTGCCTCAGCCTCCCAAGTAGCTGGGACCACAGGCATCTGCCAGCACGCCCAGCCAATTTTTCAATACTTTTTTGTAAAGATGGGATCTCACAATGTTGCCCAGGCCTGAAGTGATGCTCCCACCTCAGTCTCCCAAAGCACTGGGATTACAGGTGTGAACCACTGTGCCTGGCCTAAAATCAAAAAAAATTTTAAACCAAGAAAGTGAATTTTATATACAGCCTGCCTGTCTACAACTCTGTAAAATAACTTAGGCATCGGAAGCAAAAATAAAAAATAAAAGTAAACACAAGGCTGAAGGAAATACACCAAAAAGTTAACGGTGGTGAGCTGGGTATGGTGGGGCTTCACACCCTTCTTTTGTCTTTTCCCTATCTCCCAGAATTTCCTTAGGAGCAGGTGCTACTTTTATAATTAAAAAGAAAGAAAGAGAGAGAGAGAAAGAAAGAAAAAGAAAGAAAGAGAAAGAAAAGAGGGAGGGAGGGAGTGAAGGAAGGAAGGAAGGAAGGAAGGAAGGAAGGAAGGAAAGGAGACAAACAAAAGCCCTCCAAAACATGGAAAACAGTAAAGGCAAAAAAAAAAAAAACAGTTAAAAAGAGCAAAAACCACCCTCCCCAAAACAAAAATAGCCCCAAGCAATCCCTCCATAGGATCAACAGGGAACTAAGACAAGCAGGTGAAAAGACCACACTGAAGTCAGACCTCAGATCATAACAGAAACAAAAAGCAGGTCCTAAGGCCTCCCTCTGGCTCCCCCCCACCCACCCCACCATCCTCCAGCTTCGGACACAGCCCTGCGATGGAGCTGGGGCTATGTTTTGGGGGCTGCGTTTTGGTGGTGACACAGCATTTCCCAGGGCTGCTGTAATGAAGGACCACAGACCAGAAGCTTGAAAACAACAGAAATGTATTGTCTGGCAGTTCTGGAGGTCAAAGTCAAGGTGCTAGTCGGGCCGCGCCCCCTCTGAAGGCTCCAGGCAAGAGTCTTTCCTGCCTCTTCCAGCTGGAGGTGCTCGTCCTGGATCCTGGAAGCCCCCAAGCCTGCAGCAGCATCACTCCCATCTCTGCCTCCATCTCCCTGCCCCTCCTGTGTCTGTGTGTCCGTCCGTGTCTTTTAAAGACATCCGTTGGATTTAGGGCCACCCTAATCCAGGAAGACCTCAACTGGATCCTTCCCTTGATCCCATCAGCAAAGACCCTATTTCCAAATAAAGTCACATTCTGAGGTTCTGAGTGGCCATGAATTTGCGGGGAAGGGAGTCACTATCCAGGCCACGGCAGACACAGTTCCCCGAAACTGAAGACGTGTTTACTCACTTTTTTTGGACAGGGAAGCTCGGCTGTGGGTGCGAAGCAGGACTGCCCCCCAAGGCCAGGCAGGTCCTCGAGGAGCATCTCCCAGTCCAGTCTCAGCGGGCACTGGCCTGGCACTCACGCTCGGGGTGGGGGGCATCCCAGGCCCTGAGACTGGTGCTGGGTCCAAGGGTCCCCATCCGGTGGCAGCCATTCCGCATTGATCTCCATTTGCTTTTCAAACATGCAATTCTCATAAACTGTGCTAAATGCCATTTAGTAGCTAATTAACTTTCTGTGTGAAGACCTCTCTAATTGCGCACACTCCCCCCTCGGCTGGGTCCTCGGGGATGCCCAGCTGTCCTAGAGTATTTGTTCTGCTGGCTCCCACCTCGCAGCCACAACTTCAATGCCCACAACAAACTGCCAATCAAGGCTGTGGAGGTCAAAGGGGACCAAATCAGGGGCCCTCTGCTACTACCAAACTCTCCCGGCAAAGCTTAATTTAAATAAGAAAGCAGAAAGGTTATGAAAAACCATTTTTCCCAACGAAACTCTTCTGCCAGGCGGCATAAGGGGCGCGGCCCTCCGCTCTTCAGAACGGCTGGTGTCTGCTTTGAAAGGTCCTGACTAGAATCTGTTTATATTTTGACTGCACTGGCATCTGCCATCCCTCAAACGGAGAGATAATCAGGAAATAAAAGCTTTTGATTAGCAGCTGCATGAATCACTGCAGTGCCAATTTCCTCGTGGTCCCAAAGTGCGGGAGGGAGGGCAGGAGGCGGCAAGCATGGGTGCTGGGTCCACCTCACCCACTTGGGGCAAAGCCATCTCTCACTTTATTCACTGGTCTTGGACTTGGGGCCCCAGGTCTATATCCCAAGGCCACGTTCGCTTCATAAACGCAAGGTGATCTCTGAGCACCTCTTAGACAGAAGTCTGGGCAGACGCAAATGTGCAGCGTTTCAAAGCAAAGCTCAAGAGTGGATTCCTCAGTGCAGTATCGTCAGCGTTGCAGTGGTGGGTAAGAGGCCCCGGGATTATTTTTGGAGGGCCCCTCCCTGCAGAGCAACCACGTGAGGACTCCCTACCCCAGGACCTTCCACCAGAAAAGGCCAAAGAGAGACCACACGTGCCGCCCCCTGCCGAAGCCTGGCCTTTGAAGGATGAACGGCAAGGGGTATGTCTGCCCTGACAGAGTGACCAGTACCCGCAGCACCCGAGTTCTTTGCCTCTTATTAAAGGGCAGAGCCACCATGGTGGGTGAACGGGCTTCCTCTCGGAAACCAACATCCTGGTTGGGTTTTCCCTTCCAAGGAAGGCTCTACACACCCGGCCCTCCTCAGAGCCTCAGCCCGCAGCGGGAGATGACACCTCCGATCAGGTCCACGGGAAGATGGGGGTGAACGAGAAGCCTGAGGCCGGGCCGGTGGGAGGGCGTGATGCATGGGAGGAGCTGGACTGCGGTCAGCCGTCCCCTCGCGCCCTCCGGTCTCTGCTGCTGTGTTTACTTGGCTCCCTTCCCGGGATGGCCTTGTAGCAAATCCATCTGGGATATGTTTTGTTTCCACAGAGGGACCCTGAATTTTGAGGTGGGGCCACAGAACCTCCCTTGAGAGCCAGAAGAGATCAGGGCCAGGATGGGTCACGGGCTGTGCCCAGTGTCGCTGCCCAAGGCAGAACTGGCTGCCCACCAGGGGCAGGAGACTGGATGGTCTTTCCAGGCCCTCATCCCAAACTCAAGCACTGGAGAAAATTGTTCCAGAGCGTCTCGGTCTGGGTGGGAGCGGGGAATAAGCATTTCTTTAAGGAATTTTTTTTTTACTTTTTTTTCAGACTGGGTCTTGCTCTGTCACCCAGGCTGGAGTGCTGTGGTGACATCACAGCTCACTGCAACCTCCGCTTCCACCTCTTGGGCTCAAGCGATCCTCCCACTTCAGCCTCCCGAGTAGCTGGGACCACAGGTGCACGCCATCACGCCCAGCTAAATTTTTTATTTTTTATAGAGATGGGGTCTCGCTATGTTGTCCAGGCTGATCTTGAACTCCTGGGCTCAAGCGCTCCTCCTGCCTCGGCCTCCCAAAGTGCTAGGATTACAGGCATGAGTCATCATGCCTGACCTATTTTTAAACCAGAATAAGCAGGTACAGAAGTTTGCCTGGTGACCAGGAGTCATGACTCTTTCCGAATGAAGGTGGGGATGGGGGTAGGGAATGTCCCCATGAAGGTAGCCCCTGGCTGGGCATTTTCCACTCCCAGCCACAGCCTCCCTCTGCGGGCAGAACCCTGGGTGCTGCAGGGAGCTGGTTCTCAGGGAAAAGGGAATTAAGTCAGTACTGGGAGATTTGGGTTCCACAGAGTTTAGGGGCTCCTACAAACAGCGGCTTACGGGCTGGTGAGGAATTTCCCATCCTGAAGCTTTTAAAGCAGACAAACACATGAGTGCTGGGTGGGGGCGGGGTGCTGGGAGATGCAGAGGCTCAGAAAAACCCTCCGAGGCTCTCGGATTTTACGCCTGCATGAGATTTCGAGGGAAGAATCCTAAATGTGGGGAAATGAGGTTGCCCAGCAATTCTGAATGTGGTTTAAAAAAAAAATTAGGTGGGGGAGAATGAGACGATATTCAATATTTCCTTCTGATTCAAACGAAATACTTCTAAGTTCTTCTCTGTGAAAGCGTGTGTGTGTTTAGAAGGGAGAGGGGGATGATAGCACGTCCTGCCAGAAGCCGTTTTATTTACTAGTTTGGATGCTTCCCCTGACGCCTACCTGGGAGGTGCTTGCCTGGCCACCAGCCAGGGCCGTGGCTCCTCGGCAAGTGGGCGTCCGCCGAGCCTTTGATGCACTCTCCAAAGTCACAGAGCAAAACAACACGCTGAACAAACACCACCACCCTGAAAAGTCACCAGCCCATGGGCCTCTCCCTGGCTCCAGCTGTGGCTGATTTACCCAAACTGAAACATTTTCCTTTTGTCGACTGTAGAGAGCTATGAGTCAGGTCCAAGCTCCACTGGGCGTATGCCCAAGGGGCAGAGGGGGCAGCAACCGGACGGAAGCTGCCCAATCATAAGACCATGGCTGAAAGTCAAACGCGCCCAGAGTCCACAGTCGACCACCTCCCGCTCGGCAAGCCAGGGTCCTGGTGAACGCACGTGCCTGCGTTCTGTACCAAACAGTTGTCAACACACACCAGCAACTTAACAAATCAACTCCAACAAAGGGGAAAAAATTAACATTAAGGGCAAAAAGACTTTTTCTGGAGGGTCCTATGCACCAGATGTTGGCTCTTTAATTGGCAGTCAACCTCAAAGCAAAACTTAGAAGGCCCCTGCTTGTTTTATCAGTTAGAGCCACAGAAAATCAAAGTCCAATCCCGCTAAGCATGGTGCTGTGTAGCCCGGCCAGCCCCGTGGAAGTCCTCAGCCTGGTCCCGTCTTCTGGGCTCTGCTGGGCTGGACGGTGCCACCCTCCCCAACCCGCACCTGCCCGCCGGCCCCAGGCCCTCCCTCAGGACCCAGCACCTTCAGTCCTCCTGCCGAGAAGAAGCCTTTCATCAGTAAAAGAGAAAACGGCTTCTCCAAAGGAAGTTTCTTAACTTGAAAAAACACCATGATTAGGGAAACTCCTCCATCGTCCAAGATACAAACACAAACTCCCAAACACCTGTCAATCCTTCTCAGGGCTCCACATGGCCCAAAGGACACCCCAAATGTGGAGGACCACTCAAGACCCTCAAATGCAGCACCGTGTGCCCCCTGAACAGGGATCCCCACATTCGATGAAAACAAAATTGGCCAGCGCAGGAACTTTTGCCCATGACTTAAGCACAGCAAAGTCCCCAAAGCCAGAATCCCTCCCAGGACCTGCCCGACGGGTTTTATCACTGGACGCATCAAAGCCCCTCTCACTGGTGGTTGGTTCAGCAGAGCCCTGGGCCTCGGGCCTGCCCTGCTCTGACAGCTCCCACACTGTGGCCTTGATCGGGCCCTTTTCCACTCTGTGCCTGCTTTGAGTAACAGGCTCCCACAAAAACACTGTGCTGGGGTATTTCCAGGATGAAAAGCCACGGTTCGCTTTGCCTGCCATGGACAGAGTCATAAATACGAGTTGTCGTTGCCTCTTCCCAACAGTCTGGCATGGCAAACTGGCCTTGTGGAGTTCGGAATTGTTCTAGATACTGCTCATGTATTCTCCAGCAGCTCTAGCTGGTTCTGCCCAGATACCTGGCAATGCCAAAGGCCGAGAGGCCAAGACACTACAACCTTTGTTCAAATACACGAACATCCTCAAATACACGAATGTCCTCTCTGCACAAGCAGAGCAGCCTCAGCATCGGCCCTCGCAAGTCCCACCAGAGAACGGTATTGAAAAGATGACTGGGGTCAAGGGGTGCGGAGAGGGACCCACTGTACCCTCATGGCCACTCTAGCGCCAGCCCTTCTGTAATGACCCCCTCTGGATTCCCAAAAGTCAGCCGAGGGGTCCCCACCCTCCTGGGGTGGCTGGGGTGTTGCTGCCCACCCCCAGGGGCAGGCCTGTGTGCAGCATCCATGCCCAGAAACCTGCGCTCAGATTTCCCAGTTCCCAGAAGACAACAGGGAGAGTCTATTTTTCTAAGCTCACTAGGTAAAGTGTTACTTCCTGATCTAATCTTGCCAGGCTCTGGAAGCTTCCGTCAAGGTTTTCCCACACTCCATGTCAGGTCTCTGACATGAACCAGCTTTCAGAGTCTAACGACTAGATTTGACTTTCAGCTGCTCGGACGGAGGCTTCAACTCAGCCTGAACTAGCCGCGTGGACAGCAGCCGTAGCCCTCACAAGGCGTGTGCGGTGACGGGTCTCGGGCGCCCAGCCAGCGAGGGGCCGGCTCCAGGTGGTGGGAGCCCACGCCCCCGGCCAGCACTCTGGCCACAGCGCAGCACCTGCCCCATGAGAGCCTCCTGTTGCAGCCCGGGCAGAGGTGAGCCTGGGCAGCCACCTCCCACGTGATTTCCCAATGCTTGAAGTTCACGACCAATTGCTGGGGTGGGGACAACCTACACAGGCTTACAGACCTAATCCAAGAAGGCAGTTCTCAAAAGGATGGGAAAACGTGCACCAGTCTCACAGTCCCAGTCACCTTAAAAGGTCTTAACTGATTTTTCCTTCTCTCTGTTTATTGTGGTAAAATGTCCATAACATAAAATTCACCACCTTAACCGTTTTCAACGTCGAGCCCAGTGGCATTATACCATTCCTATTTTTGTGCAACCATGACACCACCCATCTCCAGAACTCTCCTTCTTCCCAAACTGAAGCTTTGTCTCCATGAAACACCAGCTCCCCAACGTCCCCTCCCTCAGCCCCTGGCACCCCAATCTTTCCCTCTCTGAGCCTGACAACTCCAGGGGTCGCACACAAGTGGAATCACACAGATTTGGCCCCTTATGTCTGGCTCATTTCACTCGGCGTAACGTCCTCAACTCATCCGTGTTGCGGCGCGTGTCAGAATTGCCTTCCCAAGGCTGAACGTTCCGCTGGGTGTGTGTGGAACATGTGTGTGAACACACCGCGTTTCTCTAGTCACCCGTCGGGGGAACTTGGACGCTTTCACCATGGGCTACTGTGGA
This sequence comes from Homo sapiens, assembly GCF_000001405.40. Lineage (NCBI taxonomy): Eukaryota > Metazoa > Chordata > Mammalia > Primates > Hominidae > Homo > Homo sapiens. The sequence goes on from NC_000017.11 coordinate 79,991,035, forward strand.
CGGTGCTGCTATGGGCAGGGGTGGTCATGTATCTGAGCTCCTTCTCTTTATTTCTGACACTTCTATATAACCATGAATCATCTATGAAATAATTTTGACAAGCAAGAGGTTCACAAAGTAAATTCCAGACAAAGCCACCCTGGAGACCCAGCTGGGCTGTCCCGGGGGCGGTCCCTGCGTCCACGCCGGGAGAGCAGGAATGACACAAAGCAGGCTGCATCTGGCTGTGTCAGGCCTCCCACCCATCCCATCAGCCAGGCATCTCTGCTTTGGGGCCAGAGGTCAAACGTGTCTGGGTTCCGTGTAGTCTCAGGGGAGGCTGAGGCTGACGCGAGGTGGGGTGGGGTGAGGTTGTGCTGGAGGCTCTCCACCTCTCCACCCACCAGACACCCAGAGAAGAGGCGGAAAGTCAGCAGGGAAGGCAGAAGGCTGCTAAGAGTGGACAGGATGCAGGAGTGGCGTCTGGCTGACCCTGACCAGGGGGACCTGGCCCAAGTGAGTGTGCACCCCAGCCCGGCCCTCAGAACTGCTTGCAGGCACTTGCGAGTTAATATCCACGTGATTTAGGATTCACCAAAATCTGCTTGGAAGGAGGCAGGGAGGCAAGAGGGAGGTCAGGTGGGGAGGCGCGCAGGCAGTGCTGCCCTCCAGCCACAGGCAGGTGGGGGTGGGGCGGGGCGGGGCGGGGAGGGGGAGGGCGGGGGCGTGCACCGCAGGCAGCGGCCAGCCCTGGGCTGATCTAGGGGAAGCCTGCCATCTGCTGGGCACCGGGATCCCTCCCGGAGCAGGAGTGCCACCTCCACGCAGATGGAGTTTGCAAGGGGCGGTGCCGCCATCTTCACAGAGGCTCCGGGCAGCTGGCGGGGGTGGGGGGATGGTTGGGGGGGCCGTGTTGGCCAAGCCCAATTCTGGGGTGGGAGAAAACGAGCAACACTCTGCAAAGGGCCGGGGGCCTGGTGGCCCCCCCATCCTCGCCGGACCTCAATGTCCTGCGTACAAGCCTGTCCCGGCCGTGGCCACCGGCTGGCTTGTGTGCTCCGCCTGCCGGGAAGCGCTTTCCCCCTCGTGGACCCTACAAAGACGCCTCTCTGCAGGCTCCCCTCATGCTGCGGGCACACAATGCGTCCTTTCACCCGGGGTGGGTCTGGCGGAGGCGGCCCCTCCCCGGGGTGCCCCCCGCTGGGCCCCTGACCCCACACTCCGCTGCTGTTCTTGGCCTGCGTAGACCCGTCCCTTTCAACCGCTGTCAGGAAACTGTGTGGACGAGGAATCCCTGCTGGTCGCGCCCGAGACCATCTCTCTGCGTCTCCTAGAAGGGGAAACCGTGACCCACATCAAACTGTGGCCGTTGGAAAGGTGAACACACGGAGCCTGGGGCCGGTGGGGCCAGGGGGTGGGGTATCCTTGCACCCGATGTCACTTGACACCCGTCCCGGCAGCCCGCCAGGCTCGGAGAGAGACCGTAGCTACCAAAAATAATCCTCCCAGTGTTTAAATATTTACAGAAGCAAGACAGATCCTGATGCCTTTACAATCTACTGGAGTCTGCCCTAACCGCCAGTCCGAGGCTCCCAGGAGAGGCCACAGCGACCACCCACCCGGTTTTCGGGGTCCCAGGTCGCCTCTCCTCTCCCTGTCCCTGCCTGATATATATCGCAGGGCTCCTCCTCCGGTGACCACATATCTGCCACTAGCCCTCTCCCTCCTTCCAGAACATTCCCACTTCCAACTCTGCTCTCACATCACCCCAGCCCCAGCACCTACCTTGAGACAGCTCTTTCTGCTCCAGAGCCCCTCGGGGAAAGCCTGCTTTCTCTGCAGAGCCTGCACCTCATTTTGGGAACCAGTGAACAAAATGTAACAAGAGGCATTTGTCCATGTAACCCCATTGTCCATGTAACCCCTGGGGCTGGTCTCGACCCCACTCCCCTCCTGGGGACACAAGGGTGAGACGGTACAGTACCAGGCCAACACCAGTCCCAGCGGATGGCACAGAGATGGGCACTGCTCTCAGGGCCTGTCCAGATGCTACTTCTCATGACAGTCTATGGGGTGGGGAGCACTAGCGCCAGCCCCATTGTGCAGAGGGGAAACTGAGGCAATGAGGGTAATAACCCACCAGCACACAGCCAGGCAGAGCTGGGATGTGGCCAAGGACTTGGCTCCAGGCTCCCACACTTAAAGATCATCTCTGTCACCACCTGGGGGTAATAAGGTCAGGGATATGCCCCAGGCCGCCTGCTTCCACCAGCCAGTCCCTTTCAAAGGGCGGAGGTTTCCAGAAGTGTGGCTGAGTGTCTGTCTGTTCTTGATGGTCAGGGAACCTTACTTTCAGGTCCCCAAAGCAGATTCCCTGAGGCCAGGAGGCACTTAGGTGGACGGGCACCAGGAGCCCTGTGTCCTCTGCCTTGCAGGTGTTTAGGGAACATTGTTCAGACTGGAAGGAAGAGCCACGTGAAAATGCCCTTTCTGTTTACTCTGCTGGGAAGGATATGAAGCCAAACAGAACCAGCTACGGGAGTCTTTCGACCGCAAGACAAAAGGTCCTTTGCCCCCACTACCTGCAACTTTCAGGGAAGATTTCATCAGGTGCTGGGTTACATTGCAACAGCCAGGCGTGGTTCCCCAGAGGTACGGTGTGAGCTCCCCAACTCACCGGGAGACAGGCGCTGCCACATCACTGCCTCTGGGAGCCCGTGACCTCATGCTCAGAGCTCTCAGAAGCTCACGTGGCCTGTGAGGCCCCTGCCAGGGCTGTTGATGCAAGAGCTGGGGCTCGGGAGCCTCCCAAGGGCAGCTCTGTGTATTCAGAGCAGCTCAGCCCCTCGAGAGCACCAGGAGCCCCCAGCCCCCATGCAACCACCGGCCGGGGTTGCGTCAAGGCCTCCCGGAGCAGCTGTCAATGGTTTCTGAGCTGCGGTGGAAAAGGCTGACAAGTTTCATTTCCCTGACCTTGGACAGCCCTCCTGATGCAGGGAGCGCCCATCCCTGGGGAGCACTGCCTCTCCAGGAGCCTGAACTTCCTTCTTTTTGGTTCAGGAGGTTTGAGGCACTTATTTCCTCCCTGTCCTGACAGTTTTACTAGAAAGGTCAGCTTTTTAAAGAGCTGTCAGTCCTTCGGAAGACAGTCAATAACAGCATGGTTTAAGACGGCCCACCAGATGCACTGGCTCCGCCCCCATCTCTTTAGAATCCAGCTCCCTTGGGGGACATACCTGGCTGGTGACTTCTAGAATCCCAGCTCAGGGCCGGGGGGGTGCCAGGGCTGTGAACCCCCGACAAGAGGCAATGAAACCCCCTCCTCCTAGAGGCTGCCCAACCATCAAGGACAAAGGAAGAGGGAGTCCATGAAGAAGGGCTGGCCAGAGAATATTTTGTTTTGTTTTGTTTTGTTTATTTTTTTATTGAGACGAAGTCTCACTCTTGTCCCCCAGGCTGGAGTGCAATGGCGTGATCACAGCTCACTGCAACCTCTGCCTCCTGGGTTCAAGCAATTCTCCTGTCTCAGCCTCCCAAGTAGCTGGGATTACAGGTGTCTGCCACCACGCCCGGCTAATTTTTGTATTTTTAATAGAGACAGGGTTTCACCATGTTGGCCAGGCTTGTCTTGAACTCCTGACCTCAGGTGATCCACCAGCCTCGGCATCCCAAAGTGCTGGGATTACAGGCGTGAGCCATTGCGCCCGGCCGAGAATGTTTTTTCAAAAAAGCAGGTCGCCAATCTGTGTAGACTCGTGCTGGCCAAGGCAGTGACCCCAAGCCACATGTGGCATCACACTTGAGACGTGGTCTAGGTGTAAAGTACACGCGAAATTCCCAGGACTTGGTAAACAGAGAGAATGTAAAACACTTCCCATCGGCGGCCGTGTATACTGATCCCACATTGGAATGATACTATTTTGAACAAGCTGGGTAATTTACAAAAATTTTCACCTTTTTGTTTGTTTTCTTTTTGTTTTTTGACTTGTAAAAATGTAGCTATGGCCGGGCACCGTGGCTCATAGCCTGTAATCCCAGCACATTGGGAGGCCAAGGCAGGCGGATCACCTGAGGTCAGGAGTTCAAGACCAGCCTGGCCAACATGGTGAAACCCCATCTCTACTAAAAATACAAAAATTAGCTGAGTGTGGTGAGGCACTCCTGTAATTCCAGCTACTCCGGAGGCTGAGGTAGGAGAATTGCTTGAACCCAGGAGGCGGAGGTTGCAGTGAGCTGAGATCGCACCACGGCACTCCAGTTTGGGTGACAAACTGAGACTCCGTTTCAAAAAAAAAAAATTGTACCTATAAGACCCACACAAATATGCCCAACTGATATTGGACAAAAGAGCAAAGCGTCTCAATGAAGGAAGAGCAGCCTCTTCAACAAACGACGCGGGAGTCATTGCACATCCATAGGCAATAAATAAATAAATAAACCTCGACCCCGTAAAACTTTTAGGAAAATAACAGGAGAAAACCTTCAGGATCGGCCGGGCGCGGTGGCTCACGCCTGTAATCCCAGCACTTTGGGAGGCTGAGGTGGGCAGATCACGAGGTCAGGAGATCAAGATCATCCTGGCTAACACAGTGAAACCCCGTCTCTACTAAAAATACAAAAAATTAGCCGGGCGTGGTGGTGGGCGCCTGTAGTCCCAGCTACTCGGGAGGCTGAGGCAGGAGAATGGCGTGAATCTGGGAGGCGGAGTTTGCAGTGAGCCGAGATCGCGCCCCTGCACTCCAACCTGGGCGACAGAGCGAAACTCTGTCTCAAAAACAAAAAAAAAGAAAAAAACTTTCAGGATCTAGGACTAGGTCAGGAGTTCTTGAGCTTGACATGAAAAGTATGATTCATAAAAGGCACAACTCATAACCTGGACTTCATCAACATTAAAGTCTTTTGCTTTGTGCAAGATCCTGTTAAGAGGATGAAAAAAAGAACTACAGACTGGGAGAAATATTTGCAATCCTCATATCTAGCAAAGGACTAGTTTCTAGAGTGTATAATCAACTCTCAAAACTCAGTAGTCAACAAACAAAAAATGGATTAGACGATGTCTCTTTGTCTCTTTGGGTATCTGTCTTCATTGCAGTGAATCGTTTGTATACATTGTTTTATTACAGTCACAAAAGAAATCATGTATTAACAGGAATAAAAAAGCAGGTTGTTACCTGTCACTAGAACAATATTATCGCTTCTGGTTGCCACAATAAATCATATTATGACTTTTTCCAAAATCCTCCAACCAAAGGTTGTCCCCATAAGCCTTTCGATATATATTATTAAGATATAAGAAGATGCTTAAGAGACAAAGAGATCTTCCGCCAAAGAATCAGATACCTGGATGGCAAATAAACACACAAAACGATATTCGACATCACGAGCCATTAGGGAAATGCTGATTAAAACCACAATGAGATGTCACTACACACCCATCAGGATGCTTAAAAAAAATAATAGTGACAACCTCAAATACTGATGAGGATGTGGAGAAACAAGGCACTCGTAAATTTCTGGTGGGAGTGTAAAACGGCCCAGCCACTCTATGCAACAGTTTAGCAATTGCTTTAAAAACTAAGCACATAGGCCGGGAACGGTGGCTCACGCTTGCAATCCCAGCACTTTGGGAGGCCGAGGCGGGAGGATTGCTTGAGCCCAGGAGTTCGAGACCAGCCTGAGCAACATGGCAAAAACCCTGTCTCTATTTTTACTAGATAAAAAACGTATTTTAAAAAACTAATCACACAATCAATCCACATATGACTCGGCAAGTGCATTTGTGGGAATTTATCCTAGAGAAACGAAAACTTAGGTTCCAACAAAACCCCACACATGAATGTTCCTAGTAGCTTTATTCACAGTCGCCCCTGAATGGGAAGCCATGGTTCATGTCCATCAGTCCGTGAGCGCGTGGACCGTGGGGTGCTGCTACTCAGCAGTAGAAAGGAACAAGTTCTTGACACACAGGACAGCTTGGATAGAGCTTCACAGGATGATGCTGAACCAAAAAAAGTCCATCTCAAAGCTGACATCATGCAGGGTTCCAGTTACGTAAAATTCTTACAGAGGAGTGGTTGCCCTGTGCCAGGGCAGCGTGGAGGAACCCTGCGGTGGGGGAGTGGTTCTGCGTCTAGCTAGTGGTAGTAGTTGCCGGAAGCTACATGTATCCCAGTGGCACAGGATTCTAAACACACAAGCACAGATGGGTGCCTGTAATACCCGTGAGACCTGTGGACTGTACCAACCTCAATTTCCTGGTTTGGAGAGTGTACTATGCTTCTATGCAGGATGTCACCATGGGGGGAAGTGGGTGAAGGGTGTATAGGGCCTCCCGGTACTTTTTTTTTTTTTGCAACTTCCTGTAGTTACTTCGAAATAAAAACTTTTAAACGTGGCTAATGGAAAATTTTAAATCACAGAGGTGGCTCACGTTACATTTCTATTGGGCACTGTTAGCCTAAACCGGGGGATCCACAAACCATGGCCCGAGGGCCAAATTGAGGCTGCCCTCTGCCTCTGTACAGCCCATGAACGAAGACTTTTTTAAATGAATAGACTTTCTTTTTTAGAGCGATTTTAGGTTCACAGAAAAACTGAGCAGAGTACAGCGAGTTTCCCCTCAATGTACACACTTTCCCATACCATTAATGTCTTGCATTTGCGTGGTACATTTGCTGTAACTGATGAGCCAATATTGATACATTATCAGTAATAACTGACGTTCAGGGCTTCTACTAGGTTCACTCTTGGTGTTGTACAGTCTATGGGGTTTCAGAGACACAGTGGCAGGCGTCCATCATTGCAGCCTCACACAGAATAGTGTCACTGCAGCCGGGCGCGGTGGCTCACGCCTGTAATCCCAGCACTGTGGGAGGCCAAGGAGGGTGCATCACCTGAGGTCAGGAGTTCAAGATCAGCCTGGCCAACGTGGTGAAACCCCGTCTCTACTGAAAATACAAAAATTAGCTGGGTGTGGTGGCGGGAGCCTGGAATCCCAGCTACTCAAGAGGCTGAGGCAGGAAAATCGCTTGAACCCAGGAGGTGGAGGTTGCAGTGAGCTAAGATTGTGCCATTGCACTTCAGCTTGGGCACAAAGAGCAAAACTCTGTCTCAAAAAAAAAAAAAAAAAAAAAAGACAAGAAAAGAAAAGGAAAAAGAATAGTGTCGCTGCCTTTGGAATCCAGTATCTGCCCATTTATCTTTTTCTCCTCTTGAGCCCCCAGCAGGTGTTGATCTGTTTACTGTCTTCACAATTTTGCCTTTTCCAGAATGTCCTAGAGCTGGAATCATGCAGCTTGCAGCCTTTTCAGACTGGTGTTTTTTGTTTTTTTTGAGATAGGGTCTCACTCTGTGACCCAGGTTGGAGGGCAGTGGTGCAATCTAAGCTCACTGCAACCTCCGCATTCTGGGCTCAAGCAATCCTCCTGCCTCAGCCCCCCAAGTAGCTGGGACTACATGTGTGAGCCACCATGCCCGGCTAATTTTTGTATTATTATTATAATTTTTTTTTTTTTTTTTTGTAGAGACAAGGTTTCACCATGTTGCCCAGGCTGGTCTCCTGAGCTCAAGTGATCACCCACCTCGGCCTCCCAAAGCGCTGGGATTACAGGTGTGAGCCACCGCACCCGGCCCAGATTGGCTTCTTCCACGTAGCAATGTACATTTCAGCATCCTCCACATCTGCTCAAGGCTTGACAGCTCATTTCCTTTTATCCATAAACAATATTCCCTTGCAGGGAAGCGCCACCGTTCGCACATCCACCCACCACCACAGGGTATCCTGACTGCTTCCACCGCGCCCGTATGAATGAAGTGGTTACAAACACCTGCGTGCAGGTTTCATGTGAAGGATGGTTTTGAACATTTTTAAATGTTGAAAAAAATCCAGAGGAGAATATTTCACAACACATGAAAATTATATGAAATTCCACTTTCAGTATCCTTAATAAAACGTGAATGGGGCTGGGCGCGGTGGCTCACGCCTGTAACCCCAGCACTCTGGGAGGCCGAGGCGGGGGGATTACCTGAGGTCAGGAATTTGAGACCAGCCCGGCCAACACGGCGAAACCCCATCTCTAGTAAAAATACAAAAATTAGCCGTGTGTGGTGGTGGGCACCTGTAGTCCCAGCTACTCGGGAGGCTGAGGCAGGAGAATTGCTTTAACTCAGGAGGTGGAGGTTGCAGTGAGCCAAGATCACACCACTGCACTCCAGCCTGGGCGAGAGAGTGAGACACTGTCTCAAAAAAAAAAAAAATTAATGGAACACAGCCATGCCAATTAACATACATTGTGTGGTGGCTTCCATGCTACAAGGGCAGAATTGAAAAGCTGCAGCCAAAACCATCTGGCCCCCAAAGCAGAAAATACTTGCTGTCTGGCCCACCTGCCAACCCCTGGAATAGACAATTACAATTCCCAACTTTGAAAGTCCAGGAAGAAAACCAACCAAAATGATAACGGCAACACCAGAGGGATCAAAGATCACAAATATTTCCCTTCTGCCTTTCCCCCAAATTTCTTTTTTTTTTTTTTTTTTTTTTTTTTTGAGATGGAGTCTCACTCTGTTGCCCAGGCTGGAGTGCAGTGGCGTGATCTCGGCTCACTGCAACCTCCGCTTCCTGGGTTCAAGTGATTCTCCTGCCTCAGCCTCCCGAGTAGCTGGAATTACAGGCATCCACCACCACGCCTGGCTAATTTTAGTACTTTTTAGTAGAGACGGGGTTTCACTATGTTGGCCAGGCTGGTCTCGAACTCCTGACCTCAGGTGATCCGCCCGCCTTGGGCTCTCAAAGTGCTGGGATTACAGACCTGAGCCACCAGGCCTGGCCACCCTCGAATTTCTAAAATGAACACAATCTCTTTTGTCTCTTTGGAAGCCCATTTCTATAGTGTCTTTGCCGGGGCCCCAGCAACCTGTCTGGGACTCCTGACCAGACTCACTCGCTCAGCTCTAGGGGTCGACGAGGCTGGGCCATGAGGAGCAACTGACATGACAGAAACAAGGAGTTTCTCAGGGCCCTGATTGTGTTTGGTTTTTTGCTTTTTGTTTTTAACCAGAGTCACTGCTCAGCCATCACTTGTGCTGAAGGCTTGAGCTCTGCGTCACCCTTTCCTAAAACGGGGTGATGACCACACTGATGTCGGGAGCTGTTTCTGGGATTCAGGTTGGCACCCATAGAGCATATGCCGCGGTGAACAGTGCTCCCCCAAGATTCATGTCCACACAGAAGCTCCCAATGTGACCTTATTCAGAAATAGGGTCTCAGCAGATGTCACCAAGCTAAGATGAGGTCACCCTAGATTTGAGTAGGCCCTATCTAATGACTGGCATCCGTATGAGAAGAAGAGAGGGCACACAAAGGGACACACCCTGTCCATGTGGCAACAGAGGCAGGGGTCGGAATGATGTGGCCACAAGCCAAGGAATGCCTGCAGCCACTCAAACCGGAAGAGACCAGGAAGGACCCTCCCCTAGACCTTCCAGAGGGAGCGTGGCTCTGCAGACACCTTGATTTTGGACCTCTGGCTCCAGGACTGTGAGAGAATACATTTCTCTTGTTTCAAGCACCCGGTTTGTGGTCCTTTGTCACAGCAGCCCCAGGACACTGATACGAGCACGTCCAACGGGGCTGGCAACTCAGTCAGGTACACAGTGATGATGACTGTCTATCTGCCCTGTACTGAGCCCTCTGTGCAGAGCTTTACACGCACGGCCTTCCTGAACCCCCACAATGCCCCCACTTCACAGAGGAGTAAACTGAGGTACAGAGTGGTTCAACACCGTCCAAGGCCACCCCCTGCGGGTCTTGAGTGGAGCTTGGATTCACAGCTGGGTCTCTGACCAAAGCTCACTTACAGGCCTCACCCAACCAAGCCCGCCAGCCCCTTCTCTGCCTAGACATCATGTGTGAGCCAAACAGCCATGCCACAGTTGCACACCAGAGGGCTGGGCACGGTGGCATCCCAGTCGAATTCTTTGGCAGCCCCTCCAAGCTCCCAGAGCTGAGGGGCAGCCAGGGAGGGGACCAGTGCTCGGCTGGGCGCCTGCTTGGCTTCTCCGCCTGACAGTGAGACTGCTGGGGCGAGGCTATGTCCTGTGGCCATTTCTAGACTGACTATGGCCACATGCCAGTTCATGGGGCTCTGACCAGCCAGCTGCCCTTCCCGTAACAGCTTCCCTCAGACCCCTGGCATCGGCCACTCTCTGGGTGCAGGCGGAGCAGCTGGTGGTGGCCACCTTGGCTTGGGCAGGGGGGAGTCTGGGGGAGGGAGGAACGCCACACAGAGCCTGCCAAGTGCTACAGAAACAAGACGAGATTAGTCTGAACGACACACAGAACAGATTGCAGGGTGTCGGGCAATGGGATGTTTTAAAGAAATAAATCTCAGCTCCCGGTTACAGAAGCACAAACAAACCCAAACAACAGACCTTCAGGAGCTGCTGGCTTCCCGGCTGCCAGGCTGCGCTGGGCCCGGAGGGGTGGGCGGGGGTTCCTGGAGCATCCTCAGGGGGCGGCGGGCGCTCTCGGGGTATCCCCGGGCGCCCTGGTTGGCCCACGACCGGGATCAGGGGTTTGATCCTGAAATTTGGGAGGAATGGAGGATGCAGCCCTCCCAGCTCCTGGCCATCCCACCTCCGAGGTCTCTCTGGGACCCAGTTGTCCCTCCCCTGGGTGGCGGCAGCTCCTGGATATCTGTGCTGCACCTGCCCCTGGTCCCTGCTGCTGCTGGAGTGGCCCCTAAGACACGCACGGCCCACCCTCCCCACTCACCCCTTGCCCCCTTCCCTGCTGTCTCTTGCCCTGGACCCTCTCACATGCCCTTCCCTCCACCCCCCGCCTCCTGCTCCCTTCCTCATCCCCTGCTTTGTGTCCCCGTCTCCTGCTCCAGGCTCTGATTTGCTGGGCAGCTGCTGCGCCCCGGAACAAAGACGGGAAGGGCAAAGTGTGTCCTGATTCGTGTGCCACCGCTCACTTCTTCGCCCACCTCCAGGAGTTTCTAATCCTCCTCGGGCTTGCCTGGAGGGTTGGGCAGAAAAGGAACGGCAGGAAACGCAGAAGGGATCCGGAACGAGCAGAGCTTTGTGAGTCCAGGGCGACACCCCCAGGGCCTTCCGTGGGAGCTCCTGCAAGGATGCTTCCCAGCACTGGGTCCTGGCCCACCAAGCGCACTGGCTCTAGCTCATTCTCAGAGACTGGACTCTTCCCCGAGAGCCTCATTTCTGTCCTCTGTGCCGTGTAGGAGGACAGGGGCCATTACACCAACGATGAACGATAACGCCGTTAATAATTCAGCCGCTGCCGCTGATACTCGGTCGACAAGGAGCCTTTTCCTCCTAAAGGCAGAAAGCACTTAGATGCCGTTTATTACTGCCTCGCACGCCCTGCGGGGTGGGCTGGCACCTGCCAGGGAAGCCATGTGAGGTGGGGAGCGGCCGCCCCATGGGGTCTGCTGTCCAAGCACTGGCCAGCTCCAGGTGAACCCTTGTGCCATCGCCCCCATGACAGGGGCCACCCTGAGGGAGTAGAGGGGCCTTGTCTTATCATCTCGTCTTTCCCCCATTACTTTGGACAGAGAGTTTTTCGGGCCTGTCCTGCTGGGAGGGTCGCTACGTTTCTAGGGTCCACCTTCCATCCTCCCAGGAACATTCCGTCCAGACCTGTGCTGTCAGGCATGGAGGCCTCCCGCTGTGACCACCAAACTTCACATTCATTGAAGATAAAGAAAGACCAAAGTCCAGTTGCTTGGCCACATCTGCTGCATTTCTAGGGCGTGGTGGCCACACACAGTGGGGCACAGGCACAGGACCGCGTGCACTGCAGGACGCTCTGCTGACGGCGCTGGCCCAGGCACTGGGAGGACCCTGTGAGGAAGCACCCGGGAACGGTGGCGCACGTAGGGAACACCACGCGGCCTTGATAGGAGCTCTCCAGAGAGAAAGCTCAGGTCCCAGCAGGGGTCACGGAGAAGAAAGTCTCTTCCACCTGCAGGTGGGCTGGGGATTCAGCAGGAGAGAGGAGAACATTCCAGCTGCGGGCAGCAAGGTGGGAAGCGGCTATGCTTGGGGTGAAGTGCCCAGTGTGTGTGCAGGAAAGGGCAAGAGGAAAGTGGGAGGGCAGGGGGTCCCGGCAGCACCCCCAGGTGGGCAGCACATTGCTCCTGGCCCTTGCCCACCTGTGGCCGCGCCAACCCGCTTGGACTGAGTCTGACCTGGCAGGAACTGCATGACAGAAACCACAGTAACAAGTGGCCAAACTCTGAGGCCAGGCCACCCAGCCCATCCCAACACCCAAACACCATCTTGCCTAGGCTGGCCACCCCGGGAACGCATGCCGGGAATGACAAGAGGACCCAGGGAGAGAGAGAACGAAACACTCACTTCCCCAGGGGGAGGCCCCGCTGGCGGCACGGGACCCAAGGTGGCAGGCCGGCGGCACTGGTGTCACTGGAAGGACCTCAGTGACCAGCTCGCCCTGGAGGCCTCTTCACTAGTTAGCAGCGTGCAGCGCAGTGGGAGATGCTTAGCGTCCCCAAATGTGCAGGTTCTCCCCTTCTGTCTATTTTTATACATTGGTTTTCATTCTAAGCTTAATATAATCACAGAATAACATTTTTGAAAACAGAAAAGTAAAAAAAAAAAAAAAGTGCTCATAATCACACTAGGCTAACACGTGGGCACACCTTCCTCTCAACCTCTGCCATCCACTGCCGTGGCCACTGACCACAGGCGCTATCCACATTTATATTCATCAGGGCCGGGCACGCGGCTCATGCCTGTAATCCCAGCACTTTGGGAGGTCCAGGCAGGAGGGTCACTTGAGCCTAGGAGTTTGAGACCAGCCTAGGCAACAGAGCAAGAGTCTGTCTCTAAAAAATAAAATAAATGAACGGGGCATGGTGGTGCATGTCTGCAATCCCAGCTACTTGAGAGGCTGAGGTGGGAGGATCGCTCGAGCCCGGGAGGTGGAGGCTGCAGTGAGCTGTGATTGTGCTGCCGCCACCGTATGCCGGCCTGAGCAATACGGTGAGACTCTGTCTCTAAAAACGAAACTTAAAAACATTTTAAAATTAAAAACAATTTTATTAATCCGTATTATGTAAAATTAAAAATTCAGTTGCACTTGCGCCATTTCAAGGGTTCAAGAGCTGCATGAAGCCAGTGGCCGCAGTGCGGGACGGCGCAGACCTGGGTTCTGTCTGCCCTGGCAGAAGCTCTGCTGGGCAGCCCTGCCCTGAGAGCCTCATCTGCACCTCAGGCCTCTTCACAGAGTTTAACTGCAACGGGCAGAATCATAACCCGTTTCCTGCTTTGCGTCTGATTCACTCTAAATTTCCACACTGCAACACTGCATGGACCATTTGACAGTCCTTGTCAATACCACATCTTCTCCTATCTGGCAGCACCGAGCTTCTGAACGTTTTACAGGTCACAGACCTTCTGGGAAGTCAGATGGTGCCTCCTCCTCATATAAAAAAAAGTGGGGTAAGATCTCAGGGGTTCGTGAGCCCAGGTTTGAAAACTCCCTGATCCAACAGAGGGACCTTAGAGGGACCTTAGTCGGTCCACCTCCTCTGCCGTTGGATTCTTATGTTCTGCTCCTTTTTCCCCACTGTAAGGAATACCACGATGAACATCTTCATGCAGAAGCGTTTGTCTTTCTACTTTTATTTTCTTTTGAGACAAGGTCTAGCTCTGTCACCCAGGCTGGAGTGCAGGGGCACCATCTCGGCTCACTGCAACCTCTGCCTCCCAAGTTCAAGCGATTCTCGTGCCTGAGCTTCCCAAGTAGCTGGGATTACAGGCATGTGCCACCATGCTGAACTAATTTTTGTATTTTTAGTTGAGATGGGGTTTTACGGTGTTGACCACGCTGGCCTCCAACTGCCAACCTCAAGTGATCTGCCCACCTTAGCCTCCCAAAGCGCTGGAATTACAGGCTTAAGCCACGTGCCGGCCACTTTGGCCTTTCTATCTGTAATTTGGATTCTTTCTTAGGATGAGGTCCAGAGGAGACATTTTCACTTAGGGAGCAGAATCTGGTGTTTTTGTTGTTCTTGTTTTTGTTGTTGTTGTTTTTGTTTTTGACAAGGTCTCACTCTGTCACCCAGGCTTGAGTGCACTGGTGCGATCATGGCTCACTGCAGCCTCCACCTCCCAGGCTCAAGCAGTCCTCCTGCCTCAGCCTCCGGAGTAGCAGCTTGGATTAAAGGTGTGCACCACCACACCCAGCTAATTTTTTTTTCTTTTTGGTAGAGACGGGGTCTCGCTATGTTGCCCAGGCTTGTTTCAGTTCTTTATCCAGGTCACCAATGCACATCCCCGGGGCAGGGTCAGTGGACACGGTACCAGCCCCATGGCGCCCCGTTATTCCACACCCTCGCCCAACTGGCCTTTTAGGCTGGACGGTAGCTTCCAGCACAGAAACCAAGGGCAGGATGACCAGTCGCGCTTGGTGGTCACCCTCCCCAGCACACCCGAGAGCCTTGCTTTCTGACACTGAGGAGGGCACAGGACCAAGATAGCCCAGGGCTCACCCCCGGCTCGGGGAAGCTCAGGGTCTTGGGGTCTCAGGGCGGGGAGGCAGGACGACGCATTGGCGACAGCAGCTCTCCGTATCACCCCATCCCCCAAGTCAGCCTCGAATACTCACTTGGTCAAGGATTTCCAGGCCGTCGCTGGACTGGGGCCTGGGGCCTGGGGCTTCCAAAGGAGACCTCTGGGTTTAGTAGGTGGGCTCACCTTCCAGCATGCAGACCCCACCTGGCCATACTCTACAGGTAGCACACGAATGTGGGCAGCCCGGGGGATACTGCCATTTCTAACCCCTAAGCTCTTCTGTGAACTACTTGCCAAATAACCATATACCTGGGGGACCCTAGGCCCCCGGGGTGGGGTGGGGGAGTTGTCCCTCCTGGCCAATCTCAGCCAGACACGCAGCCTGCACATGCAGTTCTTCAGATCCACCACTAGAGGGGACCCTCGAGCCAGCCTACCTGCTCTGCCCTCCGGGGGGACTCAACTCCGGGTTAATTATTAATAGACGCCCCACCGCTCAGAGTGGCGATGGGTGCACCCGAGTCCTCACCAACACCCCTGCCTGGCGGGATGGCCAGTCATCTGGGGTCCTCGGCCCTGACACCCCTCCCCACCCCAGAGCACCAGGAGCGCTCTCGCTCTCTCTCGCTCTCTCGCTCTCTTTCTCTCTTTCTTTCTCTCTCTCTCTCTCTCTCTCAGCCCCTTCACAGCAGGGGTTCTCAACGCTACGTGCACTTCAGAAACCCCCAGGAAGTTCAAAACATTCCCATGCCTGGGCGCCACCCCAGCGATCCTAGTTTAATTGGTCTGGGTGCAGCCTGGGCATCAGGATTTTTAAAGCTGCCCAGGGCATTCTCATGGGCAGCCGGGCTGGGGACGCCTGCTCTACAGCGTCTAGGACAATTAACCACCTTAGCCAAGGATCTCCAGTCCCATCATACGAAGGCCCCGGGGGATGGGGATGGGGCAAGGAGCACCACCTCTGCTTCCTGGGTCTACCATGTGGTGGGGGCCAGAAGCGCACAGGAGCAAGGAAAGACCAGGGAAATGCAGATTCCAGGGCTCGCCCAGCCCCTTTCAGAATCCATGTCTGCTTTTCTTTTTCTTTCTTTCTTTTTTTTTTTCCAGACAGAGTATCTCTCTGTCACCCAGGCTGGAGTGCAGTGGCATGATCACAGCTCACTGCAGCCTTCACCTCCCAGGCTTAAGCCATCCTCCTGCCTCA
Source organism: Homo sapiens (assembly GCF_000001405.40). Taxonomy (NCBI): domain Eukaryota; kingdom Metazoa; phylum Chordata; class Mammalia; order Primates; family Hominidae; genus Homo; species Homo sapiens. The sequence goes on from NC_000017.11 coordinate 80,006,777, forward strand.
GCCTCCTGAGTAGCTGGGACCATAGGCATGCACCACTATGCCCAGCTAATTTTTATGTATTTTTTATAGAGATGAGGTTTTGCCATTTTCCCCAGGCTGGTCTTGAACTCCTAGGCTCAAGCAATCCACCCACCTTGGCCTCCCAAAGTGCTGGGATTACAGGCGTGAGTCACAGTGCCCGGCCTCCATATCTACTTTTTAAAAATAAAAAGAAAGCTCTCAGCAGTCTGTCTTGGAGACAGGCTGTTTTCACTCCAGCCTTGCACTGAAGCACACGCTTCTGGCGGGGTGGGGAGAGTCCCATCCACATCCACCTCGTCCCAGCACAAAGCTGCAACTCGCCACGTTCAGCGAGCCTCCCCTGGACCGGGCTGACACAGGCCTGAGGTGCGAGCCACACCGAGCCCGCGGCCATGTGGCCAAGAGGCATTTTCTGAGCCTTCATCAGGAGCAGGGCCGGGCTGTGGTAAGCACCCCCCAGCACGGTCTCCGGGTGGGGACGAGTCCCAGGCCAGGCTCGCTGACCCCATACCCCAGGCTGGTGCTCAACCCTCACGCCGACTCTGCCCTACAAGGGGGTTCTTGGCCGCACTTCACACCCGTGAGGCATCTGCGTTTTGGATGTGGGAGGTAATGGCCACAAGATCACACATAACTCAGGATGATGCCAGGACTGGAAACAGATCTGTCGGACCCCAAAATTTACTCCTTCACCACCATCTGCCTCCCAGCAGCTGGGGACGGACAGGCGGACAGGGTGTCTCAGTGGGGACTCGAGTGTCAGAGCAGAGAAGGGGGCCATGGGGAGGGCCCTCCTCAGCCCAGGGTTCGGGGGAATAGAGAAGCCTCCCCCAAAAGCTGACATGAAGGTGCCTCGCCCCAGGAGCTGAGTCTCAAACATATAAGCTGGCCGGTTAGGAGAGAGGGGAAGGAGGAAGCCTAGGTAGAGGGGATCCCTAGCCAAAGGCATGAGGCAGAGAGAGCCCCACAAGATCTAGAGGCAGAGAGGACGACGAACTTGGAGGTGTGCACAGTGGGGGGTGGGGAGGCAGGCAGCATCGCTCAGCAGGGCCAGATGGTGATGGGCCTTGGACCCCGAGTGAAGGAGATGGTGCTTCATCCTGAAAATGATGGGCGGCCCCCGGTGGGTCCCAGGCAGAGGGACAGCCTGGCTTCCAGAGTGAGTGCACAGCACGCCTGTCCGCTGCCCACTGATGCCAATACATCCCCACCCTCAGTTGTGATAAAAAAAAAAAAAAAGTGTCTCCTGGCATTGCCATACACCCCCTGGGCACAGACTCGGCCCCGGGTGAGAATCACTGCTCTAGAAGAACCTGGAGGGACCTGGGCATCAGCGTCTAAAGGCTCCCCCAGGAACCCCCACATGCAGCCAGGTTGAAGAACCAGCAAGGCGAAGGGCGGGGAAAAGCGAACCGGGGTGCATTCTCACAATACCCCCAGAAAGTGGATATTACCAGCCTCATCTTACAAACAGGGAAACCGAGGCTCCAAGAAAAGAAAGAATTTCCCAGGTTCACACTAACCAGTGATGCCAGGACTCAACCGGCACTCAACTCCCTAACTCCTAAACTTGAGCTCCCTACGAGATGGGGCTGCGGGACAGAGAGCTGACCGGCCAGCTTCTGGTTGTGGTTCTGCCACAGAATCCTCAGCCCCAAGACCGTGGGCCAACCCCACCACCTCTCTGAGACACAACTGGGACCTTCCCCTCGCCTGGGCCCTGGGGATGCAGGGACACGGGGACGCCTGCAGGTTCTGCTGCACTGTTGGCCTGGCACCACCAGGGGGAGCTCCGACTGAGTCCGGCCTGCGGGACCCAGGCCAGGACCAGAGTTCGGGCCCCGCCTCCCCCACACCTCCTCGGGTTCCCTGGCGCCTGACGCCACCCAGCTCAGCAAGCCTCCTGGCACCTGGAGTCCTCAGTTACGGCTCACGGCTTCCTTTTATCTGCACTCTCCAATAACTGAGATGAATGTTATCGGTTCACCCTGGGGCTCTAATGGACTGCATCTTTACTGGAGGGATAAAATCAGGGAAGAACCCGTCCCACAGTCACCCCTGCTGAGGCCAGCAAAGCCTGTGTCCTTACTTCATGCCCCACCACTCCCCGGCTTAATCGGCCTGGGGTGACCTTTTATGCTGCAGCCCTGGGGCAGACCCAGCTGGGTTCACATCCCAGCTTGGCCCGGGCACTGGCTGGGAGACCCCTGGCAAGCTGCTGACCTTCTCCGAGCCGCCCTTTCCCCTTCGATAGCAGGGGATAATAGGAGGGCCCACCTCACGGGGCGTGGGGCTGTGGAAAGCACACACGTACCATCCATAGCCCACGGTGTCCAGCGCCCAGGCGAGACCCAGACCACCCACGTCCAGCATGCGCCCGGCTCACACCACGAGCTCAACAGTTAATGACCTGCTCGCTGACTGATGTCGGCTCTTACTGTTGTCTGTGGTCACCACCATTATTTGCCCAGAAATCTAATGAGCGTAAGGACCACAGCCGGGGCATAGGAAGGGGCTGTGGAAGTCGGATGCAGGCCCCCTGTGCTGGCTCTGGGGCTCCGGGCTTATGCGACCACACGGGCACTCACCCCAAGGCCATGAGGGCCCTCGTGGCACCATGCAACCCTCCCCACTCAGGAAGGTCTCTTTGGGTTCCAAGGCCCAGGGAACCCACCGCAGGGCACGGGCCCAACTCTAGCTCCTGCAAGTGTGGCCAGCAAGGAGTCCAGATACTCTGGCTGGACTCCCCAGGGTGCATAGCGGCTGCCAAGTCGGGTGAATATGGTCAACACTGCCCCGGGACTACATCCATCCTCCACAGCTATGAGAAAGAGGGAGGCTGAAGCCTCCGGGGACCACAGGGGGCCAGGTCACGTGCCCAGTGGGCTGCAGGGCAGAGCGGGGAGCTGGAGACCAGCACATCTGGGCTTGGGCCAGCCCTGTGCGTGAGCCTAATGATGCCACCCGGGCCTCTTGGGCACTCGCTTGGGGACTGAAAATCTCCTGCCCCTCCGGTGATGGGAACAGAAGGGACCAGGACTCCCGGGGGCTTAGCCTTGGTCATGGGCCCATCAGACCTGGTAGGGCCTGTTTAGTCCTAGTGAGTCTCAAGGAGAGAGAAGAATGTGGACACCCCGACGCACCCTTCACAGTCCTCTCAGTGGGGTGTAAAGTGGGGACTCCCTGCTGAAGCCCTTGCCTCAGGGAGGGGCTCCTGCCACAGCCACGGCCACAGCCGCGGGCAGGTCGGGCAGATGCCTCCAGCGCTCACCTGGCATCACAGGTGACGCAGGTGAGTGCTTCCTGCCCAGGTCAGGCCTTGGGGGCCTCCCGAGAGCCCACGCCCAGAACCAGGAACTCACCTGCTGTCACTTTCCAGAAACACGGAGCCGCGGCTCTCGGCCAGCGCCGCGCTGATGGGCGAGAGGCAGAAGGGCGAGGAGAAGGTGTCTGAGTCTGAGTCAAAGGAGCTGTCTCTGCTCACGCCCTCGGCTGACAGTTCCAAAGAGCCATCCTCCTCCCCGGCCTCGGGCCGCGGCTCCCGCCCCTCCTCGGTGACATCCTGCGGACTGACCGTCGACAAGATCCCGGAGGGGCTGCAAGCAGGCTGCGAGGCTGGCTGGGCACCATCCACCCCCAAGCCCTGCGCCAGCTTCTCCTCATCCTCTGGCGCAGGGCTGGCGAGCATGCGGTCTGGAACACTCTGGGCCACCACCAGGATGTCCTCATCTTTGGGGGTCAGGGTAGGCCGCAGCTCCGTCGGGGAGGGCTGGTGGGAGGCTCCTGAGCTCCGGGTGCGCCGGCCCCGAGGGCGGGGTGCCTTGCGAACGGGGGAGCTCTCGGGTGTGATGTAGCGCAGGGCCTCCTCGTCCTGCCTCTGGATGCGAGAGTTGGGGACCCATGCCAGGATGAGGGTGGCTCCCAGCATCTCATCCTTCTCCATGTACAAGCACAGGTAACCTGTGAGGAGCCAGGGGGATGGCACGTTAGAGGCCAGGAGGCTGTGGATGAGGCCCTTGTGGTACCTTTGGCGAGCTGCTCGGAGAGGCCACTGCCCTTTAGTAAAGTGCCAGTCCGGCCTCAGATACAGCCTGGCCCTGAGCAAAAACACTAGAGGGAAACTGTGGAGCTTGAAATGAATTCCAGCTATGCGTGTTTTTTAAGAACACACACTTCCGGCAGATCCAGGGGGCACTGGTCCCCAAGCACCGGCCTGCCATGCGCCTTTCTTTTTGGTTTTTGGGTTTGTTTCTTTTTTCTTTGAGACAGGGTCTCGCTCTGTGTCTCAAGCTGGAGTGCAGTGGCACAATCTCAGCTTACTGCAACCCCCACCTCCTAGGCTCAAGCAATCCTCCCACCTCAGCTCCCGAGTAGCTGGGACTACAGGTGCACACCACCACACCCAGCTAATTTTTTTTTTTTTTTTTTTGGTAGAAATAAGGTTTCACTATGTTGCCCAGGCTAGTCTCAAACGCCTGAGCTCAAGCGAACCGCCCACCTCAGCCTCCCAAAGTGCTAGGATTACAGGCGATGAGCCACGAACTCAGGCTTGCCATGCACCTTTCCAAGTACACCAGGGGCTCTCCCTGTGTTCAGAGCCCTGACCCTGGCCCCAGGGCTCACCTGCCTGCAGCCTCCCTGTCTGTGTGAGCCCAGCGGCCCAGGTGCCCAGCTTCATGGCTTTACAGCACTGTTAGGAGGGATGGAGGCTGGAGACTTCATTCTGTTTCACAAAAAGAATTCATACAGCCAGGCGTGATGGCTCACGCCTGTAATCCCAGCACTTTGGGAGGCCAAGGCGGGTGGATCACGAGGTCAGGAGATCGAGACCATCGTGGCTAACATGGTGAAACCCTGTCTCTACTAAATGTACAAAAAATTAGCCGGGCGTGATGGTGGGCGCCTGTAGTCCCAGCTACTTGGGAGGCTGAGGCAGGAGAATGGCGTGAACCCAGGAGACGGAGCTTGCAGTGAGCCGAGATTGCACCACTGCACTCCAGCCTGGATGACAGAGCGAGACTCCGTCTCAAAAAAAAAAAAAAAATTCATCCAAGCTGGGTGGTATTTGGGCCTTTTCCAATCATCAGTGGCACTCATGGCATTTTTTTAATGCAGATTGTTTGAGGAAGGGGCCACCTTTGCAGATGAGCATTGATGTCACACACGGGGTTGCTGGTGACATGGGAGGAGGGATTTCTCCTGGGCCAGAGCAAGTGGGTGGGTGCTCAGTTCTGGGGGGAGGTGGCATTTCCTAACCCAGCACCACGCAGTTTCAGGATATCCTGATTCCTGGGCCTCCCCCACCCACTCTCCAGGCCTCTACAACTCAGACCCCTAGAATCTCCTAAGCACTGCTCCTGTTGCCAAAACAGGCTGGGAAATTTGGGGAATGTCAGCCAGCTGGGCATTAGGATAACATGAGCCTGAGGCTGAGAAGTGTTTCCACATCCTTTGAGATCGGCAAGAGGGTCCGAGGTGGCTACTCCCTGGTCTCTCTCTCTAGAACACCCTCAGGCCAGGCAACCTCCGGGTCGAGGGGCCGCATCGCCCAGAACCTGCACCCCTTTCTAGGGCACTCCAGGGAAGCCCCTGCCCACACAGCCGCAGCCAACCAGCCGGTGGCTATAAAGATACACTTATCAAGGCAGGGGGACAGAACACTCTCTTTAAATGTTTCATTGGCATAATTTAAACTTTTGTCTTGTTTAAAAATTTATTTATTCAGTATTCGATTGAAACATAATCTGCATAAAGTGCCCAGATCTCACTGTAATTTATAACTTTTTTTTTTTTAATAGAGATGAAATCTAACTCTGTTGCCCAGGCTGGTCTCAAACTCCTGGGTTCAAGCAATCCTCCCACCTCAGCCTCCCAAAGTGCTGGGATTATAGGTGTGAACCACCTCGCCCAGATGACAACTTTACTATTTTGCCATCTTGTCTGGGACTTCTGTCTGTACTCTTGCCCAAGCCAAGCAAATGTTAGGGTGTGCCGGGGCAGGCCACAGCCAGGCTGCAGGACACTGGGGCCCTGAAACATCCTTTTAGCAGCCAGGGAAGGGGACGGCAACAGGAAGAAATGAGAAGAGAGAGTCCAGAGACTGCCCTGCAGCCCCACCTCCACCACACACTGGCACTGTGCAGCCGAGAGTCGCTCAGCCTCTCTGAACACCAGCGTCCTTACCCACCTAAGAGGCCTGCTGGGGCCCTGGCCACTCCCATGAGGTTGTTGTGCAAATTAAATAAAGCAACAGATGAACAAAGCAATGCATTTATTTGTTGCAAGTCATTCACACGAATGACAAGGGGCCAGGCAGGCCTGAGGGATCACTAACCCATCTTTTGTCCCTCCCTTTGGAAGCAGCAGGGCTGAGGGACTCACCCAGCCTGCCATGAGCCAGACTTAACACCCCCCAGACCCTCCTTCCGGGAGGACAGCTGCTGTTAGTTACACGTTCTGGAAGAGGAACCAAATGCACTCTCACGTGCTGTGGCCCAGGGCCTTTAGAGCCCTGGCTCGGAAAATAACCTGGGCTGTGCGACCCTGGAGCCTCGCCTGCCCTGGCTCACCTGGGTGGTGCTCCCCCAGCCCCTGCAGCCCCTCCGGCGGGTGCACGCAGACATTGTTCTTGGAGTAGATGATCTCTCCATCCAGGACAGAGGGGGACCCGCTGCCGCTGCCACCGGGGGTGAGGGTCAGGAGGTCCGAGGCTTTGGAGGAGGCCCTGCGAAGGAGGCGGCCCAGAGACATTGCCGGGCAAGTGTTTCCATCCTCCGCATGCGTCGGCCCGGGCAGGGCTCGTCAAGACCTGCCTGGGGGAGGAAGAGAGAGGAGATGGTCAAGGTTGTGGACTTGCGTTCTGTCTCACAGCAGTACGTGTCGCCTCGGCACCCGGTGGGTTCTGGTTAACCACAGGAGCGTGTCCTGCTGGTGAACAGCTCTGTACAGGGTAGGCCACGTTCTCCATCTTGGCCAGGCCACCCTGTCCATCGCAGGAGGCTGAGCAGCGTCCCTCGCCTCAACCTGTGGATGCCACCAGCACCTCCCTTCCCAGTACGAAAACTAGAACATCTCCAGGCTTTGCCAAATGTGCCCTGGAGGGCAAAATCCCTCCCAAGGAGAACCACTAAGCTACAGAAACTCTGTTCCCACCTTAGCAATTTCACAAAAACCTCCACAAAAACGTTTTTTTCACAAAAAAAAACGTTTTCTTTTCTCAGTTTCCCACCTGCATCAGCACAAATGAGCCCTTCTAATTCATTAAAAAGAAATAAACAGGCAAGGCGCACTGGCTCACGCCTGTAATCCCAGTACTCTGGGAGGCTGAGGCAGACAGATCACTTGAGGTAAGGGGTTCGAGACCAGCCTGGCCAACATGGTGAAACATCATCTCTACCAAAAATACAAAAATGAGCCAGGTGCGGTGGCGGGCGCCTACAGTCCCAGCTACTCGGGAGGCTAAGGCAGGTGAATCGCTTGAACCCAAGAGGCGGAGGGTGCAGTGAGCTGAGATCACATCACTGCACTCCAGCCTGGGCAACAGAGCGAGACTCTGTCTCAAAAAAAAAGAAAGAAGGAAAATTTATAAACTAAAGGATTAGTATACAGAATATATAAAGAACTCCTATAAATTCATGGTGAAAAGGAGCAACATCTCAACAGAAAAAAATGGGTGCTCCACACAAGAGGAAAACCAAAGAACTGATAAATATGTAAAGAGATTCTCAGTTCCAAACAAAAATTCAACACCCAACAAACCAGCAAAAAGCAATTTTAAGTCAAAAAATACTGAGGATGAGGGAAAGGGGAGCTGTCACCAGTCCTGTCTCCTCCAATGCGGGAGCAACATGGCAGAATCTGGCACCACTGAGAAGGCCCAAAGCCCCCTGAAATTCCTCCCTTAGGAAATACCTGAGGGTGGTTCTTCAAACTGCAATTTGCAGCCCTATCATAGATCCTGAAATCAATTTAGTGGGTCAACACCAGCATAAGAAGAAAAAAAGAAAAAAAAAATAGAAAATGCCCTTGAACCCTGGCCATAGGTAGGCTCAGCACTGGGTCAGAGAACTTCTGCCCCGTGAGGACACATTCATGTGGGTAAGACGACCTGGGACGTATGAAATGTATATATAATGCGCTGTGACCTGAAACATGTGATGACTCTGCCTGGAGGAACCCAAGGAAACACCTAATCAAATGCTTTGCAGCCAGTTTCTACCAACAAAAATGAAACCACCAAACCTCTAGATAGCAGATGAGAACCAACTAGACTTCTATACACACATGGAGCTCACAAACACACACACCAAGCCACGCCAAGGAACGACCGTGTCAGTGAAGAGGCAGGCACAGCTGGGCACAATGACTCATGCCTGTAATCCAAGCACTTTGGGGGGCCGAGGCAGGTGGATCACCTGAGGTCAGGAGTTCGAGACCAGCCTGGCCAACATGGCAAAACCCCGTCTTGACTAAAAATAGAAAAAAAAGTTAGCCGGGTGTGGTGGCACGAGCCTATAATCCCAGCTACTCGGGAGGGTGAGGCAGGAGAATTGCTTGAACCCGGGAGGTGGAGGTTGCAGTGAGCTGGGATTGAGTCACTGCACTCCAGCCTGGGCGACAGAGTGAGACTCCGTCTCAAAAAAATAAAATAAATAAAAAAAATAAAAGACAGGCACAGAGCCACGCTGCATCCTGATCACTGATGGGGGATGTCCAGGACTCTGACCACAGCTGGGCTGCGTGCAGGCCGGCTTCACAAAAGTCTGCAGAGGTCAGGGGGCTGGGAGACGACAGCCACAGAGGGGCTTCACCTTCACCTCTTTGAAGGAAGAAAAGACTTGAAGCCAACATGATAAGAATTAGCAACTGGGAGTGAATAAACCAAATGTGGTACAGTGGAATATTATTTGGCCTTAAAAGAAAGGAAATTCTGACTGGGAGCGGTGGCTCACACCTGTAATCCCAGCACTTTGGGAGGCCGAGATGGGCGGATCACCTGAGGTCAGGAGTTCGAGATCAGCCTGGTCAACATAGCAAAACCCCGCCTCTACTAAAAATACAAAAATTAGCCAGGTGTGGTGGCATGTGCCTGTAGTCCCAGCTACATGGGAGGCTGAAGCAGGAGAATCGCTTAAATCCAGGAGGTGGAGGTTTCAGTGAGCCGAGATCACGCCACTGCACTCCAGCCTGGGTGACAGAGCGAGACTCCATCTCAAAAAAAAAAAAAAAAAAAAGAATTAGTAACTGGGAGTGGATAAACCAAATGTAGTATAATGGAATATTATTTGGCCTTGAAAAGAAAGTCTGACGCCTGCTACAGCATGGATGAACCCCGAAAACATTGCGCTAAGTGAAACAAATCAGTCACAAGAGACAAGCACTGTAGGATTCTACTCGTGTGAGGTCCCTAGAGCAGTTAGGTTCACAGAGACAGGAAGTGGAATGGTGGGTGCCAGGGGGTGAGGTGGGGGGAATAGGGAGGTCATGTTTAAGGGGGACAGAGCTTCAGCTTGGGAGGATGAAAGCGTCCTGGAGGTGGACAGTGGCGGCGGCTCTACAACATGATCGTACTCAATGCCGCTGAACCTGATACTTAAAAATGGTTAAAGTGGTAAGTTTTATGTTATATGTATTTTACCACAATAAAAAAGTTAAAAATTATCTATTAGTGGAGGGTCTCCGGGTATATGATCTTGTTCTTTGAACTTTCTGCATTTTTTACATTTCTCCAAAGATCCAGAGCTGGTTGAGGGTGGTCCCTAAATCAAGTCCCTTTCACCTCCAGCACTTGGCTAGGCTCTGGGACAGAGGGTGGGTGGGTGGGTGGAGGGGTCCCCACTGGCTCAGCAGAACTGGCTCCCAGCCTGGCAGGAGGCAGGGGGCAGATGTCAGTGGTGATGGCCACCATCCCAGGACCAGGCGGCTCAGCGCTCTCTGCCTCTCTGGGTTCCTCTCCTCTGACCCCCTCCATGCTTCAGCCTCCCCCAGCCCTGTTTGTGTATTTCCAATTGTCTCCATGGCTGCTGACTTCCCAAGCACAATATTCCAAAGATGTTCCAGCCAGCCCAGGAGTGGCCTTCCCATTCCCATGTCTTTCCTCTGACAGATCCATCACCCCCATCTCCCCATCTCAGAGATCCCGACGTCAACATCACTTGTGAAAATCACCAGTTCTGGGGGTGGGGACCCAGCTCAGATCCTCACCTCCTCAGCCTTGAGCCACAGACGCCCTCTGCCTGATCTCAACCGTCTCCAGGGCCCTCATCCACTCAGCTCTCCCTAGCCCACCCCTTTTTAGGCTCCCTCAACATGTCCAATGAAGGCTGCAGAAGAAAGTCGACCCCTTGGTGCAGGGGTCAGCAAACTTGTTCTGCAAAAGGCCAGAGAGTAAATGCTTTGGACTCTCTGGGCCGGAGAGTCTCTGTCGTGACCACTCAACTCGGCCCTTGGAGTGCAGGAGCAGCCACAGACAGTAAATGATGGGCATGACTGTGACAGTGAAGCTTTACTGACAGACACTCAAGCTTAAATTCTAGATCATTTTTCACGTGTCTCAAAAAGAATTCTTTCCATTTTTCAACCCCCTTAAAAAACGTAAAAACCGGCCAGGCGCGGTGGCTCACGCCTGTAATCTTGGTACTTTGGGAGGCCTAGGTGGGCGGATCACCTGAGGTCGGGAGCTCGACACCAGCCTGACCAACATGGAGAAATTCCATCTCTACTAAAAATACAAAATTAGCCGGGCGTGATGGTGCATGCCTGTGATCCCAGCTACTCGGGAGGCTCAAGCGGGAGAATCGCTTGAACCCAGGGGGCAGAGGTTGTGGTGAGCCTAGATCGCTCCATTGCACTCCAGCCTGGGCGACAGAGCAAGACTCCATCTCAAAAAAAAAAAAAAAAAAAAAAAGTAAAAACCATCCTTAGCTCACAGGCTGTACAAAACAGGTGGAAGGCTGGCTTTGGCCTGTGGGTTGCAGATGGCAGTGCCCTGGCATAGACCATCTGACCAAATCCAGGGGATTCTTCTCCACCTATCCAAACCAGCTCTCTGCCAACCTCTCCAGGAAGCCTTCTGGCCACTCTTGGCCTAAACACTTCATCCCACACAGGGGCATATGACAACCAAGTGACGAAACTTAATTAAAAAAATCACACTGCAAACTACAAATCAAAAAACATATTGTCCTTCCCAATAATCACATGGAAAAGCTATGTTCTGTTCTAATGTTATCCAGAATAGTTTAAGAATTCAAGAATTCTTCAAGAATTGCAAGGTCAGTTAATAAGCCCTGCAAGAAAATTGCTCGCCGTCCTCTAGACCAGCCATGTCCAACAGAAACACTGCAGGAGACATAGATACAATTTTAAATTTTCTGGTAAGCAAAAAAAAAAAAAAAAGTGAAATTAATTTTAATAATTTTTAGCATAATATATCCAAAATATTATTATTTCAGCATATAGTCAATATGAAAACATTATTTCTTTATTTTTTTTTTATTTTTTGAGACGGAGTCTCACTCTGTAGCCCAGGCTGGAGTGCAACGGTGCAATCTCGGCTCACTGCAAGCTCCGCCTCCCAGGTTCACGCCATTCTCCTGCTTCAGCCTCCCGAGTAGCTGGGACTACAGGCGCCCGCCACCATGCCCGGCTAATTTTTTTGTATTTTTAGTAGAGATGGGGTTTCACCATGTTAGCCAGGATGGTCTCGATCTCCTGACCTCGTGATCCGCCTGCCTCGGCCTCCCAAAGTGCTGGGATTACAGGCGTGAGCCACCGTGCCCAGCCTGAAAAAATTATTAATGAAATCTTTTACATTCTTTTTTTTTTTTTAGAGACAGGTTGTCACCCAGGCTAGAGTGCAGTGGTGTGATCACAGCTCACTGTATTCTGAAACTCCTGGGCTCAAGGAATCCTCCTGCCCAGTCTCCCAAATAGCCTGGACTAAAGGCACATGCCACCAGGTCCCGCTAATTTTTTTATTTTTTGTAGAGATGAGGTTTCACTTTTTTGCCCAGGCTGGTCTTGAACTTCTGGCCTCAAGTGATCCTCCTGCCTCAGCCTTCCAAAGTGTTAGGATTACAGGCGGGAGCCACCGCACCTGGCCTATTTTATGTCCTTAAAGTCTCCAAAGTCTGCTGTGCATTTTGCACTTAAGCACGTCAAAGTTCTGCTCAGCCACGTTTTGGGTGCTCTGTAGCCTGCGCGGTGTCCACACTGGACAAGGCCGCAGCGGGGCTGGAGCCCACCTCCTTCTGTGTTTCAAATGGCTCTACTCAGTGTGATCGCTCCAGTTGCCAGAGCTGGCTGCACACAGCTCTCAGCTGCTTCCCCAAATCAAAACCCTCTTTAAGTGAAAATGTTTTGCCAGCACTGAGGATAATCAAAAGAATGTGCTGGAAGCTTTAAAGGAGATTCCGAAATACAAGTGTTCAAAATACAGCATTTTCTCCCATACCATGACAGGCAGAACCTCACTGTGGCTCTGCGAGGTGCGTCCCAACAGTGCAGCTTTACGGAGGAGAAGACAGGTTCTGACCACTCAGGGTCATTTCGTGAGCGGGAAACCCTGCAGCGTGAGACCTTCGTCCCCCACGTGCAGAACTCCGGCTCCTCCATCACCCGCCACCTGGGACACCAGGACAACCCCCCCCCGCCCCTCCCAGATTGTTCTGGAGAGACTGGGCTCTTTTTGGAGAAATGGAGCATGTCTATTAAACATTAGACAGGACTGTTTGCTCTCTAAAAACAATTCTCCTTATTTGTAAAGTGCATTTGCTGTTTCGCAAGAGGCTATTTCATCGAAATCCAACCTAGTTCCCAACCTCTGGTCACCAGCAAACTAGAAGTGGAGAATCCTTGGCCCATTTTTTAAAACTTTTTTTTAGTTATGAAACACACTCAGAGAAGGAAAAGGAAGAATACGTGTCCCTTAAATCACATAATCCTAAGACATTTATGTATTCTCTACTATATTTTGTGCCCTATAATGAATGAGTTAATGAAAAACCCACTCCTTGGAATTATATCATATCTTGCTTTCAGTTGGATCATAAATATATTTTCCCAGGTGAAGTATACTTATGATATAACAAACTTTAGGGTTGAAGTACATCCCCTAAAATTCCTGTGTTGAAGTCTTAAACCCCAGTACCCAAGAATGAAACTGTTTTTGAAGACAGCATCTTTATAGAGGTGATCAAGTTACCTTGAGGTCAATATGACTGGTGTCTTTATAAAAAGAGGAAGTTGGTAGCAGGTGCCTATATACAAGGAGAGTGCTGTGTGAATACAATGATGCCACCTACCAGCAAGGAGCAGGCCTGGAGCAGCCCCTCCCTCACAGCCTCCTAAGGAAACAATCCTGCCGACACCTTGATCTTAGACTTCCTGCCTCCAGGGCTGTCAGAGAGATTTCTATTGCTCAAGCCACCTGGACCCTGGTACTTTGTTAGGGCAGCCCTAGCAAACAAATATACCACATTATTAACACATTTAAAAAGTATAAGGCCAGGTGTGGTGGCTCACGCCTGTAATCCCAGCACTTTGGAAGACTGAGGCGGGCGGATCACCTGAGATCAGGAGTTCAAGACCAGCCTGGCCAACATGGTGAAATCCTGTCTCTACTAAAAAATACAAAAATTAGCCAAGCGTAGGGGCGGGTGCCTGTAGTCCCAGCTACTCAGGAGGCTGAGGCAGGAGAACTGCTTGTACTCAGGAGGTGGAGGTTGCAGTGAGCTGAGATGGCGCCACTGCACTCCAGCCTGGGAGACAGAGCGAGACTCCATCTCAAAACAAATAAATAAATAAAAATAAAAATTATAAATGCCAACCCTCCATCTTCATAGAATCAGCCGCCATTGCTAGGCATCTGGCTTCCAACTAGTGGCTACTGAAATAATAAACTCCACATTTTAATACATAAATCTTCATCTGTATCCTCATTATTTCCAGGATTACTGTTTCCCCAGGAGGATAAACTGGACCCCAACTCGTATTGCCCAGTGGGTTCCCCGAAATGTAAGAGTGCTGCCAGGGATTTAAATCTCCACCAGGCTGGGAACTGAAAAATGGTTTTCTGACTGGGCACAGTGGTTCACACTTGTAATTCCAACAATTTGGGAGGCTGACGTGGGAGGATTGCTCAAGCCCAGGAGCTCAAAACCAGCCTGGGCAGGGCCGGGCACGGTGGCTCACGCCTGTAATCCCAGCACTTTGGGAGGCCAAGGCGGGTGGATCACCTGAGGTCGGGAGTTCGACACCAGCCTGACCAACATGGAGAAACCCCGTGTCTACTAAAAATACAAAATTAGACAGGCATGGTGGTGCATGCCTGTAATCCCAGCTACTCGGGAGGCTGAAGCATGAGAATCGCTTGAACTCAGGTGGTGGAGGTTGCAGTGAGCCGAGATCGTGCCATTGCACTCCAGCCTGGAAACAAGAGTGAAACTCCATCTCAAAAAACAAAAACAAACAAACAAACCAGCCTGGGCAACATAACAAGATCCCACTTCTAAAAAATTAGCTGGGGGTGGTGGTGTGTGCCTGTAATCCCAGCTACTCGGGAGGCTAAGGTGGATCACTTGAGCCCAGGACGTCGAGGCTGCATTGAGCCATGATTGCACCACTGCACCCCACCCTGGGTGACAGATTATCCTATATTTATTAGACATTTGTGTTCACTTGTGAATTATCTGTTGGTGTGCTTTGACAATTTTTCTGCTGGCGTGGTGGAATTCTTATTATTTTTAATACAGAGATTAAGCTGAGATGGAATTTTCATTGATATGTAAGAACTCTTTATATAGTAAAGATCACTACATACACACCATAGACACACACCATAGATACATACATCACGCACCACATACCATAGGCACACACCATAGGCACACTGCATAAACATCACAGACACACACACCACACACCACAGACACACACACTGCACACACCATAGACACATCACACACACAACCCCATAGGCACACACCACACTCTACACACACACCATAGACACACACATCCACCACAGATGCACACATACCATGACACACCCAGGCACACACACTATGACACACACACACCATGACACACAAACACACACCATGACACACACCATGACACACACAAACACATACCATGACACACATGTATTTCTCCTAATTTGTTGTTTGCCTTTTATTTATATTACCTATTTTGACATACGGAGGTTTAAAACTTTTATGTAAATTGATGGTAACTTTTTCTTAGTAACTTCCTTTATTACTTTTATACTTAATATAATCCTTTCCAAGCTAAAGATCGTTAAACATTGGTCTATATTTTCTTCTATGTTCAATGAACTACTTTTAATGTTTCAAAAGCCTAATTCAAAGCATATATTTACCTGAAAGGGACTCACATGTTAACTAAAGTATCGAGCAGTTCATTGAGTGTTTATGTTGTTTTTATTGCTAGGCCCTGTTTTTATTGCTTACTCAGTTATCTGACAAAAACACTGAAATCTATGATAAATTAATAAAGCTGGGACGTTTATTTTTATTTATTTATTTATTTAGAGACAGAGTTTCTCTCTTGTTGCCCAGGCTAGTGGAGTGCAGTGGTGCTATCTTGGCTCACTGCAACCTCTTCCTGCCAGGTTCAAGTGATTCTCCTGCCTCAGACTCCCGAGTAGCTGGGATTACAGGTGCCCACCACCACGCCTGGCTAATTTTTGTATTTTTTTAGTAGACACCAGAGTTCACCACGTTGGCCAGGCTGGTCTCGAACTCCTGCCCTCAGGTGATCCACCTGCCTTGGCCTCCAAAAGTGCTGGGATTACAGGCGTGAGCCACCACGTCCGGCCCTGTTTTTATTTTTTTGAGGTGGAGTCTCACACTGTCGCCCAGGCTGGAGTGAAATGGCACAATCTTGGCTCACTGCAACCTCCGCCTCCCAGGTTCAAGCAATTCTCCTGCCTCAGCCTCCCATGTAGCTAGGATTACAGGCACCTGCCATTACACCTGGCTAATTTTTGTATTTTTAGTAGAGACGGTTTTGCCATGTTGGCCAGGCTGGTGTCAAACTCCTGACCTCAGGTGATCCGCCCGCCTCAACCTCCCAAAGTGCTGGGATTACAGGCGTGAGCCACCATGACTGGCCGGGGACATTTATTATATAAAACTTTATGGACAATTTTAAGAGGTGCCTTGGCCGTGACCCGGAGGCCTATGTGGTTTGGCCCACCTCATGGTCCACACCCTCTCAGCTGCCGCAACGCTGCACATGTGACAAACACGTGTGTGAGATCCACGGTTCTCATACTATCACACGCTCTGGTGAGAGTAATGGCTCATCACAGGCAAGATTTACCGCGAAATGGGACAGGCGGGGTCATTTTAACTTCCTCCCCAGGCCACCCCCTCCACCCTGCTGAAAGCACCTGCAATAAAATACGTTTTCAGAAATTCACCAGATGTCCCTTCCAAAGATCAAGCCCAGCTGCTCCCCTCCCCTTTATGGGCAGGCGGCCCTCCAGGGGTATTGCGAACGGGCTCCAGCGACAGCTGCTCGGAGGCTACCATGGGACAGTACCCGGGCAGCCACAGCCCTCCATGCCCTCCTTCCGCCCCGCAGTCCCAGCATGAAGCCACAGTTCCCCATGAGCCCAGGGCAAGCTCGTCAGAGACCCTTCCCTGCGGAGGCCCACAGCCCCTGCGGCCACTTCTTCCCCGAATCTCAATCCTGCTTCGTGTGGCCACTGCTGAAAGAGACGCTCAGTGCCACTTAGAGCGCACAGCCCACTGGTCCAGGCTGTGCACACCCAGGGACCCTTCCAGGCATTCCTCACCTCGGTGCAGGCCAGGAGCGAGAACTGCTGCCGGGCCCCCCCCCACCGGCTCAGGGCGTGGCTGGGGTGGCCCTGCTCCTCGGTGGCCCGCCTGGCCCCGCTGTGGGCTTCCCTCCCACCACCCCGGCCACAGTCACAGCGGGTTGTGTCAGGCCGCCCTCATCTCCCACCTCCCAGGCCCAGCTGGCGCCTCCAGCCCTGGTGTGAATTTCCATTCAGGGTCCAAAATCCACCTTGGCAGCGCCCTCATTCTGCAGCTCCACGGAGCCCTCCAGCCAGAGAAGAGAAATCTGAGTTTAACCCGATCCTGTCAGAAGAGCGGGAGGAAAGAGCTCCGGCGGACAGGGCTCCCAGGCCCCTCCAGGACGAGGTTGGAGGACCAAGCGCAGAAGGTAAGGACGCAGCCCTCGGCGAGTGCGGGCGGGGCCCAAATCCCTCGCCGGCCGGCTAAGCAGAAGCGGCTTTTGGCTTTCCGCGACAAAGCGCAGCTCCGGGCCAGACGGTCCTGCCCGGCCCTACCCGCAGCCCCGGCCCCAACCAGAGGCCCCACTTCAGCCCACCAGGCAGGACTGCAGCGGGGCACGCCCCACGGACCCCAGCCCCTTGGAGATCCCAAACCCCATGCCTGCTGCTCCCACCCCGGAGGAGTCAGAGGCCGAGAAGCACACACACCATAGACCCCACACCACGCACACCATAGACACACATACCACACACCACACACCATACCACACACAACACACACCACAGACACACACACCATACACCATAGACACACATACCACACACACCATAGACACACACACTACACATCATAGACACACACACCACACACACCATAGACACACACACCACACACCATAGACACACACCACACGCACCATAGACAAACCACGCACACCATGCACACACCACACACCATATACACACACACCACACACGACACACCATAGGCACACACACCACACACCACACACCATAGACACACACACCACACACCATAAGCACACACACCACACACACCATAGACATACACACCATAGACACACAGACACACATGCCATAGACACACATGCCACACACGACACACCATAGTCACACCACACATACACCAGACACCAAGACACACACACTACATACACACCATAGACACACATACCTACCACACACTACAAACCATAGGCACATACACCATAGACACACGCACTACATACACACCGTAGACACACACCACAGATACATACATCACACACCACATACCATAGGCACACTGCATAAACATCACACACACACCACACACCATAGACACACACACCACACACACCATAGACACACCACACACACAACCCCGTAGGCACACACCACACTCTACACACACACCATAGACACACACACACACCACAGATGCACACATACCATGACACAACCAGGCACACACACTATGACACACACACACATACCATGACACACACACACCATATACACACAAACACCACAGACACACACACACCATAGGCACACACAAACACACCAGGACACACACACCATAGACACACACATACCATGACACACACGCACCCCATGACACACACCACACACAGCCACCCTCTGCTCTACCAGCTTTGCCTCTGTTCTCCGACAGCGCCAGTGTTGACACGCCAGAGGCTGCCTGGGCCCCACTCCTTCCCAGCTGTCTCCAGGATTAGGGAAGCCCCAGGCGGATCCGGGGCCGCAGGAGCCTCCCTACCCAGCCCCCATGCTGGTCTGTCTTGGGTCCATAAACACAAGTCAGCCACCTGTCACCGGGCGGCAGGAAGTGCAGGCTCTGTGAGCTGGAGGAGGGGGCGCCTAGGCTCTGAGGGCTGAATAAGGGGCCTGGCAAATGCCCCCGGAGAGCCCTGGAGAGTTTTGCAGCAGTCCTGGCACCTGGGCTTCGGGGCCCGCCTGCTGGGAGCAGCCGCCTGCTGGGAGCACCTCCTTGCTGGAAGCACCCCCCTGCCAGGAGCCCCCCACCCCCACCCAGGAGCACCCTCCTGCTAGAGTGCCAGGGAGACACTGCTGCCTAATGGCCAGGAGCTTGCCCAGGGCAGTGACTTCTGGTCCACTTCTGTCCCTTGGTTGTGTCCCTAAGACCCAGGGACCCTGGAAGGTTCACCTGTCGGTGTCACACGGTTCCTTCTTCACACAGCAGGAACAGAGGTACAGAGAATGGCGTCCAGGCCTCCTTAAGGACTCTCAATCCATGAGACAGGAAGCCCCACAGGGAAGCAGTGGCCCCCCGCCCCCTATCTCCTCACATACAGCACTCTGTACCTTCTGCTCATTTTTCTGTAAACCTAAAACTGCTCTAAACAATGAAGTCCGCCACGCAGAAACTGCACACGGATGTTGAGAGCAGCTTTACTCATAACTGCCAACACTCAGAAGCAACCGAGATGTTCTCCAACAGCTGAATAAATAAATAAACTGTGATACACCTAAATAATGGAGGATTATTTAATACTAAAAAGAAAGGGGCGGCCGGGCATGGTGGCTCACGCCAGTAATCCTAGCACTTAGGGAGGCCAAGGCGGGTGGATCACCTGAGGTCAAGAGTTCACGACCAGCCTGGTCAATATGGCAAAACCCCATCGCTAATTTAAAAATACAAAAATTAGCCAGGCATGGTGGCGCACGCCTGTAATCCCAGCTACTCAGGAGGCTGAGGCACGAGAATCACTTGAACCCGGGAGGCAGAGGTGGCAGTGAGCCAAGATTGTGCCACTGCACTCCAGCCTGGGTGACAGAGGGAGACTCTCTCTCCAAAACAAACAAACATCATCTTCTGGGGGAGGGGGGAATCTATTAGTTTAAAATAAAAAGAGGCTTGAGATCAGGAAGCTTGCATCCAAAGAGGTGTGGAGGAGGCGTGGACGAGGGTGGAGTTGTGTGGACCAATGCCGAGAACAGGCAGGCAC
Organism: Homo sapiens; assembly: GCF_000001405.40. Taxonomy (NCBI): domain Eukaryota; kingdom Metazoa; phylum Chordata; class Mammalia; order Primates; family Hominidae; genus Homo; species Homo sapiens. The sequence continues at coordinate 80,026,580 of NC_000017.11, forward strand.
TAGAGGCAGGCTGAACAGAGCAGAGTCAAAGACAACGTTTGGTTCCTGGACTGAGAACCCAGCTGCCGGCAGCCCAAGTTGTCTGATGGGAGAGTTTCCTAATGTCCTTGAATCTGCAAGATGCAAGACTTTGAATGGCCCTTGCCCACAGCAGTGTGGAGCAGTTGATGCCCATGACCTTAGGGACCTGGAGTCCTGCGGGGTTTGAGGGGGGCAAAGAAAACCATTCGTCCTGGGAGGCAAGGAAGCTGGATGTCAGGAAGGCTGCCCCAGTATGGAACTCAGAGCAAGGGGGACATCCAGGTTCCCTTCTGCGGGCCTGGGGCTCTTCCTAGGGGCCAGATGCCTTCTCATCAGTACACGAACAGAGGCGGGGGCAGCCAGCAGAACTCCTAAGACACAAAATGAGTGAACACTGGAAAGGGAGCTGAGACAGGCCTGCAGCAAAGAACAGACACCAGGCTTTTCCAATCTATAGGAAGGACTCAGAGTTCATCAAAATCAAAATAGCAATGCAAGATGCTCAAAGCACCTTGTGGCAATTATTACAAATCCCCTCCCCAAATCCTGAGAGATGAAGATGGATAGAGAAGCTGAGGAGGCTGGGCACGGTAGCTCATGTCTGCAATCCTAACAGTTTCGGGAGTCCGAGGTGGGCGGATCGCCTGAGTCCAGGAGTTTGAGACCAGCTTGGGCAACATGGTGAAACCCCGTCTCTACAAAAAAGCAAAAATTAGCTGGGCATGGTGGCATGTGCCTATAGTCCCAGATACTCAGAAGGCTGAGTCAAGAGAATCGCTTGAGCCCAGGAGTTCGAGATCAGCCTGGGGGACATGGAGAAACCTTGTCTCTACAAAAAAACTTTAAAAATTAGCCAGGCTTGGTGGCCTGTGCCTATAGTCTCAGCTACTCAGGAGGCTGAGGTGGGAGGATCGCTCGACCCTGGGAGTTGAGGCTGCAATGAGCTGTACTTGCGCCACTGCACTGCAGCCTGGGTGACAGAGCAAGACCCTGTCTCAAAAAAAAAAAGAGGCCGGGTGCAGTAGCTCATGCCTGTAATCCCAGCACTTTGGGAGGCTGAGGCGGCAGATCGCTTGAGGTCAGGAGTTTGAGACCAGCCTGGCCAACATGGCGAAACCCCGTCTCTACTAGAAATACAAAAACTAGCTGGGCATGGTGGCAGGCGCCTGTAATCCCAGCTACTTGGGAGGCTGAGGCGGGAGAATTGCTTGAACCCGGGAGGCAGAGGTTGCAGTGAGCTGAGATCGCACCACTGCACTCCAGCCTGGGCAACACGGCAAGACTCCAACTCAAAAAAAAAAAAAAAAAAAAAAGAGAAGCAGCTAAGGGTAGATCCTTGACAATAAGAACCCCCCATTCTCCTCAAATGCATCCACTTCACATTTGTATTTTGAAACGGTGATGTCCTTGTTGGTTTGTGTTTTCAATAATAAGCTCCCGAGTGCATGACACCTCCGAGACGCTCCTTTTATAATGTGCCTCCCAGAATGCCATCTTCGTTAAGGTTCCAAATGCCTTGTTTTTGTTGATGGAAAGGATAGCAATGCCAACTTGGCAGTTGGCACAAAGAATTCACAGATGGATTGAAGCCAAGATCTACAATTTGCATCAGCTTGAGTGTACAAAAAAAAGAAAAGAAAAAAAGAATAGCCGGGCGCAGTGGCTCACGCCTGTAATCCCAGCACTCTGGAAGGCCGAGGCAGTTGCATCACCTGAAGTCGGGAGTTCATGACCAGCCTGGCCAACATGGTAACACCCTGTCTATTAGAAATACAAAAATTAGCTGAGCATGGTAGCACACACCTGTAATCACAGTTGCTCGGGAGGCTGAGGCAGGAGAATCGCTTGAACCCAGGAGGCAGAGGTTACAGTGAGCCAAGATGGCACCATTGCACTCCAGCCTGGGTGACAGAGCGAGACTCTATCTCAAAAAAGAAAAAGAAAAAAAAGAATGATTTTAGAAGGCAAAAAGTAAAAGCGTCAATGCTGATTCTAAACCATCAGACCGGGGCATGATGACCAGTTGATTTTTTTTTTTTTTGAGACAGAGTCTCGCTCTGTCGCCCAGGCTGGAGTGCAGTGGCGCAATCTAAGGTCACTGCAATCTCCGCCTCCTGGGTTCAAGCAATTCTCCAGAGTAGCTGGAATTACAGGCGCGCGCCACCACACCCAGCTAACTTTTGTATTTTTTTTAGTATAGACGGGGTTTCACCATGTGGGCCAAGATGGTTTCAATCTCCTGACCTCGTGATCCGCCTACCTCGACCTCCCAAAGCGCCGGGATTACACGCGTGAGCCACCGCCCCGAGCCGACCAGTTGATTTCTGTGCTGCTCAAAGCCATTGGTGACCAGTAGGTAGGGCCAGATTTCTGCAAAATAGGCCATTGTGTAATTCGAAAGGAAAGAACAACTTGGCCATTCCTCAACAAAAATACACAGGCTCATAAAACAAAAAACTGTGCAGAAACTCCTCCACCAGAGAGTCATTCTTTCCCAGAAACCTGCAACTCTTTAAGAATTAGAGCACCATTGAGAAGCATGGAGTCGCAGCACCTGCAGCTGGCAGGGGTGTTAAACTGGTGATAAAGGTAGCTGAAGTCTGCTTCCAGGACGAGAGCGCTTTGAGGGGGCTGGAGTAGGGGGAGCTGCCTGCAAGGTGAAGACGTGGGAAACCTCAGAAGCCCTAAGGAGAGAGGGGCGGGCAGGGGAGGAGAGGGGCAGCAGATCTATTCTTTCACAATGCTGTTGGGAACTGGCCAGGCTGTTGGGTTGGAGCTGACACAGGGCGCAGCTGTGAGCCTGCTGTTAACCACACATGTTCCCTTCCCGTCCCCTAGGAGCCACTTGGCCACTGAAACTTGGCCTGGAACAGCCAAAGATTTGGTGACTCACTGTGTGAGCAGTGGGGGTGGGTCTTCTCTAGCAAATATTCACAGGGCATGAGGTTAGGACATCTACTACCCAAAATTCACTGCCCAAGATTTGGTGACTTATACCCTAGAAAAGAGAGTCCTCCTCAATGTAGAAAGTGGCAAAGTCACCAGAAAACCAGAAATGAGCAAACACAGATAAAGAAATGACACAACCGTCTCCCCTCTTGTCTCCTTTTGAAAGCCCTCATTCCACGCGTATGAGCTTCCTACGGCTGCTGTGACAAATGACACAAACTTACCAGCTACAACACAAATGCATAACCTTACAGTCCTGGAGGTCTGAAATCTGGAATGGGTCTCACAGGGCTAAAACCAGGTATCAGCAGGGCTGGTTCCTCCTGGAGGCTCTAAGGGAGAGTCTGTTTTCTTGCTTTTTCCAGCTTCTAGAGGTCACCCACACTCCTTGCTCTCGACCCCTTCCTGCATCTTCAAGGCCAGCAGTGGCCGATCGAGTCCTTCTCATACCTCATCTCTCTGACCCTGACTCTCCTGCCTGATCCTGCGATTGCATCAGGCCCACTCATATAACCCAGGATCATCCCCCATTTCAAGGTCAGCTGCTGAGCAACCTTAATTCCATCCCCAACTTGAATCCGTGGCCACGTAACATACCATATTTACAAATTCCCTGGATTAGGACATGGGCATCTTTGGGGGCCATTCTTCTGCCAACCACACCAAACCGAGGACACTGTAAGGAGCTGATTTCCAACTCGCAGGGCGGCCTCTGACCTGCTCACCCACTGACGGTGAACCCCCCACGCAGAGTGACTACTCTTTTAGCAGTAGGATGAGGACCGAGGCCTAGAACCCAGGAGAGGAGCACGCCTGGGCCCCGACGTCCCTGTGAGGGCAGCGAGAATGGACACAGGTGGGCTACAGGTTCATGACCAGGACCTGCCCGTGGAGGCTGCCTCCACCTAAGGTCTTAGTTTCCTGTCCTGGCCTAAAGGGCTTCATCAGTTCCCAAACAGGAAAACAAAAAGAACAGAGGTGCAAAAGTCTCTTCCAGAACCCTCCTGGAGGTAGCCTGGAGCCACTAGGAGAGAGGTATCACCCCAGCCTCTTCTCTTGCTCACTCTGTGCCGTGCACCGGCCTCAGGGCCACCTTGGGTTAGGGGCCAGGATGCAGCAGTCAGCAGGACAGACCTGGTCCTGGAAACCCATGGAGCTGGCAGTTCCCACTCACCAGAGGGACGCAGCCCATGCCCACTAGTGACAGGCAGGGGCAGAGGCAGAGGCAGGCAGGGTGTGGGGGCCACGGGACGCAGCCCACCACCGATTATTCCCATGGCCATGTCACTGCCAGACTGCTCAGGAGCAACACGCACTGAGCCCGGTCACCTGGCACATGGCCGGCAGAAACTGGTTCATCTGCTTTGCCCTCAAAGCCCAAGCAACAAAGAACAGGGAAACAGCGACACCTTATTAAACACGAGCCAGACACACGCAAACAAGGATCGCGTTGCCCCCGCTGCAGAACGTCTGCTGCTGGCATGCCTTGGATGAGGCCCCAGCTTCCTCCACCTGCCCAGAGCCAGGCAGGGGCCCTACCCATCTTCCTGGGAACCCCTGGCTTTGCGGGTCAAAGGGCGATATGGAATCTTGTAGGCAGCCAGGATCAGGACCCAGTCCCCGGGCAGCAGGCTTGGGGAAGGTAGCTCCTTCAGTCTCATCAGGAGGATAATCCCCTGCGGGGCCGCCGTGATTTCTCCTCGCAGCTGCGCTGAACTTCAAGTTACAGGATGAATTGAGAAAATAAAGATACTGGCTGCACACAGAAGCCACATTCAGGATACACCCGGAAAGCCTGGGGCCCAAAGATGAGCCTCTATGCAGAAGCGAGAACGGGACATCAAGTTGTATTTAAAATGAAGAAACTAGGGCTTAGGGCATTCACTGCAGTGCTGGGATCTTGGACCATAGGGAAAGAGGACCCCTGAGAGGCTATAACGGGGCAGGACCATCACCAAAACGGTGGTGAGGGAAAACCTGGTGGCCTGTGTGGCTGTGACTCTCCTTTTGCAACTGTCCAGCGGTCACCCTGATTAGCACCCACTCCCTGGAAAACCCCAAAGCCTCTGCCTCCAAGGAGAGACCATCTGCCATTTGTGCACCCTTGATAGTAGATTGTAAAATCCCATTTCCCCCGCAAAGAGCCAAGGAGGTCAGGCCTGGGAGAAGAAACTCAACTCAGAGGTGAGCCTGGATCTGGGACTAAGGAAAGACTAAACACAAAGGGTAAGGGAAGATGCAGACCCAGCCAGGAAATCAAAAACTGCCCTGAGTCTGGCTCAGGTACCTCCTACTTCTATGCTGTGCCTGTAAACATGGAGGCCTAAAGCTTCTCAGCATCTGTCAGTGAAGGAGCAGTGAATGCACCGCAAAACAAAACTGAAACTGGGGGGACATATTAACAACACCCAAAAGCAACACAACTGATCTTGCTTTGGAAAGCATTTTAGTTACAGAAAAGGCAAAAGGCTGTCAAATGACATCTGTAAAGTTCACCCTTTCCCCCACTTCCAGAAGGCTAGAGTAATGATGAACTATATTGGAGCATTGAATTCAGGCTCACTCAACATGCAAAAAGCAGTACACGACTGAAGTGTGCAAGCCAGCATGGATGCGGGCTTGGCACCCGCAGTACGTTGGCTTCATAGTGACCAATCCAGAAAGACCACGGAGAAAATACTGCCACATCTCAGCGTCTGCAGCCCATACAGGCAAGCAGACACATGTATCACCTTCCAACGCCTGCACAGACTCACCGCCCAAGGCTCAGCAACAGAAGGGCAGGCCATTCCGACTGGACAGTGGATTTGGATTATTTCTCTTTTCTTTCTGTTATTCATGTGTCAGAAGCCACCACGGGCAGAAATCGAACTTAGTCTTACAGTGGCCCGATTTCTCTCATCCTTTGAGGATGGTTATGTAAGTTCCGAAGACAGAGTAAAGAACGTATTTCAAATCAGATGCCACCAGACAGCTCATAAAAGCAGATTTATTAGAGATGCAACATCAGGTGCTCAAAGGACAGATAGGATAAAAACACCAACAAAGCCAACAGGATAAAAAACACTGCCGCTGAGGTGAACGGAAAAAGGCCTCCAACATCATTGCCCCATATTTTTGGGAAGGGTGCAAATGTGTGCTCTCTCCTGTGCACTGGCCTCATTAACAGCAATATAATGCAAATGCAATACAAATGGTGTACAATTCGATCATAAAATCATCCTCTGCGCTGTCACCTTCACATCCCAGAGCCACCCGCCCCCGGTGCTTAATGCTGGATGAAACAAAGTAGCTAATCTTACAAGAGAATTTAGGCCTGTGACAAAAATCAGGGTCCCTCAGCCAGGGAAGAAGGGGAGCTAAAATTTTCACAGGAGGTGGTGTTGCCAGGCAACCTGATCAGCTCTGCTCCCCATAGCATCCTGCAGGGACCCAGCCCCCGGTCAAGTTGTAAAGATAAGGGTACACATACGCACAAATAGTAAATCCTACATCTGCCTGGAATCACTTTCCACCTCATGGACCACACAAAGGGGAGTGAGGAGTCAAAGCACAAAAACAAAATGTTTTGTGTCAATCTAGTTAAATGTGGAAAATCCAAATAACGGTCATTAATAACAGTGTTAAAATGTTACCATTTGACATTACTTACCACATCCTAAATGGTAACTCAGGATGTGTCAGGAATTCAATGCTTTTCATAATCCTTGCACAAAGTCTCTGAAGTAGGTAGTATAGATGGGGAAATTAAGGCACTGGAGAATTAACTAAGTGCCAGAGGAGTTGGGGTTTTTGTTGTTGTTTTGTTGTTGTTGTTGTTTGGGTTTTTTAGGTTTTTTTTTTAAGCAGAGTCTCACTCTGTCACCCAGGCTAGAATGCAGAGGCTGGTCATGGCTCACTGCAGCCCTGACCTCCCGGGCTCAAGCTATCCTCCCACCTCAGCCACCCAAATAGCTGGGACCATAGGTGCCCACCAGCATGTCCAGCTAATTTGTTCATTTTTTGTAGCGATAGGGTCTCTCTAGGTTGCCTAAGGTGGTCTTGAACTTCTGGGCTCAAGTGATTCTCCCAAAATACAGGATTATAGGTGTGAGCTACTATGCCCAGTCCAGGATTTGTATTTGAAGCCAGCAGTCCATCTTTCTACGCCATGTTCTTAACCACTGCACCTTATTACCCAAAACTGTGGACAGAGACCAGTGCAATTGTAGGTAGGTTCTGCAAACTCAATGGCTTTATCCTGAAGCCTGGGGGATGCTTTCCATACTGAAGTGAACTGAGATTAGCAGCTAGTGGTGACATGGGATTAGTCCCACCTCCTTGCACTGTTATGAACCACTTGGAAGAATGTTTGTATATGAATGGTGGGCACCCTCTGTAAGACAGAGGGCAAAGTTGTACAACGGTTTTCTGGAGCTGGGACGTCCTGGGCCTAAGGCCTAATTCTGTCACTCCTAACTGCATGAGCTTGGGAAGTTACTTCTCTAAGCGTCAGTGTTCCCATCTGTAAATGGGCATAACTGCAGTCCTGACTTCATGAGCTTGTTTTGTGGGTTAAGTGAATTCATGCATGATAATTAGGAACTACTAACGCAATCACCAAAATTGCTAGAGGATTAAATAATTCCACAGATAAAAACTTTTTTTTTCCTTTTTTTTTTTTTTTTTGAGACATAGAATGTTGCTCTATCACCCGGGCTGGGGTGCAGTTGCACATCTTGGCTCACTGCAACCTTCGCCTCCCGAGCTCAAGCGATTCCCCTGTCTCAGCCTCCTGAGTACTGGGATTACAGGCTCACGCCACCACACCGGGCTAATTTTTGTATTTTTAGTAGATATGGGGGGTTTCACCATATTGGCCAGGCTGGTCTCGAACTCCTGACCTCAGGTGATCCGCTCGCCTCGTCCTCCCAAAGTGCTGGGATTACAGCCGTGAGCCACGGCGCCCAGCCATAAAAACTTTCGCCATAAAAACTTTCGTTAGCCATAGTCTCACCATAAACATGCCACTTACAAAAAAATATGCGCACAATAACCACGCTCAGGATGCAAACAACATCCATTAATGAACTTTGTAGTTAATACCAAAAGTTACTCCTCACTTTATTCTTTATTTACAAAAGCTTTCATGGTTCTTAAAAGTGTTTAGTATTCACCAATTTTACTGTTAGCGTTTCTAATGAGGATTTTCTAAAACTGAGGCATGGATTTGAAAAAGTGTTCTGATCAATCAGTAACAGATTTGGAATGGAATCTCCAGCCCCCAGTCTTTGCGCCCACCCTCTGGCAATATGCCGCCTCACGTGAGCATCTTTAAGACGGAGTTCCCTTTTTATTCCAGATAAAAGAATTAGGAGCCTTCTGGTAGAAAAGAAAGCAGATCTTCAGGATCAAGTCGCAGAGGCTGGCCAATCAGCCCAGCTTCTCATTTGAACTTGACCCAGACAGTAAAACAAACTTTACCATAAGGCGAGACTAACTTTTGTTATGTCTTTTCTATTCATTTCCTATTTCTGAATCAAATCTGAACTACTTTGTGGCCAATATACGACACCAGCTTCCGAGTGTGGGAATCACAGGATTTCAGGATTCAGCGGCTTCCGGCAGGATCCCCTAGGTTATGTTTAGCAATCTTCAGTTGCCTTTCCTTTTTTTCTTTCCTTCCTTTCGTTCTTTCTTTCTTTTTCTTTTTTTTTTTTTCCCAAAGGAAAGAACAAGGGAGCCCAGGCGGAACGGAAGTGAGTATCCCGACACGCGGATCTTAAACAGCCCAGACCACCAAGCCCGACAGGCCGGGAAAGCTGAGCGCGCGCTGCTGGGGGGACGCACACTTTGGAGGCTGTGTGGGCGCGCGCCGGCACCCCACAAGTTCTCATCCGTCTGCTCCGCCGATTCAGCCAGACAAAGACCGCAAGTTCCCCGGTCCACCGCTCCAGACAGGCGGGGACCAGTCTCCCCGAATTAGGCCCATTCCGGGCCCGGGCGCCCTCACTCGCCGCGGGGAAAAGTCCCCAGGTGCCCCTCCGTGATCCAGGTCCTCCCACAACGCTCCCGCTCCTGCTGGCGCCCCGCACCCCGAGGACGGCGGCCGGACCCCGGCCCCTCCCCGGTCCCGCGGCTGCAGGCCCACGCGCCCCACGCGCCCCGCGCGCCCCCGCCCCAGCTCCGCCGAGGGGGCGCTGCTCGCTGCGCGGTGGACCCCTCGGACCCCGCCCCCGCGGCCCCGTCCGGGCCCCGATACCCACCCGGGTCCCGCTGCGGGGGCCGGATTCGCGCCGGCTCCGAGAGCCGCCACCGTCGCCTCCGCCGCTGCCGCCGCCAGTGAGGCGCGGCGGGGCGGGGACGCGCGGGGAGGCCCGGCCCCCGGCCCGCCCCCGGGCCCGCCCCCGGCCCGGCCCCTGCCTGCCCCCGCCGGTCTCCCCGCCCACCTTCTGGCCCAGCCCTGGGCCCAAGCCTCTAGTTCCCTGCTGGCCCTCCCTCAGGCCTCGCCGCGTCCCGGCCTCGGGGACTGTGCCCCGTCCCGAGCCTGGCGTCCCCAAAGGAAAGGCAGGGCTCCTCGGACGCTCCGCGTGCGCGCTGGCCCTCCGCTGCCGCCCTCTGCAGGGAGATTTCTCCTATTTCGGACTAGGAAGGGAAGATACGCTCCGGAAGACCCCCCGGGCGTCCATGCAAGGAGTCTCCGTAGGACCCCTGGAGAAGGGCACCGGAGCCCCCTAGGGCAGGAGATGGAAAAGCGCTCGCCATGCGCGGGGTCCCCGGCCCCCGGTGCCCCCAGCCCGCCTGCCATTCCCGGGCGCTTAGCAGTCCGGGGTCCCCAGGTGCCCGGCAGGTCCCTTCGGGACCTCGAGCCGCCCGCTGGGCACACGCTGACGCCGCTGTCGCTTTACAGAAATTGAGCGCAGCCGAGGCGGGACCCGGGCGCAGAGAGCGATAAAGGAAAAGCATGGTCGTGCTCTAATCATTACAGTCTAAGGGACGACACGTCGAGACGGCGCGCGCCTCTGCGTGCGTGGAGATGGCACAAAGGCCGCGCCGCCCCCGGCGGCCCCCGCCCTCGCAGCGCGCGTGGTCCCGGCCCGGCCGGATGTTGACAGCGTCGCCTAGCAACGGGAAATGGCGGAACCGGGCGGCGCGGCGGGCCGGTAAGCCGGGCCGAGGGGCAGCGGGTCTTGGAGTCGCCAGGCCGCGCTCTCCGTTCACCGCTCCAGGTGGCCCCCGCGTCGGCTCCTGCCTCGCCCCTTCGCCTCCACTCCCCCTTCCTCTCGCCTGTGTCCCTTCTCTCGCCATTTTGCTGGCCTTTCCCGTCCACTGCGTTCAGCCCCTCACCCCCCCGCCAACCCTTCTCACTTCTCCCCTCCTGTCCCTTTGTCCTCTCTCGGCCTCCCTCTTTCCCCTACTCCAAGCGCGCGACTCCCTCTAAAACCCGGGACCGCTCACTCTGCAGTCACCATGGCAACCACTCTGCGTGGCGGTCCCTGCGCGCAGTCCTCCTAAGAGTAGAGGGCTCTGCAGGGCGCGGGGCTGTTGGATACCGCCCCTGACCTTGCTCCGGGGCCACTCGCTGTGGCCGGAGACCAGCCCGGCCCCGCGCCTCCCTCCTGCAAGGACAGATCCCCTCTCGCAGGCTTGGGGGTGACCCGCGATGGGAGGGGTCCCTGCGGTTAGGCGGCCCGCGATAGTCCGCGGTCACCGTCCTGGGGCCTGGGTGGAAGCACTGAGCGCGCACAGGGAGGGCGGCTGAGTGAAGATCCCTGCCACCGGGCCTCTGCTCGCTTAGGCTCTGTTTAAAAGGATAGAAACGATTGGAAAGAGTTTGGCCTTTTTACCTTAGACACATCGGTATTGTTTCATTTTTTTAAAGGTGGGTCTGTATGTATTGACATGGAAAGACTAAAGGTATTATTAATAAAACGATAGGCATAAATGTAAAAGGGTAGGTATACTATGATCTCTAATTCAGGGTGTGTGTGTGTGTTTAAAACATAGAAAAATGTTGAAAGAATGTGGTCCTAAATGTTATCAATGATTATCTTGGGAAGGAAAGGGAAGATCACAGGGAACTGTCACTGTCTGTCTCTTTGAACATATCTATATTCCTTTGACAGATAAAAATAGCTTGAATCTTTAATTTTTTAAAAAAGATATACATATATATATATATATATATATATTCCTGTGCTACGTAAATCGTGGAGAAACTCAGAGTCCCCAGAACACTTACTCTGATCGCGCTACTTTCTCTACGTTGTATTTCTTTTCCCCAGTTTTGTCCCAGACACAAGTTATATTTGAGGTGACTTTTCTGGGGTGATCTAATCCTGCTGTTCCTTCGATGTTTTAATAATTATATTTTTCATTCATTCATGGAGCTTTGCTTTTGTGGCATCTCCGCCACCTGACAGGCATGATATAGTGCTATGGTTCCTGACAAACAGGACAAAGACGTGACAACAGCCTGGGGGTGGCAGAGAAGTAACAAGTAAATAAACAGATGTGCAGAATTCAGGAGGGGATAAGGACCAAGAAAAAGAAAGCTGTTGCTTGAAACTGTTCAATTGTTTCTCTAAAACCAGGTCCCATCCGGAAGATGGATCGGCTTCTGAGGGAGAGAAGGAAGGGAATAATGAAAGCCACATGGTAAAATTCCCTATGGGCAGTTATTCCGGGCTTATATTTACTAGGAATTAAAGAGAATCAGAGTACGGGCACTGTGGCTCACGCCTGTAATCCCAACACTTTGGGAGGCCAAGGCAGGTGGATCACATGAGGTTAGGAGTTTGAGACAAGCCTGGCCAACATGGTAAAACCCCATCTCTACTAAAAATATAAAAATTAGCCGGGCGTGGTGGTGCGCACATGTAGTCCCAGCTACTCGGGAGGCTGAGGCAGGACAGTGGCTTGAACTCGGGAGACAGAGGTTGCAGTGAGCCAAGATCACACCATTGCACTCCAGCCTGGGTGACCAGTGAAACTCTATCTCAAAAATAAATAAATAGGCCGGGCACGGTGACTCACGCCTGTAATTCCAGCACTTTGGGAGGCCGAGGCAGGCAGATCACGAGGTCAAAAGATCGAGACTATCCTGGCCAACATGGTGAAACCCTGTCTCTACTAAAAATACAAAAATTTGCCAGGCATGGTGGTTCACGCCTGTAGTCCCAGCTACTCGGGAGGCTGAGGCAGGAGAATGGCTTGAACCTGGGAGATGGAGGTTGCAGTGAGCCGAGATTGTGCCACTGCACTCAGCCTGGCGACAGAGCGAGACTCCATCTCAAAAAATAGATAAATAAAATTAAATTAAAAATAAATAAATAAAGAGAATTAGGACTTGGTCAAGTATATTGTATGATGACATTATCTTGCACCAGAACAAACTCAATTCAGTTGAAGAGAGACTCATTTTCTTCCTACCCCATTCTACAGTGTCAGTGATTAGTCAGGGATGCAAAGGATGTCCAACTTTGGGTTGCCCTGAGTTTTTCGGAACTCATTTCCTGTAACAAAGGATGCAAAAATGATTATGAAAAGCAGAGAGGGCCAGGCATGGTGGCTCACGCCTGTGGTCCCGGCACTTTGGGAGGCTGAGGCGGATGGATCTCTTGAGGCCAGGAATTCAAGACCAGCCTGGCCAACATGGTGAAACCCCATCCCTACTAAAAATGGAAAAATTAACTGGGCATGGTGGTACACACCTGTAGTCCCAGCTACTTGGGAGGCTGAAGCAGGAGAATCGCTTGAACCCAGGAGGTGGAAGTTGCAGTGAGCCGAGATCACGCCACCGCACTCCAGCCTGGGCAGCAGAGTGAGCCCCTGTCACAAAAAAAAATAAAAAAAGAAAGAACAGATAAACTGAAGCATGAAACATGATTTTTTTTTTTTTTGAGACAGAGTCTCACTCTGTCTCCAGGCTGAAGTTCAGTGGCACGATCTCAGCTCACTGCAACCTCTGCCTTCCGAGTTTAAGCAATTCTCCTGCCCCAGCCTTCTAAGTAGCTGGGATTACAGGTGTGCACCACCATACCCAGCTAATTTTTGTATTTTTAGTAGAGACGGGGTTTCACCATGTTGGTCAGGATGGTCTCAATCTCCTGACCTCGTGATCTGCCTGCCTCAGCCTCCCAAAGTGAAACATGATCTCTTAGTGATGCTGAGAAGGGTATAAATGCAGTTTTCCCATTGATATAATTACACTATAAAGAATAAAACCTCACAAGGTCCTTTATACTTTGTTTCCTGATTTTTTTCCTGCCACACCTTTACAGGTGTCACCACCAGAGAAGGATGATGGCCAGAAAGGTGAAGAAGCTGTCGGTAGCACAGAGCATCCTGAGGAAGTCACAACCCAAGCGGAAGCTGCAATTGAAGAGGGGGAGGTGGAGACAGAAGGGGAAGCAGCAGTGGAAGGGGAAGAGGAGGCTGTGTCCTATGGAGATGCTGAAAGCGAAGAGGAATATTACTATACAGAAACTTCATCCCCGGAAGGGCAAATCAGTGCTGCAGATACGACTTACCCGTATTTCAGTCCTCCTCAGGAACTGCCTGGAGAGGAGGCATACGATAGTGTTAGCGGGGAGGCTGGTCTCCAAGGCTTCCAGCAAGAGGCCACCGGTCCACCAGAATCCAGAGAAAGGAGGGTCACCTCCCCAGAGCCATCCCACGGAGTCTTAGGCCCGTCGGAGCAAATGGGCCAGGTCACCTCTGGGCCAGCAGTGGGCAGATTGGTGAGTAGCCCTGACTTCTGTTTTGTGCCAGTGTCGCACGGCCCACGGGGTTTGTCACCCTATGTGAGGAACTTGGGAATACATTATAAATACAAATTGCAATCCCTGTTAGAAATGTCTTAGCAAGGCTGGGTGCGGTGGCTCACGCCTGTAATCCCAGCACTTTGGGAGGCGAAGGTGGGTGGGTCACCTGAGGTCAGGAGTTCGAGACCAGCCTGGCCAACGTGGTGAAATCCTGTCTCTACTAAATATGCAAAAATTAGGCAGGCGTGGTGGCGCACGCCTGTAATCCCAGCTACTCAGGAGGCTGAGGTGGGAGAATTGCTTGAACCCGAGAGGCGGAGGCTGCAGTGAGCCAAGATCCCACCATTGCACTATAGCCTGGGCAACAGAGTGAGACCTTGTCTCAAAAAAAAAAAAAAAAAGAAAAGAAATTTCTTAGCAAGCTTAGGTCTCAGGATTCACGGTCAAATGCTGAGAGATCCTGGACTCTGCTTCAGTCTGCCCAAGCCCAAGGCTGGGGGCCTCCATAGCCGCCATCCACGTAAGGGCATCCAAGTTCCCAGGCTTCCAGAGCAGCATTGTCCAATACGGTCCATCAGTCACATGTGGCTACAGAGAGCTCTCCAAATGTGACTAGCGAGCTGGAGGAATGGAGCTTTTAACTGTTTAAGATTCTAATTTCCATTTAAATAGCCACCTGTTGCCAGTGGCTGCCATAATGAATAGTGCAGTTCTAGATAAAAACAATGACAATAGCTGCGTTCTTATATTTTTTCATCAATTTTCTTTAAACAATCACAAAGTTACAGAAAAAAATGGAGTACAATAAAAAGGATCTTTTATTTTCTTAAACACTGGAGAGTGGGTTGCGGATCTGGTCACCAAAGCCTTCGAACGCTTCTGTATGTTTCCCACAAACAGCTGGGACACAACCATCAAAATCTAGAAATTGGGTCGGGCATGGTGGTGCACGCCTGTAATCCCAGCACTTCGGGAGGCCAAGGCGGGTGGATCACTTGAGGCCAGGAGTTCGATACCAGCCTGGCCAACATGGTGAAACCCCATCTCTACTAAAAATACAAAAATTAGCTGGACGTGGTGGTGCACACCTGTAATCCCAGCTACTCGGGAGGCTGAGGCAGGAGAATCACTTGAACTGGAGAGGCAGGGGTTGCCGTCAGCCGAGATCGCACCCCTGTACTCCTGCATGGGCGACAGAGCGAGACTCTGTCTCAAAAAAAAAAAAAAATTCTGGAAATTGCCTTGCTCCATTTCCAAGGAATGCTCAGGCCTCATTCAGGGTTCACCAAATGTCCCAATGATGTCTTTTGTAGCAAAGAGATTCAGTTCAGAATCAAATGTTGCCTTGAGTGCTCATATTTCTGTAGTCTCCTCAGTCTTTCCTTGACAACCTTGACCCTTGTGAAGGTCATAGGCCAGCTGTCTTGTAGAGCGCCCCTCAGCCTGGATTTGCCCCGTGTTTCCTCATGATGGGGTTAGGGTCATGAGGCTTTAGTGGGACTATCACGGAAGCGACGTGGGGCTCTCAGTGCGTCCCACCAGGGATGCAGGATTCCAGCTTCCACCATTCCTGATGATGTTCACTTCTGTCACCAAATTTAAAAGCACCAAGATTCTTCATTGTGAAGCGACCTTTTACTCCTTTATACTTAATGAAGATTTTGTGGGAAGGTGCTTTTTTCTTTTTTGGTTTAAGATAGGAAGGCGAATACTATTTAGAATGGGAAAAAAATTGCAACAGATTCCAACCAGTTATTGAGGACTTCTTATATTTGCTTACAAACGTATACAGGTGTTATACAACTTTTGGCAGATTTATCCCTAAGTATTTCTCTTTTTTTTGAGATGTAGTCTCGCTCTGTCACCCAGGCTGGAGTGCAGTGGCATGATCTTGGTTCACAGCAACCTCTGCCTCCCGGGTTCAAGCAATTCTCCTGCCTCAGCCTCCCAAGTAGCTGGGACTACAGGCACACACCACCACACCTGGCTAAAATTCGGTATTTTTAGTAGAGATGGGGTTTCACCATGTTGGCCAGGCTGGTCTCGAACTCCTGCCCACAAATGATCTGCCTGCCGCAGCTTCCCAAAGTGTTGGGATTACAGGTGTGAGCCATCGCTCCTGCCCAGTATTTCACATTTTTGATGCCATTATAAATGGTTTCCAATTGTCTGTGGCTAGCATATAGAAATACAATTGGTTTTTGTATACTCACCTGATATTCTGCCACGTTGCTAAAGTCCCTCACTAGTTAGACTAGCTTGTTTGTAGAATCGGTAGGCTTTTTCACAAAGATAATCATCTCATCTGAGAAAAAAGACAGTTAACTTCTTCCTTTCCCATCCAGATGCCTTTTCTTTCTTTTTCTTGCCTGATTGCATTGGCTAGAACCGCCAGCACCATGTTGAATAGAAGCGGTGAGAGCAGACCTCTTGTCTTGCCCTGATCTTACAGGAAAAGCATCAGTCTTTGACTGTAAAGTGCCATGTTTGCTGTGGGTGTTGCAGATGCCCTTTATCAGGTTAAGGAAGTTCCCTTGTATTCTCGGTTTGTTGTATGTTGTTGGGTTGTTTTTTTTTTTTTAATCATAAAAGGGTATTGGGTTTTGTCAAATCCTTTTCTGTGTCTGTTAAGAAGACTGTATTTTCCTTTTTAGTTAGTTGATTTGGTAGATTACATTGATTGATTTTCAGATGTTCAAGCAACCCCGCATTCTGAGATAAACACAGGGAGCCACTTTGGAGTGATGTGAATGTCGGTTCCTCTTTAAACTCTTGGTTTATTTATATTCTTACATCTGCATAGACTCAGGGCTCTCCATGTGATTCACTGGGTTATAACCCATTACTGTCATTATGTATTTTGATGCTCAGTTTGGCCAGTGAGGGCCCATTTAAACCAGCCTTTGTGTGATCGGACGCACCTCCATCCTTCTTTGAGGGCTTTCTTGCTTTCTGCCATAGACTGCCCAGCCTTAGAATCAGACATTTCTCCAGGAGCCCTGTTTCTGTTAGTGGAAAATAGAATTTAGAAGTTATCACTTGGGTGCTGGGGTCCTCATTGATGCTGGGGTGTCACTGTCCCCAGGACCTCTCAGCGGCAGGAGATAGGGCCTGTGTGCGTGTACTGTACGTACTTCCCCCACATTTATACATACACCATGTACACAGACATTCGCTCACATCTATATTTATTGGAACACACCCCTGCGGCCGGCCTTGGCTCACACCCCTGCGGCCGGCCTTGGCTCACAACAGAACCTCTAATTCCATCTCACCTCCATAAGGAGTCCCTCCTGGTTTTCTCCTCTTCCTTTTTTTTTTTTTTTTTTTTGAAACAGAGTCTTGCCCAGGTAGCTGGGACTGCAAGCACTCACCATCACGCCCGGCTAATTTTTGTATTTTTTGTACAAGGGGGCGTCTTACCATGATACCCAGGCTGGTCTCGAACTCCTGGGCTCAGTCAATCCTCCCTCCTCAACCTCCCAAAGTGCTGGGATTACAGGCATGAGCCACCACGCCCGGCCTCCTCTTCCATATTTGTAGCTCCTTTCTCCAACAGGGAGAAGCCTGGCCCCATGATCCTTACTGTATTCACTGATGTGGTCAATCCTCCTGGATGTAACCTGTCTCCCACTTTTACTGCCTTGGCTGCCCCCTACTCCCAGCATACCTTAGGTTTCAATTGTTCTGCGAGGGGAGATGGGAGTATGGAAGGGAGGCAGGGAAAGAGGATGCTTTATACTTCTTAGCACTGACTATGGGATAGACACTGTTCTGTGTTGTCTTAGAATCCTGACAACCCTACGAGGTAGGAACTATGATTGTGCCCATTGTACAGATGAGGAAACTGAGAGGTGCAAGGTCATTGCATAGTCACCCAGCTGTTGCGGCAAACGGTAGCTCTTGCTTCAAAGCCACCGTTCTGAACCACAAGGCACCCATCCCTCCTACTCCCCTACCCTGGGAAACCCGAAAGAGTTTCTAAAAGTCACTTTGGAGAACAGCATGATTCAGTATTTGGTGAGCCCTAATTAAGTTTTATGATCACAAGTGACAAATATAAAACCAAAACCAAAATCTTATTTTAAGAATTTATCAACAACAACAGGCCAGGCCTAGTGGCTCATGGCTGTGATCCCAGCACTTTGGGAGGCCGATGCAGGCGGATCACTTGAGGCCAGGAGTTCGAGACCAGCTTAACCAACATGGCGAGACCCCATCTCTACTAAAAATACAAAAATTAGCCGGGTGTGTTGGTGCACACCTGTAGTCCCAGCTACTTAGGAGGCTGAGGCACAAGAATCGCTTGAGCTTGGGAGTCAGAGATTGCATGAGCCAAGATCATGCCACTGCACTCCAGCCTGGGAGACAGAGCGAGACCCCATCTCAAAAACAAAACAAAACAAACAAACAAAAAAAAAAATATATATATATATATATATATCTCAACAACAGCAAAACCAGTGTCTTCACCTTTGTTTAAGTGAAGTCTAGGTCACTTGTTGCTCTGTAAACCCGATTTTCATCCTTGGGCCTAGTTTCTAGAAAATACACTGGGAAGTAGTTTTCAAATATGATTGAAGAAAGGGCAGGGACAGCCCCTGAGCGAGCCTTGCTTCCCACCTCCCACTGGCTCTCAGTCTTTGGGACAGTGTGAGTGGAGCTTGTGTCCAGTTGTGCACACGGACACCCGGAAACCTCTCATTAGGAGAAGCCACTGCTGCGCACCCTGGAGATGGGTTTTGACCCTGGGCTCCCGTTAATGTTGTTGTGGCTCCAGATGCCTCAGAAATAACTTCCAGAGTCAACACCATCTGCGGAAGTGCCGTGAGACGGTGCATGGGCTGGAGACAGAGACAGCCGGCGCCGAACATACCTGGGGCTGCCCGTGCAAACTGGGGCAAGCCCTTCAGCCTCCATGTGGCTGCTTTACTATGGAGAACAGAAATGACTAGAACCTGACTTGTGGGGTTATGGCGAGGGTGGCATGAGATGAGCTTTGTAACAATGTGTTGTTTATGGGCAGCAAAACCCTGACTCATTGTCTGGGTTACTAATATCCAAGAGTTCATCATCAGCGATAATTATTGTCAATAGTCGTAACTGCAAAAGTCTCTTTTAAAGCTAAAATGGATGCCGGGCACAGTGGCTGTAATCCCAACACTTTGCGAGGCCGAGGCGGGTGGATCACTTGAGGTCAGGAGTTCGAGACCGGCCTGGGTAACATGGCAAAACCCCGTCTCTACTAAAAGTGCAAAAATTAGCCAGGTGTGGTGGCAGGTGCCTGTAATCCCAGCTACTCAGGAGGCTGAGGCAAGAGAATCACTTGAACCCAGGAGGCGGAGTTTGCAGTGAGCCGAGATGGTGCCACTGCACTCCAGCCTGGGCGACAGAGCGAGAGTCCATCTCAAAAACAACAACAACTACAAAAAACGCTGAAAAACAGAGCTGGGGAAAGGCATTAAGGGGAGGGCTTCTCATAACAAAAACTATCACAAAAGACTCTGCAAACCCCACAATGTTGCACAAAGATCATCATAACCTTTCAAAAAAAAAAAAAACACTTCTGCTAGGACAGCTGCCAGCAACTGCCTGTCGAAACTTGGACTGATGCCACCCTGTTATTGATCCTTACAGCCAAGGAGAATTATCGCAAAACAATTATGTAATCCTCCTCATTTTTCCTGTGTCAACTTTCATCTTCCTTTACCTCCCCAAATACAAACATAATTTACTATGACACCCGTATTCCCATTGCAATGCCCTATCCCCAAATAAATGTCATTTTCCTTTACAGAACCTCTCTCTGTTTGTTATTTAGGATGATACATTGCTCAAAATTTAACATGATTGTTAAAGTAATAGGAAATCACTTGGATATAAAAATCATCATTTGACTTTTGCAAATGTCCAAAATGGAAAACATCTAACTCTCCCCCGCCCAGGGAATTCAGAAGTGGTTCCCCCAGCTCACACCTGTAATCCCAGCACTTTGGGAGGCCAAAGCGGAAAGGCTGAATGAGGCCAGGAATTTGAGACCAGCCTAGGAATCATAGCAAGACCCTACCTCTAAGTAAAATATTAAAAAATTAGACCAGTGTGGTGGTGTGCACCTGTAATCCCAGCTACTCTGGAGGCTAAGGAGGGAGGATCACCGGAGCCCAGAAGTTGGGGGTTGCAGTGAGCTATGATTGCAGCACTGCACGCCAGTCTAGGTGGCAGAGTGAGACCCTTACTCAATAATAATAATAATAATAATAATAAAAGAGTGGTTTCTGCGTGTCTGCATCTGTAGCTAAGTGTAAACACCCAGGCACGAGAATGCATGGGTCCTGGGATCTTTTGCTCCCACATGCTGAGCGCCTCGAGGATGGGAAACCACAACTCTGAGCACCCTCTTCATGAAAGCATGCGGAAAAGCCTCGGCTCCTGGCCAGGGTCTCCCAAGAGGACTGTTTCCTCTTCTCTCCTTTCAAACCAGCCCCCTTTAGGGAAATTTCAATAAGAAAATGTCTTCCCTTCATAAAAACACCTGGCTCGATTTTAACTTTATTTATTTATTTATTTTTGAGAAGGGGTCTTGCTCTGTTGCCCAGGCTGGAGTGCAGTGCTGTGATCTCTGCTCACTGCAACCTCTGCCTCCCGGGTTCAAGCAATTCTCCCTCCTCAGCCTCCCAAGTAGCTGGGATTACAGGTGCCCGCCACCGCACCCAGCTAATTTTTGTATTTCTGGTAGAGACGGGGTTTCGCCATGTTGGCCAGGCTGGTCTCGAACTCCTGGCCTCAAGCGATCCACCCGCCTTGGCCTCCCAAAGTGCTGGGAGTTACAGGCATGAGCCACGTGCCCGGCCAGGTTTTTTAAAAAACACACAGGTGACTATATTTTGAGTCTGACAACTTTCACAAATGTAATGAGTTAAAATTGAATAACTTCTCAGTGGCAATTAAGCCCTGTTGACTTAGTTTTGGTTGTTCTTGCCATAGACAGGATCCACAGAGGAGCCCCAGGGGCAGGTGCTCCCAATGGGCGTCCAGCACCGCTTCCGGCTGAGCCACGGGAGCGACATCGAGTCCTCAGACCTGGAGGAGTTCGTCTCGCAGGAGCCAGGTGCCACCCACCTGCTGAGGTCACCCTGCCCTGGCGATGAGCCACCTGCACAGGCCCTTCTGTGCAAGGGATGCCACTCGTTTGTCATCCGTTACCTGTTTCCTGAGTGGCTGTGAGCTGAAAGAGAAAAATCTTATTAACAGATATGGATAACATTTATTGGGCATTTACTGTTTTATCTCATTTAATCCTAACAGTGACCGATGAAGTAGGAATCCTTCTCCATTTAACAGACAGGTTCCCTAAGGCCATTAAGGAACTGGTCCGATTAAGTGACAGAACGCGGCCTTCACCAAGATTCAGTGACGCCCAGCCCCATCCCCTGACAGCCATTTCTCACGGGCTCCTGGTCTCAGAGCGAGACGTGCCGTGACAGCAACCCCAGGCCTGAATCTGTCTGCTGGCTTTCAAAGGCTTTCCAGAACCCCTGTCTTCTTACGTAGTCCCAGTATCCCAGTGTTGTGGACGTGGGAGGGCAGATCAGGCAGTTGCAAATTCCCTGTGGTACCGACCTGCAGCCGGTCCAAACCTTTCATTACTTGCAAATGACATGAAAACAGCACGTGTCTAAATTAGTAAAAAAACAAGCCGGGCGCGGTGGCTCACGCCTGGAATCCCAGCCAAGGCCGGTGGATCACCTGAGGTCAGGTGTTCGAGACCAGTCTGGCCAACATGGTGAAACCCCTGTCTCTACTAAAAATACAAAAATTACCGGGCGTGGTGGCGGGTGCCTGTAATCCCCAGCTGCTCGGGAGGCTGAGGCAGGAGAATCGCTTGAACCCCGGAGGTGGAGGTTGCAGTGAGCCGAGATCACGCCACTGCACTCCAGCCTGGGCAACAGAGCAAGACTCTGTCTGGGGATAAAAAATATTGTATCCAATCCACTAGTTAAGTGGCCACCTTTCTGTTCACTCTTTATGTGTAAAGAAAGCCTCTCAAAAATAATTTCCTTCCTGCCTACCTTTAAAACGGGACGCTTTCTCTGGGATGCATTGAGTCAGGGAATAGAAGATGGGGTGAATGATGTTTCTGACCCACAGACCGTTGGGATGCTTTTGCTGTCACTTTCCCATCATGCTGCATGAGGCATGACAGCAGCTGTGCCATTGATGCCCCAGAATAGAATCACTGAGGCTTCTCTCCAGCAGCTCCTCAATGGTGTCGCTGTCTCTCCCCCCAGTGATCCCCCCAGGGGTGCCCGATGCCCACCCCAGGGAAGGAGACCTGCCAGTGTTCCAGGACCAGATCCAGCAGCCCAGCACCGAGGAGGGGGCCATGGCAGAGAGAGTGGAGTCCGAGGGGAGTGACGAGGAAGCAGAAGACGAAGGGTCCCAGCTGGTGGTTTTGGACCCAGACCACGTAAGGAAGCCTTCCCAGGTTTTGCTTTTGCCTACATGGATGGCGAATGACTCAGGCCCCTTTCTCTGCCTGCACTGTCTCCCACTCCTGACCCTAAATGCTGTACTTGTATCTCGCCTGTTCACTGCACCGTTTATTGGCACTGATTGACCTGCCTCTTCGTAGGGTACTCTCCTCTGAGGTTGGTATAGGTGAGGCCTGTGTTTCTCAACCCCGGAACCACTGCCCCGTGGGGCCGGGTCATTCTGTGCTGTGCCTTGCATGGTGTGGAACAGCATCCCCGAGCTCCCCCTGCTACATGCCAGGAGCACCACCCCCCCGCCTTGGTTGTGATCATCAAAAATGTCTCCAGGCTGGACGTGGTAGCTCATGCCTGTAATCCCAGCACTTTGGGAGGCCAAGGTCTGTGGATCACCTGAGGTCAGGAGTTCGAGACCAGCCTGGCCAACATGGTGAAACCCCATCTCTACTAAAAATACAAAAAAAAAAAAAAATTAGCTGGGCATGGTGGTGAGCACCTGTAATCCCTGTTACTCAGGAGGCTGAGGCAGGAGAATCGCTTAAACCCAAGAGGCGGAGGTTGCATGCAGACAGCCAAGATGGCACCAGTGCACTCCAGCCTGGGCAATAAGAGCGAAACTCTGTCTCAAAAAAAAAAAAAAAAAAATGTCTCCAGTCATTGCCAAATGTTGGCGGTGTGGGGCCCATCTTCGCAGCCACTGCCTTGAGGGCACCAATTGGATCGCAGCTCCCTGCCCCACCCACTGGCAAGGGGAAAAGGCAGATGTTGATTTCATTTACCCATCAGGACAGCTGCAGAGCTCCAGGAACTGCCGGAAGGAGCTGGGGGCTGCACAGGGAGGTTCTCTCCCCAGACCACTGCTCCACCCCACCCTCTGGCCCCAGCTCACCATCATTTTGCCAAAATATGCACTCAGTTCTCTGCAAGTGCCTCAGATGAGACCATGAGGTGCCTTTAATTTGTGGCTTCCAGAGTAAGAATCCCAAGCAGAAGCAGGGAGCACTCCACACGGAAGTCGTCTCTGGCCCACCGGAGGGAGACCTGTGGCCACCTGGGCTGAGCCCTGGGTCGGGCAGGAGGGTAACCAGAAAGGTAACCACCTGTGGTTTTCCATTGTTCTAGCCCCTGATGGTAAGATTCCAGGCTGCCCTGAAGAACTACCTGAACCGACAGATCGAAAAGTTGAAGCTGGACCTCCAAGAGCTGGTGTGTATCCGTCCAGTCTCCCACCCTGGTCGGATGCCTGCGTCCTGGTGACCCTGTTTCTCTCTTTGGTCCAGGTTGTGGCTACCAAGCAGAGCCGAGCCCAGCGGCAGGAGCTGGGGGTGAATCTCTATGAGGTGCAGCAGCACCTGGTACACCTGCAGAAGCTGCTGGAGAAGAGTCACGACCGCCACGCAATGGCCTCGAGCGAGCGCAGGCAGAAGGAGGAGGAGCTGCAGGCCGCCCGCGCTCTCTACACCAAGACCTGCGCAGCCGCCAACGAGGAGCGCAAAAAGTGTAAGGCAACCCGGCAGCCCCACACGCCATCCGGTCCTGGAGGGTTTCCCAGGGGTGTCTCCATGTACCATGGCCAGGCATCTAGAAAAGTAAGATGTGTGTGCATCCTGGAGGGGTTCCCACCCTTTTTAGGAGGGGAAGGCACATAAATCAAATGTCTTTTTGTTGTTGTTTTTTTGAGATGGAGTCTCACTCTGTCACCCAGGCTGGAGTGCAATGGCGCGATCTTGGCTCACTGCAACCTCCCCCTTCCGGGATCAAGCCAGTCTCCTGGCTGAGCCTCCCAAGTAGCTGGTATTACAGGCACCTGCCACCATGCCTGGCTATTTTTTGTATTTTTAGTAGAGACGGGGTTTCACCATGTTGGCCAGGCTGGTCTCGAACTCCTGACCTCAGGTGATTCGCCTGCCTCGGCCTCCCAAAATGCTGGGATTACAGGCATGAGACACTGCACCCGGTTATAAATATGTTAAATGGCACCTGTCAGGACAAAGCAGCAAATGCTGAAGCTGCTAACAGCCAGAGCGTAGAGATTCAAAACTGGGAGAGATGGGTGAGCTGCAGAGGTCCCAGGATAGATGAGACCAGGAGGCGAGAGCAGACCGGGGGTGATGGAGGGTTTCAATAGATGCGAATGCGAGGGTGAGGCCGGCACGACGGTCAGACCATGGCCCAGGGCCTGACCGCCGTAGGATGTGTGCGGCAGGTCAGTGGGTAGCTTTGAATCAGATGAGACAGTGGGGGCTACAGCACGTGCTATGCAACATTACCGATAAAGCAACGTCCTTGCACAGAGCTGGTCATGTAGGTGACCGGGGACAGTGGCTTCCTCTTGTGACTACGGAGTATTTCAGTCTTTATGCTTTTTGATGTTTTCAACTTTCTCAATCAACTGTGTATTACTCTTATAATGGGGAAATGACCTACACAAACCTGGAGGAAAACAGAAGCACATGGCTATCCCAGCTGTTCTGGAAAGAAACATTTTAAACCCTGAGAAAAGTGGAAGAGGTTCTGGAAATTTCAGAGTTAGGGTAAGTGGGCACTTATCAAGCACCTCTCTTGGCTGGGCGCAGTGGCTCACGCCTGTAATCCTAGCACTTTGGGAGGCCGAGGCGGGCGGATCACGAGGTCAGGAGATCGAGACCATCCCGGCTAAAACGGTGAAACCCCGTCTCTACTAAAAATACAAAAAATTAGCCGGGCGTAGTGGCGGGCGCCTGTAGTCCCAGCTACTTGGGAGGCTGAGGCAGGAGAATGGCGTGAACCTGGGAGTCGGAGCTTGCAGTGAGCCGAGATCCCGCCACTGCACTCCAGCCTGGGCGACAGAGCGAGACTCCGTCTCAAAAAAAAAAAAAAAAAAAAAAAAAAGAAAAAAGAACCTCTCTCCAGTTAGCATCAAATGAACAGAAAACAGTAAAAGGAAAGAAAGTGACATCCACACTGAACTGAAAGAGCCACATCCTCCAGAAGTAACCAAATTTACACCCACCTGAAGGAGGACGCGTGCCCCTAACTGCTCCCCACACCTGCAGTGAGGCTGGAGCCGTGGAGCTGGTGTGGAGCGCCCTCCGGCTCCCCTCTGCTAGGGCTTAAAGAGTGGGTGGGATTCCAAAAAGATCCAAACACTCTGGTGGACTCTGCTTCCTGGAGATTAGGAGAGGGCCAGAGCCGAGGCTCTTCAACCCAGCAAGGCCTGCGTCAAACAGCACCGTCTCTGCCTTCTCAGAACTGAAGAATTTGGGCAACGGTCCCGGCCCTGACCGGGGGGCAGCCACCACTGCACAGTCCCTTAGGTGAGACGTGGGTCCTGGCCCCTGGAGAAAGCCCACGGTCACCTGCCTCATCTGGGAGGGAGACTGTATTAGGGTTGTCTAGAGGGACAGAACTAACAGGATAGATATATAGAGAAAGGAGAGTTTATTCAGTATTGACACAGGATCACAAGGTCCCACAATAGGCCGTCTGCAGGCTGAGGAGCAAGGAGAGCCGGTCTGAGTTCCAAAAATGAAGAACCTGGAGTCCAGTGTTCAAGGGCAGGAAGCATCCAGCACAGGAGAAAGATGTAGGCTGGGAGGCTACACCAGTCTCTCTTTTCACATTTTTCTGCCTGCTTACACTCTAGCCGCACTGTCAGCTGATGAGATGGTGCCCACCCAGATTGGGGGTGGGTCTGCCTTTTCCCAGGCCACTGACTCAAATGTTAATCTCCTTTGGCAACACCCTCACAGACACACCCAGGATCAATACTTTGTATCCTTCAATCCAATCAAGTTGACACTCAGTATTAACCATCACCGACACTAAACCTTCACACCAAAATGAGTTACCAACCCGAGATCCCCAGACCTGAGAGGAGACTGAGCCGGACAGACAGGCAAACCCAGCCCTGATTCTAAAAACAGAGCATGCGGAGGCACCAACTGGTAGTCTCATGAGATTTTAGAGGACGTTGTATCCGTAAAGAGAACAAAGTGTTAGGAAGAGGGGTACGTGAAATTTAAAAATATAATCATCATCCCAGAGTGTGCAGAGGCGCCAACTGGTAGTCTCATGAGATTTTAGAGGACATTGCATCCATAAAGAGAACAAAGTGTTAGGAAAAGGGGTACGTGAAATTTAAAAATATAATCATCATCCCCCCAAAAGGCACTAACTAGACAAATGAATGCAGTTGAAAACTGAATTTCTTAACTAAAAAGCCAGTTCGAGGAACCTTCCCTGGAAATAGAGCAAAACCCCAAATGATTGATATCTTGAGGAGGAGGTAAAAGACATGGACGACAGATTAGGGAAATCGAATCAGTGTCCGAAAGGGAGATTTCAGGAGATGAGAGGCAATAGCCAATGTCCAGGAGAACAGATGCGTGAGTTCAGGAAAGACGAATCTGCAGATAGAAAGACTCGTGACGGGCCATGCAGCTGAAAGAGAAAATAAACCTCCGCAGACATAGCTGGTGGGATTTCCAAATACCACGGCAAAAGAAAAAATGCTGCAGGCTTCCAGGCGGGAAAACCCAGATGGCCTCTTGAGGCCGGGCCTGGGCTACGCTTTCATCAAGGCCTCCATCAGCTGCGCCTTGGAGGAACCAGGGAGAGCTCAAAACCACCAGGACCTATCCCAGCCCAGATTTCAGATTGGTTTGTTCTGGGAAGGACCAGGCATTGTTTGTTTCTGGCTTTCTTTTTGACCCTTAAGCTTCCAGATGATGCTAACTTGCAGCCAGGGCTGAGAATCACAGATCTTAAATTTAAATAGCAGGATGTCAATGCATACAGAATTCAGAATTCTCTTTTTTGTGTTTTTTGTTTGTTTGTTTGTTTGTTGAGATGGAGTCTCTCTCTGTCGCCCAGGCTGGAGTGCAGTGGCGTGATCTCAGCTCACTGCAACCTCCACCTCCCGGGTTCAAGCGATTCTCCTGCTTCAGCCTCCCAAGTAGCTGGGACTACAGGGGCCCGCCACCATGCCTGGCTAATTTTTGTATTTTTGTAGATAACGGGGTTTCACCATGTTGGTCAGGCTGGTCTTGAACCCCTGACCTCGTGATCCGCCCACCTTGGCCTCCCAATGCATACAGAATTCTAAGGGAGAAGGATGGTTAGCATTTGACCTACATGTCAGTTAGACTCTGGAAATTAACAACAACGGGAAGTCCACGCATGAAGACTTCTGGCTGCAGCCAAATCTGCTCAGACAAAACCCATGACAGAGTTTATTTACATTTCCACAAACAAGCCTGAAAACAGACATTCTATTCGAGAAGCTAAAAAGAGGGAAATAAACTGAAAGAAGCAGAAAAATAAACCAATAAAGATCAAAAGCAGAAGCTGATGAAATAAATAAAAAATGAATTGACTTGATAAATAAACTGCTTTTTTTTTAAATGACCAATAAACCTTACACACTGCTGGCTTATCTGGCAATAAAAAGGAGATCATGCAAGTAACAGTGTTGGGAATGAGGACAACTTGGGGGAGGGTTTTTTTTGTTTTGTTTTTTGTTTTTAATTGCAAGAAAGCTATGCATTGTACTGGTTTCATCATGCAAGAAATTGAAAATGTCAAAAATCTGTTTTCCCTAAATGCACCAGTATTGGAAGATGTTATGGAAGGCTTCTAGTAACCTTTCAAGGAACAAACACTTCCTGTGTTATCAAAGCTCCAGGGCATGGAAGATTCCGGAAACTCCCCACAGGCTGGTCCTGCAATGCTTAGTGAAAGGCTGGCTGCAAACGCTGACAGCATACAAGCAGGAAACTGTAAAGCGGCCCCACATGTGAGGAGTGAAAATCCTGAACAAAATGTTAGCAAAAATAAGTAGGATTTACTTCCAGAATTCACACAGGAATAATTCACAATTAGGAAATCTACTAATTTTGTGCATTATATTTATAAATTAAAGAATGGAGGCCGGATGTGGTGGCTCACGCCTGTAATCCCAGCACTTTGGGAGGCCGAGGCGGGCAGATTACCTGAGGTCAGGAGTTCGAGACCAGCCTGGCCAACGTGGTGAAACCCTGTTTCTACTAAAAGTACAAAAAATTAGCCAGGTGTGGTGGCAGGCACCTGTAATCCCAGCTACTCAGGAGGTTGAGACAGGAGAATTGCTTGAGCCCAGGAGACAGAGGTTGCAGTGAGCCGAGACTGTGCCACTGCACTCCATCCTGGCCAACAGAGTGAGACACTGTCTCAAAAAAAAAAAATAAATAAATCAAATAAAACAAAATACAAGGATAAAAAAAAAAGGCTTCCTGGGTGGGTGCCAAATGGGTATTTAATAAAACTCATCATCCATCCCAAAGTAGGATAGAAGGAGAGTTCTAAGTATTTATCAGAAACTAACAAGAAAATGTTACCCAGTGGAAAGACTAGACTTAAAATCAGGAATGAGATGAGGAGGCCTGCTAGCATAGCAGTTACCCCAGACTGTTTTGGAGGCTCCAGCAACGCAAAGAAAACAAGAGAAAGAAATGAGATATGGATCTGGGAATGAAATACTGAAATTCTCAACCTCTACTAATGAAAAATAAAAGCCAATAGAAACAGTAAGAAATCAATAAAGTAGCTGGATACCAGCTCTGTAGTTTTCTTCTACACCAGTAATATAGTTAGGAATTACAATTTTTAAAAAAGCTCATTCATAATAGCTATAACAACTTTTAAATAAGTCCAGGAAGAAATCCAACAAGGAATGATGAGCCTGTCTGAAAAAAAACAATAAATGTTATGAAAGGTCATAAAACAGATTTAAATAAATGGAGTGCCCACGTTACCAGCTGGGAAGACGCATGATATAAAAATGCCATTTCCCTCCAAATTAGCAATAAAACCATTGCAATTCCCGTTACCCTCCGTGGTGAGATGTTTTGGGTGAACTTAAATTTATTCAACATAATTATTTACTTATTTTGGAAAAGTAATGATTCAAAATGCAAGAGCTCTACAACTAAGAGGAAGTTTTCGTCTCTTTTCCCCTTCCCCCACCCAGCCACCAGGGCCCTCCGCAGAGGCAACGTAGATTCTTGTGGATTCTTTTTGTTTTTGTTTTCTTCGAGACAGCGAGACGCATCTTGCTCTGTTTCCCAGGCTGGAATGCAATGGCAGAGTAGCCTCGAACTCCCAGCCTTAAGTGATCCTCACACCTCAGCTTCCCAAGTAGCTGGGACTACACACACACCACCAGGCCTGGCTAATTTTCATATATATATATATATATATATATATATATATATATTTTTTTTTTTTTTTGGTAGAAACAGGGTCTTACTGTGTTGCCCAGGCTGGTCTCCAATTCCTGGGCTCAAGTGATCCTCTTGCTTCGGCCTCCCAAAGTCCTGGGATTACAGGCATAAGCCACTGTGTTCAGCCCTTGTGGAGTCTTTTGGAGATTTTTTGCATATCTAAGCAAAGTCACAAGGGTGTGTGTGTATGTGTATCTCTCTCTCTCTCTTTAACTTAAATGGCTGCATATTATACCCACTGCTCGGTTCCTCGCTTGCTGTCCCTTAGCAACACGTGCTGCGGATATTCCACCTCAAAACAAAAAGCACCTCGGGCCAGGTGCGGAGGCTCACGCCTGTAGTGTTGACACTTTGGGAGGCTGAGGCTGGCAGATCGTTTGAGCTCAGGAGTTCAAGACCAGCCTGGGCAATGCGGCAAAACCCCATCTCTACAAAAAATACAAAAATGAGAAATTGGCCGGGCATGGTGGCATGTGCCTGGAGTCCCAGCTACTTGGGGGGCTGAGGTGAACCCAGGAGGTTGAAGCTGCGGTGAGCTATGATTGTGCGACTGCACTCCAGCCTGGGTGACAAAGTGACACCCTGTCTCAGAAAACAACAAGAACAACAACACTTTATTCTCAACAAATTGATTTTAAAGTTCATTTAGAAGACTAAATGCACAAAAATATCCAAGACAATTTTGAAAAGGAAGGATAATGAAAGAAATATTTAAGAATAATAACAAGTCCTTAGCCAGGCCTGGTGGCTCACGCCTGTAATCCCAGCACTTTGGGAGGCCGAGGCAAGCGGATCACAAGGTCAGGAGATCGAGACCATCCTGGCTAACATGGTGAAACCCCATCTCTACTAAAAAAAAAAATACAATTACTCGGGCGTGGTGGCGGGCACCTGTGGTCCCAGCTACTCAGGAGACTGAGGCAGAAGAATGGCGTGAACCCGGGACGCAGAGCTTGCAGTGAGCCGAGATCACCACTGCACTCCAGCCTGGGCGACAGAGTGAGACTCTGTCTCAAAAAAAAAAAAAAGAAGAATAGCAAGTCCTCAAAGAGAACTTAGAGGAAATTACTTTGGAATTTAGCTACTGCAAGCTATATTAATGCACAGGTTGCTTTTTTTTTGAGACAGAGTCTCACTTTGTCACCCAGGCTGTAGTGCAGTGGCATGATCCTCCCACCTCAGCCTCCTGAGTAGTTGGGATTACGGACGTGCACCAACACATCCTGTTAATTTTTGTATTTTGAGTAGAGACAGGGTTTCACCATGTTGGCTAGACTGGTCTTGAACTCCTGGCCTCAAGTGATCCGCCCACCTCGGCCTCTCAAAGTGCTGGGGTTACAGGCGTGAGCCACCACACCCAGCCAAAATGGCTTTGCAAGTTTAAGCTGTATCCTTCGAGCACACCTGGCTCCAGGATGATATGCGTCCAGCAGCCTTTTGGCCTGTAATTCAGTTTTCTGTTTGGATCCAGCCACTGAAAGGGAGTGCTCTGTGCAGTGAGCAAGCAAGTACTGACCCACGTGTAGCTCCCTCAATAAATTTGCACTCCAGCTTTAGAAATCCATCTCATGGCCGGGCGCGGTGGCTCATGCCTGTAATCCCAGCACTTTGGGAGGCCAAGGTGGGTGGATCAGGAGGTTAGGAGATGGAGATTATCCTGGCTAACATGGTGAAACCCCGTCTCTACTAAAAATACAAAAAATTAGCCGGGCGTGGTGGCGGGCGCCTGTAGTCCCAGCTACTCGGGAGGCTGAGGCAGGAGAATGGCGTGAACCCTGGGGGCGGAGCTTGCAGTGAGTCGAGATCGCGCCACTGCACTCCAGCCTGGGCGACAGAGCGAGATTTCGTCTCAAAAAAAAAAAAAGAAATCCATCTCATGCAAGTTTTGTTAAAGGAATCAGTTCCTCGGGCCTTGGCCTCCTCTGAGAGCACTGACATAAATCTGTCACTTAACTTGGGACAGGATGGAAGCTGCTGCCTCTTCTAGCCTCGTCCTCTCTGGCCTGCACTGCTGTGCAGCGGTGTCAGTGCAGGGGCATCTGTGGAGCTCAGCCTGCCCTGGATGTTCTCGTCTCCTCCCAGGGGACTTAAGACTCCACCTAAGGTTGCCAGCCTTTCAGTGGTAAGACATCTATGCAATCAACCCGAAGCCTTACCACCTGGCACTACTTCAGTGTATCCTTAGACTACCAGGAGGATCTCTGAGACTTGGTGGGGAATGGAACAGCTTGCTGCAATTTGTGGATGTAGATTCCGTATATTTTTGTCTCTTCCAAGAGACTGTAAACTCTTTGCTGACAAAGTCTGTGTCTTGATAGTTTAAAAGCAGTTTCCCAGTCTTACCCAAAAATGGCAGGAAGGGTGCCCAGAACGGCTGTTCCCTGCTTCCTCCTGGGTCTCTGCATGGGGGACGCTGGGACAGCCTCCCCACTCACTCTCTCTCTCTTTCTCCCCCGCCGCGCCCCGCAGTGGCGGCTCTGCAGACTGAGATGGAGAACTTGGCCCTGCATCTCTTCTACATGCAGAACATCGACCAGGACATGCGTGACGACATCCGCGTGATGACACAAGTGGTAAAGAAGGCCGAGACGGAGAGGATCCGGGCAGAAATCGAGAAGAAAAAGCAGGTATTCTGCAAACTCGACACATGTTTAATGATCACCAGACCGTGGAGCTTCAAAAAGGGGCTCAGCTTTGCCTCCTGCGTGAAGGCTTCCGGCCGGAGGGGTGGCGGCCGGCCTGGGTGGCGTCAACTTGTATCAAGGGTTGGTGGAGAACAGGCCCTCAGCCACGGGCACCTCCTGACGGGGCTGCTTCTCATCCTGTTTCCCAGGACCTGTATGTGGACCAGCTCACCACTCGAGCCCAGCAACTGGAAGAAGACATTGCCCTGTTTGAGGCTCAGTACTTGGCCCAAGCTGAGGACACCCGGATTTTAAGGAAAGCAGTGAGTGAGGTAAAAGCAGTCCCCGCAGCTCTCAGTGTTCGACCCTCCAGTGAGTGTCCACGCACAGGGTGCTGGTGGGTCTACTAGACTGCACCTGCCCGTCTGCTGGATGAGTGACTGCAGCCAGCTTACATCTGCAAACATCGGGCCCTCCCCATGGTGGGGCCACAGTAGATACTGACAGGTGGACAGCCCGGATTCCTATTCCTTCCCTGGCTAGTGGGTGACAGAAGGCCTCGCAGGGTTCAGGTACTCTAGTCGCTTCATGACCGCCAAGGCCAGCTTGCTGCGGGGATGCTCAGCAAGTTCCTTAGCCTGCAGGGACCTCTTCCGGGGAGGACTGAAGTCTTTCTAACAATTCTCACCCCCGTGGGCAGCCGGCCTTCCGGGTAGCTCCTACATCTCTGCACCTCGTGGAGTAGGGAGTGGAGGGAACGAAGGGGGTGAAAGCTGCTCCCTCTTGGCCCCAGATTCAGGTCTGTAGTGGTAGCACCAGAAACCAAAGTTACTGCAACTTAAAAAAAAAAAAAAAAAAACTATGAGTCACCATCTTCATTCACGGGTGCGGGAATGACACGGAGGAAACAATTAACTTTTTTTTTTTTTGAGACAGAGTCTCGCTCTGTCGCCCAGGCTGGAGTGCAGTGGCACAATCTCAGCTCACTGCAACCTCCGCCTCCCAGATTCAAGCAATTCTCCTGCCTCAGCCTCCAGAGTGGCTGGGACTACAGGCGCCCACCTCCATGCCCAGCTAATTTTTGTATTTTTAGTAAAAACAGGGTTTCACCATGTTGGCCAGGTTGGTCTCAAACTCCTGACCTCAGGTGATCCACCCACCTCGGCCTCCCAAAGTCCTGGGATTACAGTCATGAGCCACCGTGCCCAGCCAATGAAAAAGAAGGAAGAGGACTTGAAGGAACGGATGAGCACGCTGGGCTCCCAGGGTAAAGGGAGGGCCCGGGGCTGGGCGTTACTCAGCACTGGTCTCTCCAGCTACAAATGCAATTAAAGTAGAGCACGTCCCAATCAGAATCTCAGGAACAAACAATCCCTTAGTTAACAAAACAATTCTGGAGTTTTATCTGAAAAATAAATTAGGAAGGCTAGCCAAGAATGGTTTTGGAAGAGAAGATTCAAACGGGGCAAGCAGCCATCCCAGTCTGCTCAGGACTGAGGGGTCCCCAAGACAAGGGACTTTCCATGCTAAGCCCAGGGGGTCCTGGACACAGCAGGATGGCAGATCACCCTAGCATCGCCGCACCAAATATTAAAGTATACAGTAAAGCTCTGGCCAGGCAAGGTGGTGCACACCTGTAATCCCAGCACTTGGGGAGGCTGAGGCAAGAGGATGGCTTGAGCCCAGAAGTTCAAGACCAGACTGGGCAACATGGTGAGACCCTGTCTCCACAAAAAAATAATAATTAAAAAAAAATAAAACATTAGCCCACCATGGTGGTGTGCACCTGTGGTCCCAGCTACTCAGGAGGCTGAGGCAGGAGGATCACTTAAGCCCGGGAGGTCAAAAAAAAAAAAAGAACAACAACACTTTATTCTCAACGAATTGATTTTAAAGTTCACTTAGAAGACTAAATGCTCAAGAATACCCAAGAAAATTTTGAAAAGGAAGGATCATGAAAGATCCTTGAACTATGAAAGATCCAATGAAATATGATCATACCACTGCACTCCAGCCTGGGCTACGGAGCAAGACCCTGTCTAAAATAAAACAAAACCGTAAAGTTCTAGAGGCTAAAATAATGTGTCACAAGATAGACAGGCAAGACATTGAAGCCTATGAGAGAGCCCCAAAGCAAGCCAGAGTTTATATAAAAACCTAGTAGATTATAAATTACCAGAGAGCTAATGAATTATGCATCCAATGATGTCGGGACATTTGGTTAATCATTTGGGAAAAAATTAAATCTTTTCCTCATACCAGACACTAAAATAAATTCCAGATGGAATCAAGTATTTAAATGGGGGAAAATGTGCCAGACGAAAACAAATGAAAATATTTATATAATCCTGGGCTGGGGAGGCCTTTCAAAGTATAACACCAAAAGCAGGAACCTTAAAGGAAAAGACTAGGAGGGGCCGGGTAAGGTGGCTCACGCCTGTAATCCCAGCACTTTGGGAGGCCGAGGCCGCTGGATCACCTGAGGTCAGGAGTTCGAGACCAGCCTGGCCCGCATGGCAAAACCCCATCTCTACTGAAAATACAAAAATTAGCTGGGCGTGGTGGTACACGCCTGTAATGCCAGCTACTTGGGAGGCTGAGGCAGGAGAATCGCTTGAACCCAGGAGGCAGAAGTTGCAGTGAGCCGAGATCATGCCATTGCATTTCAGCCTGGGCGACAGAGCCAGAATCCATCTCAAAAAACAAAACAAAACAAAAGACTAGGAGGACAATCACACCCTCAATAAAACCTTTGTAGATTAAGGACGCCACAAACCAGATGAAGGCGGGGAGACAGGCAGGAGAAGACAACTCGCAGCCATTAGTAAATCCGGGGTTGTGAAGAGAGGCTGAAAGCCAAGGAGACTCGCCCTGTGTGCTTCCACACCCTGGAGGCAGGTGGGCTACTTGGTAGATGCTTCCTTTTGCACCTCCCGCCCTCCCCTCGATGCAACTTCCCCAGGGAAGGGGGCCGCCCGCACTTCCTTCATTTCTCATTTCCAGTACCCAGAACAGTGCGGGGGCAACAGCAGGGCCCCTGTTCATCGAGCGAAGTCACAAGTAACCAAAGGACAGGGAGTCCCCTACAGAGTTGGCAAAGATAAGGAGAGATGAGCCCTCCCTGCTGTCGGCCATGAAAATACAGATTGGCCTTTATCTTTATCAAGATCTTCATCCAGGGCGATATGATCATATGCAGCCACTCCCTCCCTAACCCTAACCCTAACCCCGCACCCTGTTAGTGCTTAGACTCCATTCCAAGGAACCTAGCAAAGACCTATGCAGATAACATTTTTGTATGTTAAAAATGATAAAGCCAGGCTTGGTGGGGTGCACCTGTAGTCCCAGCTACTCAGGAGGCTGAAGCAGGAGGAGCACTTGTGCCCAGGAAGTCAGGGCTGCAGTGAGCTATGATTGCACCACTGCACTCCAGCCTGGGTGACAGAGTGAAACCCCCGTCTCTAAAGAAATAAATACAGTGAATAGAGACTCATGGGGGAGATGACGCTCATCACCGTGTTGTGTCATCAGAAAGAAAGACCCCAAGAAGAGGACATTAGTGAAACCCATTTTCATACACCTGTGCATCAGAATACACTACACCAAAAAGAGCTCTACTGACATGGAAACCTGTCTCGATATTAATTTCTTATTTTAATTTTTTTTAAATTATACTTTAAGTTTTAGGGTACACGTGCACGATGTGCAGGTTTGTTACATATGTATACATGTGCCATGCTGGTGTGCTGCACCCATTAACTCGTCATTTAGCATTAGGTATATCTCCTAATGCTATCTCTCCCCCCTCCCCCCACCCCACAACAGGCCCCGTTGTGTGACGTTCCCCTTCCTGTGTCCATGTGTTCTCATTGTTCAATTCCCACCTATGAGTGAGAACATGCGGTGTTTGGGTTTTTGTCCTTGCAATAGTTTGCTGAGAATGATGGTAGAGACTAAGTCTCACTCTGTCCCCCAGGCTGGAGTGCACTGGGGCCCTCATGGCTCACTGTAGCCTCAAACTTCTGGGTCCAAGCAATCCTCCCACCTCAGCCTCTCAAGTAGGTAGGACTATAAGCACATGCCACCACACCGTGCTAATTTTTTTATTATGATTATTCTTTTTGTAGAGACGGTGTTTCTTTTTGTTGCCCAGACTGGTTGGGAACTCCTGGCCTCAAGTAATCCCCCCGCCTCAGCCTCCCAAAGTGCTGGGATTACGGGCATGAGCCACCGCACCTGGCACAATACATTAATTTTTAATATGGCGGGGCATGGTGGCTCACACCTGTAATCCCAGCACTTTGTGAGACCGAGGTCGGCAGATCACCTGAGGGTCAGGAGTTCGAGACCAGCCTGGCCAACATGGTGAAACCCCGTCTCTACTAAAAATTCAAAAATTAGCCAGGCGTGGTGGCGAGTGCCTATAATCGCAGCTGTTCGGGAGACTGAGACAGGAGAATTGCTTGAACTCAGGAGGCGGAAATTGCAGTGAGCCAAGATCGTGCCATTTTGCTCCAGCCTGGGTGACGAGAGTAAAAGTGTCTCAAAAAAAAAAATTAATAGGAGATTATGAAACAATATATAGAATTTGATTTCGCACACACACACAATCACAGGTGTAAGAAGTTAGAAATGGTTATCTCTAAGTGTTAGGGTTATTGAATTTTCATTTTCTTTTTGCTTATTTGCACATTCTATTTGCATAGGCTGAACACTTGCCTTTGTGAAAAACTGGGGTCTAAATGCACAGGTGACTGAGCCCGGCAGCCATCTTTCCATCCTTATGCCTTGACCTGCACCTCAGTCAACCAGGCTGTGGCCGGCAGCCTCAGGGGCACCATGGGGAGGCCTCGCACAGGCTCAGTTTAAGGTGCATCCTGGCTGAATTTGGGTCCCCACCTGCTGCCTGGGCCAGCTCCCACTGCCCAATGGCACAGAGCAGCCTCCTTAGTGAATAACTTACCCCCATACAAAACTGTGACCCAGCAGTCCCACGACTGGGCATTTATCCAAAGGAAAGGGAATCCGTGCATCCAATAGACACCTGCACCCCCATGGCCAGGCTGGTCTCGGACCCCTGACCTCAGGTGATCCGTCCGCCTTGACCTCCCAAAGTGCTGGGGTTACAGGCATGAGCCGCCGCACCTGGCCCAGTCAACAATAATTTATTGTACATTTTCAGATAGCTAGAAGAGAGGGTTTTGAATGTTCCCAACTCAAAGAAATAACAATTGCTGGAGGTGACTGATACGCTAATTACCTTGATTCAAGCAGTACACATTGTACATGTGTCGAAATATCACTCTGTACCCCAGAGATATACAGCTGTAACATGTCAGCTAAAATAAAAGGAAATACTACAGACAAAAGGGAAGTCAGTCCCGGGATGTACACAGTGTCCCTTCCTAGGCTGCCCAATAATCCTAAGTAAGCGTCTGTGAGAGGAAAAAAAAGTCCCCCTCATCGTGGTATACTTAATTCACACCATTTTAGGTTACGTCGTAATGAATAGATGGTTCAGAAACCCTCACAGCCAAGCATGGTGTCTCCAGGGCGATGGCCTCTCTCATGCCCGGCGCTGCCCTCGGCTCCCCCGTGATGTTCTAGCGCACTGTGGTTCAGTCACTGTCTACCAAGCTTGCCTGGGTGTCACGGCGTGCAGGCACTTCTGGGACTTGGCGTTCTACAGGACGCCCCAGTTGGCTGACTCGGGCCGCCAGCTTGCTCAAGTCACAGTGCTTGCATTGGGGATGACTCATCAAGAATCCCAAACACCACTCAAAACAAGACCGCGATCCAGGCCGTGCTGGGCATGCAGGCATCAACTCACTTGACCCGGCAGCCCCGGGGTCGCTCCTGTACCCATGGAGGTGCCGCTCCTGTACCCATGTCACAGCTGGGGACACTGAGGCACAGCGGGTGAGATTCAGCCCAGGCAGCCGTACCAGCCTTAACCTCTGTGCCCCAAGCATAAAGGAACTCCCCTTTCCCTTGGAGTAAATTCCTGAACCACCCCCCTAGTTTTCAAGCCCCTCCCCTGCATGGGCCAAGCCCTTACTGCAGGTGGCCCCTCACTGCCCCCCACGATGCCCCTAGACTTCCAGCCTCCGCTCAGCCTGCCTGACCTGCCCACCCCTGGCTGTCCAGTTGTGCCTCCTCATTCCCAGTCTAGGCAGCCCTGCTTCCCCCAGCTGGACGAGAGCATCCAGCCCTGGCCATTCTTGAGACAAACACCTCCTTCCATCATGGCCTCCCTACAGGAAGCGGTGCTGGGCCCGTCCTGTGGGACCTCAGTCCGAATCAATGACACCACCAACCCTGCAGAGGTGTTTCACGGATGCTGGCCAGGATCCCCTCCTCCTCTCCCTCCTCCTCTCCCTCTTCCTCTCCGTCTTCCCCCTCCCCCTCCTCCCTCTCCCCCTCCTCCCTCTTTCATCTCCTCCCCCTCCCTCTCCCCCTCCTCCCTCTTTCATCTCCTCCCCCTCCCTCTCCCCCTTCTCCCTCCTTCATCTTCCCCCTCCTCCCTCTCCTCCCCTCTCCCTCCTTCATCTTCCCCCTCCTCCCTCCCCCTTCCTCCCTCTCCTCCCTTCCCTCCTCCTCCTCATTCCCAAGCACTGAGCACCGCAGGCCCTGAGCAAAGGCTCAAAGCGGGTACGGGTTATCTTGAAAGCTACATTCAGGCTCGTGTTTACCCCTCTGCAGATGCATGATCAAGGAAAGTACCGGTGATAGAAGGAAAAGAGGAAGATTTGGGAATGTGAGGCTCTGGTGTTCTTGGGCTTTGCTCGCAAATGAAATGAGACAGCCATTCCTGCCCCCTCCCCTGTTGGCTGCAGGCCTGCACCGAGATCGACGCCATCAGCGTGGAGAAGAGGCGCATCATGCAGCAATGGGCCAGCAGCCTGGTGGGCATGAAGCACCGCGACGAGGCGCACAGGGCGGTGCTGGAGGCGCTCAGGTACTGCAGGGCCACAGGCAGCGAGGATGTGCGGGAACCCCAGGGGTCCGTGGCAGGCCCGCCCCACACCCCCTCTCTCTGGGTCCACCGGATCTCTGGGACAGAGGGTGCACCTTGATCCCCGGGTCCGGGCTTCCGTCCGGAAAGCTCCCTCATTGTTTGGTAAGATTTCAGCGATTCTTAAATCCTTTCCAACACTGCGGCGCTGGGAGGGGAGAGGCTTTTCTGCTCAGATTTCCTGGCAGGATTAAGTAGAAACAGAGCAGGGTAAAGAGAAAGCTATCTTTGGGAGGTAAAGGTGTCCCTTTGATTTGCAGTATCACCACCTGAGTGCGGAA
Organism: Homo sapiens; assembly: GCF_000001405.40. NCBI lineage: Eukaryota > Metazoa > Chordata > Mammalia > Primates > Hominidae > Homo > Homo sapiens. The sequence goes on from NC_000017.11 coordinate 80,065,945, forward strand.
ACCCCATCCCTTCTCGATTGTTCTGCCTGAGGGCTGCATTCCAACCGAAATCCTATTTTAATCTCCAAAGGAAGGGGAGGAAGAGGCCTCCTCTGGGCATCCCCTCACTTCTGGGGATGGATGCGTGGCTCAGGGCAGGGCGTTGGAGACACAGGTGCTGCCTTCATTCCTAAAACCACCCAGGGTGACCAGGTCTCGGGACGCGGAAAGAAAAAGCCGGGCACTGTGGTGGCACGTGTCTCACCCGCTGAGCTTTAACTTCCCCTCCACCTTTCGTAGTCTCCACCCCTTGTGCCCAGCACAGAGCCTGGCATACAGCAAGCGCTCAAGAAAGGCTGGACCAAGGAATGAGGGTCTGGCTGGCCCCACAGCACCCGCAGCCAGGCAGCCAGCAGCAGTCACACAACCAGGAGATGCTTTTCCTTTTGGGTGCTGTGATTAAAGAAACAAAATGAAACCATTTTGTTTTTAAAAGTTTTTAGACCAAAACATTTTCAAATGAATAATATTGGATTAACCATACTCATTTCTGGCCAGGCGCAGTGGCTCGCACCTGTAATCCCAACATTTTGGGAGGCTGAGACGGGTGGGTCACGAGGCCAGGAGTTCAAGACCAGCCTGGCCAAGATGGTGAAACCCCGTCTCTACTAAAAATACAAAAATTAGCCAGGCATGGTGTGGGCGCCTGTAATCCCCGCTACTCGGGAGGGTGAGACAGAGAACTGCTTGAATTGCGGAGGTTGTAGTGAGCCGAGATCACGCCACTGCACTCTAGCCTGGGAGACAGAGCAAGACTCTGTCTCAAAAAAAATAAAAATAATAATAATACTCATTTCCTTCACTCCCTTGAGTCAACAACATAAAGCCAAAGGGAACACTGTGGTTTGATACAGGCGATGTTTGGCTGAAGCTTCGTTTCCCCTGTAAAGATGCAGGTCGAGGAACCAGAGCCAGCTGTGGCCGGGCAAGGGCTCCTCTCCCTGTGTCACCAGGGTTGCCTGAACACCAGGACGAGAGGACTTGGCCATCTGCCCACTTGGGTGTCTTTTTCCTCCTGCCCCAATGCTAGGACTTGATACCTGACTGTTTAATTACACGGCTCAGCTGCCACGGGCCTTAAGAAAAGTCAAGGCCAGGTTCTCTCTGAGGGTCCAGCACCTGGCCTGGCTCTCCGAGGCTCATGGCCTGTGAACCCTGCAGCGTCCCCAAGGGAAGACGTCACCTCCGAGATGGTCCTGTTGTCCAGCTCTCCCCTGCATCCCAGACTAACCAGTGTCCTCTCTGCAAACCGTCCTCATTGCCCTCAGAGACATGGCTTCCTTTTGGTTGCAAACATTGTAAAAATCGTATTCGATCAGGTCTCCTCCTCCTCGGCCCGCAGTCACTAGAACCCCCTCCCAAGACAAGCAAAGGCACCTGGTTTTCTGGGATCCCCTGCCTAACTTGTGTGCAATTGCAAGAAAGCATATGCGTTCACCCGGAGTCTTCCTTCCCTCTCTTGCTCCGTGGGAGCACACCACACTCACTGTTCTGCACCTCTTTGCTTTTTCCATTTAACAGCGTGTCCCTAGAGCGCTTCCCAAGTCAAAATATAAACACCGCTCGTTCCCGCCTTTCTACCACATGGCATTCCGCTGGGATACTTCTACGGGGAAGCTTCCTGCCCGGGGCATCGAGGGCGTTCGCGTCCGTCTGTTATGGCGGTGCTGCTGTAGATAACCGGATCCGCGAATGCTAACGCTCACCAGGATGCTATATAGCCTTTTTTATATTGCCTATCAAGCCCGGAATGTCTGGGTCTAGCGGGTATTGCTAAGTAGGATTGTGACAGTCACGCCCCCGGCAGCGGTGTTTCAAAGTCCCCTGACAGCTCAGCATGTTGTCACACTTCAGGACTGTGCCAATCCGATTGATGAAGAAAATAGATAATCTTGTTTTATAAAACGTGCATGCGCAGAATGTTGAGTGAATATTTTAGTGGACTATGTACACGCACAAACACTTCACAACGAGTGAGAGAGCCTCTGACTTCACCTGCAGCTTGCCACACCAAGGCCCCGGGGAGGAGTGAGGCCCAACTTTTATTTATTATATTTTTGTGGTTCTTGCAATGGAGTCTCGCTCTGTCCCCCAGGCTGGAGTGCAGTGGCACCATCTCTGCTCACTGCGACCTCCGCCTCCTGGGTTCAAGCGATTCTCCTGCCTCAGCCTCCCAAGTAGCTGGGATTACAGGCGTGCACCACCACGCCTGGCTAATTTTTGTATTTTTAGTAGAGACGGGGTTTCACCATGTGGGCCAGGCTGATCTTGAACCCCTACCTCAGGTGATCCACCCGTCTTGGCCTCCCAAAGTGCTGGGATTACAGGCGGGAGCCACTGCGCCCGGCCAGTCTTTTAAAAGTGCAGGCCGTGTAGAACATTGTGAGAAGTATAAACTGTAATTACAGAGATTTGCTGTTTGCACCCAGATAGATTTGAAGAAGCAACTTGGAGACAGGTTTAATAGATCAGGGCCATTATTACAGAAATAAATTATTGCATAGCTTAGGACTTCCAAGCTAGGAGTGCAGTGACTGAACTATACCTCAAATATTGACCTTGAGATGTTCAGATTTGTAGAGCATCTTAGAAAATGGTGACATTCCTGGCTGATGGTCAGGATGGTGCATACCAGGCCGGTACCCTGGTGGCTGTCTGGGCATTTCTGGAGCCTTCACCCTGCGAGATCCCCATGGGGCAGGACCCCCTGGCCCAGAAGCTTGGTTTTGCCATCACACCGAGAAGGCACACTTGTCCTGGAGTTAGTTTACATGAATCGAGCTCACCAGAGCCTGACGTGTAACTGAGTATAATAGCCCATTTATGTGCATGATGAAATATAAACACCAAAGAACCGAATGCTCCACGCTCGGACTAGCAGATTCTTATCTGTGGGGGAGGACACAGGAGCGGATGACACAGACCCCTGCTCAGGGACCGGCTAGAGGGCGGAATGCCTGGGCCCCGGCCCTGTCTGCTTCCTGCTTCTTCCCCGAAGTTCATGGCCTGTCCGTCCACATGGGCGGGAGGTGTCCCGCGAGCAGCCCTCACCCTGACCTTGGCTGCTTTCTCCATTCCATTCCCCACCCCTCCTCCCTCCTGACACCCATGGCATTTTTTCAGATAAGTTAATACCTTTGATTAGGTTCCAGCCAAACCTCACCCTTTCTCTTTCCCCATGCCTTTGTGTCTCTCTTCGTCTGATGTCGAGTCTACAACCTAATGCTTTGAAGACAGACTGACTTCCCCGTCCTTGGTCAGGGGGTTGCTGCTGCGTGGGGGGGGCGGTAACCATAATCTTGCCCCCGTGTCTCATACACAAGCTGCAAGCTTAGCTCAGAAGCTGTGCCTGTCTTGGCTGCTTTTTCTTGCTGTCTTCCCTATTTTTGCAGGAGTTTTGCACACGGTCATAAAAGTTCAGGAGAAACATGAAACGTGTTATTCTGTTTCCTGTTTAAGTCGACCTGAGGAAGCTGAAGGGGTCAGGCGCGGTGGCTCACGCCTGTAATCCCAGCTCTTTGGGAGGCCGAGGCGGGCAGATCACGAGCTCAGGAGCTGGAGATTGAAACCATCTTGGCTAACATGGTGAAACCCCGTCTCTACTAAAAATACAAAAAAACAGCCAGACCTGGTGGCGGGCACCTGTGGTCCCAGCTACTCAGGAGGCTGAGGCAGGAGAATCGCCTGAACCCGGGAGGTGGAGGTGGCGGTGAAGCAAGATGGTGCCACTGCACTCCAGCCTGGGTGACAGAGCGAGACTTCGTCTCAAAAAAATAAGAAAGAAAAAGAAAAAAAAGAGAGAGAGAGAGACAGAGAGAGAGAGAGAAAAAAAGAAAGAAAGAAAAGAAAAGAAAACTGAGGGCTTGCCCTAATCTCCTAGACTTCCTTTTCCCTCAGTCCTGATGATGGCAGAGACGACTCCTCAAAGGCTCTTCCCCTTGGCATGGAGTGCTGGAGCCTGCCCTAGGGAGGGAGGACAGGATGGAGCAAGACACTGAACGCAGAATTAGAGCTAGGCAACGAGCGGGTGATTTCACTGTTTCCTGGGTAACAAGCCCCAGGCTCAGCTCGGTCTGGTGTAGCCCCTCAAAGGGGACACTGTCCTTGCCCCCAGTTGATGGAGGAGGAAGGAGCGGAAGGCAGTGTGGGATGGGTTGGGTGTGGGCATTGCCACAGTGTCCCCAGCAGGCCTCCTTCTAGCCTGGGGATCTGGCAGGTGGGTCCCAGTCACCACCAATGCCCCATATACCCAAGGACACTGGTGACCCAGCAGACCTGAGGCCACAGACCAAAGACAGAGTAACAACCCCATTAAAAATGTGCCCCCATGGGCGGGCATAGTGGCTCCTGCCTGTAATCACAGTGCTTTGGGAGACTGAGGCAAGAGGATCCCTTAAGCCCAGGAGTTCAAGACCAGCCCGGGCAACATAGTAAAGTAAGACCTTGTCTCTAAAATAAAATATAAAAAATAGCCAGGTGTGGTGGTGTGTGCCTGTGGTCTCATCTACTTGGGAGGCAGAAGCAGGATGATCACTTGAGTCCAGGAATTTGAGGCTGCAGTGAACTGTGATTGCACGAATGCACTCCAGCCTGGGCAACAGAGCAAGACCCTGTCTCTCAAAAAATTTTTAATTAGCGGGGCATGGTGGTGTGCACCTGTAGACCTGTAGTCCCACCTACTCGGGAGGCTGGGTGGGAGGATTGCTTGAGCCCAGGAGGTCGAGGCTGCAGTGAGCCGAGATGGTGCCACTGCACTCCAGCCTGGGCAACAGAGCCAGAGCCTGTCTCAAAAAAATAAAAAAGTGTCCCCAGACACAGGGGCATGGGTGAGGCCTGTCAGGACTGCTGTGGTAGCTCATGGTGTCCTGTCCCTTCTTCCCACCAGGGAATGACCGTGGCTGTGGGCACACCCCCTGTCCATCTGGGCCTGCCTGTGGGAGCTGGACACTGCCCTCCCCAGCAGCCAGAAGTCCTGAAGGAACCGTGTGTGACCCTCAAGACCAGACCGGGCCTGCCACACCAACCCTTCAAAGACCGCAGCGGTCCAGGCAATCCAACGTGGGTCCCAAAGCTAGGTGAATAACCACGAGGAGCCCACGGTCAGCCCCTTCCCATCACATACGCAGGGAAATGGGTCACTTTCACTTTCAGAAAACAAAGCCTGGACCGCACTTAACTTGGAGGCAGATAACCTAATCAGAATTCACACACGCCTGGGACTTGGAGCCAAAAGCACCCGTGCTCTTACCTGCCTTTGTCCTATTTCCTGGCGGGAAATACAGAGGGCAGACAGGTCTTGGCCCGCAGCCACAGCCCCTTTACCCCAAGATGTGACTCGGTCAGCCACACGGCCTCACAGCCTCCTCCCAGGCCCTCAGCTGTGGCCACGGCAGCCAGGCAGGCCGACCCAAGGACAAAAGCCACGGGCAGTGTCCTGGGAGAGAACCCGGCCTTGACCACAGGCTGCTGGACACCTCCTGTGTCCCCCCCTTAATCCTCAGAGGCACGGTGCCCAATGCCTGGGCCATATTCCAGATTCCATCCGTTCTTTTTGTTTCATTTACAGACAGTCCCCGACGTCACGATTTTTGGACTTTACCATGGTATTAAAGCAACAGGCAGGCAACAGAAACTGGGCTTTGAGTCCCACACAACCTCCCTGGTTTTCAGCACGGTATTCAATAAATTACATGGATGCCCCACACTTTATTATCAAACAGGCTTCGTGTGAGATGATTTTGCCCACCTGTAGGCTCATGGGAGTGTCCTGAGCACGTTTGAGGGAGGCTGGGCTGAGCCGGGGTGCCTGGCAGGAAATCTGCAGGAAGTGCATTTTGGGTTTTTCAGCTTTTTTTTTTTTTTTTTTTTTTGAGATGAAGTTTCACTCTTGTCGCCCAGGCTGGAGTGCAATGGTGCGATCTCAGCTCACTGCAACCTCCACCTCCTGGGTTCAAGTGATTCTCCTGCCTCAGCCTCTCAGGTAGCTGGGATTACAGACATGCACCACCACCATGCCCGGCTGATTTTGTATTTTTAAAAGAGACGGGGTTTCACCATGTTGGCCAGGCTGGTCTTGAACTCCTGGCCTCAGGTGATCTGCCCCCACTTGGCCTCTGAAAGTGCTGGGAATTACAGGCGTGAGCCACGGCACCAGCCTGCATTTTGGACTTAGGATATTTTCAACTTACGATGGGTTTGCCGGGCTGCATCCCCACCGTAAGCTGAGGAGAACCTGTACTTTCTATTGGTGCCTGCTGATCTACGGAGTTTTTAAAGTACGATTTAAAAAAATAATAATCCTTATCAAGGATAAGTGATTGCGTTACAGGACATTTGAAAAACAGAGAAAAGGATTTAAAAATACCATCGACTTTCTCTTTTTGTGACAAGAAGACTCATTAGCATGTCAGCACACTCTCAGGCACACATTTCCCCGAGTGTTAGGAGTTCTGTTGCACAGTTTGTAACTGTATCTTTTTAAATTGGGCATCTTATTTTTATTGTCAAATTTAGACATTTATAAGGCTGCTCCTTCCTAAAAAAAGAAAATGAGTAACTTATTTACTTGAAGTCAGGATGACTGGGGATAATTTATGTACAAAATTGCATACCTCCAGCCCTGGCAACCGCTGTGCCGCCTTCTGTGCCTATAGCTCTGCCATTTCTAGAATGTCATATAAATGGAATCGCGCAGTCTGTAGCTTTTCTTGTCTGGCTTCTTCCACTTGGCATCATGCTTTTGAGACCCACCCATGTTGCAAGATCAGTAGTCTGTTCCTTTTTATTGTTGAATAGTATTCCCTTGCACGGATACATCAGATGTATTTGTCCATCCACCAACTGATGGACATTTGGCTTTTACCTTTGGAATACCGTGAAGAAAGCTGCTGTGGCTGTCCTGAAAAGATCTTTGCATGGAGACGTGTTTCCGTTTCTCCCGGGTAAATACAGGCGCATCTCGTTTCAGTGTGCCTCGCTTTCTCCTACTGCGTGGAATCGCTTTTGTTTGTTTGTTTGTTTGTTTGTTTGTTTGTTTTTGAGATGAGTTTCACTCTGTCACCCAGGCTGGAGTGCAGTGGGGCGATCTTGGCTCACTGCAACCTCCACCTCCCGGGTTCAAGCAATTCTCCTGCTTCAGCCTCCAGAGTAGCTGGGATTACAGGCACATGCCACCATGCCCTGCTAATTTTTTGTATTTTTTAGTAGAGACGGGGTTTCACTGTGTTAGCCAGGATGATCTCGATCTCCTGACCTCATGATCCACCCGCCTCAGCCTCCCAAAGTGCTGGGATTACAGGAATCGCATTTTTTACAAATTGAAGGTTGACGGCAGCTCCGTGTGGAGCAAGTCCACCGGCACCATCTCTCCAGCGGTGCGTGCTCACTTCCTGCCTCTGCACCACATGTTGGTCGTTCTCATAATATTTCAAACTTTTTCATTGTCATCGTCCGTTATGGTGATCTGTGATGAGTGACCTTTGATGTTAACTATTGTAATTGGTTTTTGGCAAAGCCACGAACTGCCCTTGTTTAAGACAGCAAACTGAATCAAGACATGTCGTGTGTGTACTGACTGCTCGCCGGCTGGCGTTCTTCCATTTCTGTCCCTCTCCTTGGGCCTCCCTATTCTCCAAGACTCAACAGTATTGAAATTAGGCCTACAATGGCCACTAAGTGCTCAAGTGAAAGGAAGAGTCTCATGCCTCTCACTTTATTTTTATTTTATTTATTTATTTTTGAGACACTCTGTCCCCCAGGCTGGAGGGCAGTGGCACGATCTTGGCTCATTGCAACCTCTACCTCCCGGGTTCAAGCGATTCTCCTGCCCCAGCCTCCCGAGTGGCTGAGATTGCAGGTGCCTGCCACCGTGCCCGGCTAATTTTTGTATGTTAGTAGAGACAGGGTTTCACCATGTTGGTCTCGAACTCCTGACGTCAAATGATCTGCCTGCCTCGGCCTCCCAAAGTGCCGGGATTACAAGTGTGAGCCAACGCTCCTGGCCGCCTCTCACTTTAAATCAAAAGTTAGAAATGATTAAGCTTCATGAGGAAGGCATGTCAAAAGCTGAGATAAGCCAAAAGCTAGGCCTCTTGCACCAAAGGGATAGCCAAGTTGTGAACACAAAGGAAAAGTTTTTGAAGAAAATTTAAAGTGCTGCTCTAATGAACACACAAAAGAAAGGGAAGCAGCCTAATTGCGCGTCTGGAGAAAGTTCAGGTGGTATGGACAGAAGATCAAACCTTCCGGCCGGGCGCGGTGGCTCACGCCTGTAATCCCAGCACTTTGGAAGGCCCAGGCAGGCGGATCACGAGGTCAGGAGATCAAGACCATCCTGGCTAACACGGTGAAACCCCGTCTCTACTAAAAATACAAAAAGTTATCCAGGCATGGCGGCAGGTGCTGAGGCAGGAGAATCACTTGAACCCAGGAGGCGGAGGTTGCAGTGAGCCGAGATCGCGCCACTGCACTCCAGCCTGGGCAACAGAGCGAGACTCTGTCTCAAAAAAGAGAATGCACCTGGTGGGCATGCTAGCTCAAGTAATCTCAGCACTTTGGGAGGGCAAGGTGAGAGAATTGCTTGAGGCCAGGAGTTCTAGACCAGCCTGGGCAACATAGCAAGAGCCTGTCTCTAAAACCGAAAAAAGGAAAGAAAGAAAATGTACCTGGTCACCCAAGAGTTTTGATGGAGCTGGAGCTGTGCAAGATGAATGTTGTTTCCACACCTGTAACACAGCATTTATTCTGCAACCCATGGGTTGAGGAGTAATTTCAACTTTCAAGTCTTACTATTGCAGTAATACAGTCTGTAAAGCTATAGCTGTCATAGATAGTGATTACTCTGATGGATCTGAGCAAAGTAAGTTGAAAACCTTCTGGAACAGACTCACCATTCTAGATAACGTTAAGGATATTCGTGATTCATGAGAGGAGGTCAAAATATTACTCTTGGTTTTTTTGAGGTGGAGTCTTGCTCTGTTGCCCGGGCTGGAGTGCTATGGTACGATCTTGGCTCACTGCAGCCTCTGCCTCCCGGATTCCAGTAATTCTCTTGCCTCAGACTTCTGAGTAGCTAGGATTACAGGTCCTTACCACCACACCTGGCTAATTTTTTATATTTTTAGTAGAGATGGGGTTTCAACCGTGTTGGCCAGGCTGGTCTTGAACTCCTAACCTCAAGTGATATGCTCACCTCAGCCTCCCAAAGTGCTGGGATTACAGGCATGAGCCACCTCAGCCTCCCAAAGTGCTGGGATTACAGGCATGAGCCACCGTGCCTGGCCCAAAATATTACTTTTTTTTTTTTTTTTTTTGAGGTGGAGCTTCTCTTTTGTCGCCCAGGCTGGAGTGCAGTGGCACGATCTCAGCTCACTGAAAACTCCACCTCCCAGGTTCAAGCAATTCTCCTGCCTTAGTCTCCCAAGTGGCTAAGATTAGAGGCACCTGCCACTACGCCCAACTAATTTTATTTTTTTAAGGTTGGAATTGCTTTTATTGGGGACAGATGTGCAAGTCCCCGCTCATGGTCAGGTTAGTGTTCTGCCCTTGCAGAGGTGCCAGCAGCCTGACACCTCCATCTGCCGCCCGCCCCGGGTTAGTGGAACATGCAAAGCTCAGAGGGTGGAGGCAGGGGTGGTCGCTGCTGAAGCCAGACGTCCAGCTAATTTTTGTATTTTTAGTAGAGACGGGTTTTCACCATGTTAGCTAGGCTGGTCTCGAACTCCTGACCTCAGGTGATCTGCCTGCCTCGGCCTCCCAAAGTGCTGAGATTACAGGCCTGAGCCACTGCGCCCGGCCCCAAAATATCACCTTTAATGGCAAAACTGCAATTACTTTTGCACCAACCTAATATCAACATTAACAGAAGTTGATTGTAACGCCTGTGGATGGCTTTGAGGGCTCAGGACTTCAGCGCAGAAAGTCACTCCCGATGTGGTGGAAACAAGAACTAGAATGAGAAGTGGAGCTGAGATGGGATGGAATTGCTGTGTTCATATGATCAAACTTTAATGGATGAGGAGTTGCTTCTTACGGATGAGCGTTTTCTTGAGGTGGAATCTGCTCCTGTGAAGATGCCATGCGCATTGTTGAAATTAACAAAGAATTTAGAATATTCCATAAACTTGGTTGATGAGGCAGCAGCAGGGTTTGAGAGGACTGACTCCAATTTTGCAAGAAGGTCTTGCGTGGGTAAAATCCTATCAAACAGCATCACATACTACAGAGAAATCTTTCATAAAAGAAGAGTCGATCCATGTGGCAATGGATGTGGCAGGAAGAGTCAATCCATTGTCTTATTTTAAGATTGCCGTCCAGGTGGGGTGACTCACACCTGTAATCCCAACACTTTGGGAGGCCAAGGCAGGCAGATGACCTGAGCTCAGGAGTTTGAGACCAGCCTGGGCAACATGGTGAGACCTCATTTCTACAAAAAATACAAAAATTAGCCAGGTGTGGTGGTGTGCACTTGTAGTCCCAGGTACTCGAGAGGCTGAGGGAGGTGGTGGCTTGAGCCTAGGAGGCTGAATTTGCAATAAGCCAAGATCACACCACTGCACTCCGGCCTGGGTGACAGAGCCAGAGTCAGAGCCTGTCTCAAAAAAAAAAAAAAAAAATTGCCACAGCCACCCCAGCCTTCAGCAACCACCACCCTCATCAGTCAGCAGCCAGCAACATCAATGCAAGACCCTCTACCAGCATACTTTATCAAGTATGACTTGATAAACACTTAGGTGATTGTTAGCATTTTTTAGCAATAAAGTTTGTTTTTTTTTTCTTTTTTAAAATAGAGTCTCATTCCATTACCCAGGCTGGAGTGCAGTGGTGTGATCTCAGCTCATTGCAACCTCTGCCTCTTGGGTTCAAGGGATTCTCCTATCTCAGCCTCCTCAGTAGCTGGGATTACAGGTGCCCACCACGACACCTGGTATTTTTAGTAGAAATAGGGTTTCACCATGTTGGCCAGGCTGGTCTCGAATTTCTGACCTCAGGTAATCTGCCTGCCTCAGCCTCTCTAAGTGCTGGGATTACAGGTGTGGACCACCACGCCCAGCCTAAAGTAAGTACATTCTTTAGACATGATGCTATTGCACGCTTGATAGACTACAGTAAAGTATGCACCTTCTGTATGCACTGGGGAACCAAAAAAGATTGTGTGACTTGCTTTACTGTGATACTTGCTTAATTGCGGTGGCCTGCAACTGAACCTGCAGTATCTCCAAGGTTCCGGCTCAACATACATTTTACTTTATAACAAATGCTTGCCGGCCGTGGTGGCTCACACCTGTAATCCCAGCACTTTGGGAGGCTGAGGCGGATCACTTGAGCTCAAGAGTTTGAGACCAGCCTGGGCAGCATGGCAAAACCCCATCTCTACCCAAAAATACCAAAAATTAGCTGGGTATGGTGGTGCATGCCTGTAATCCCAGCTACTTGGGTGGCTGAGGCAGGAGAATCCCTTGAGCCTGGTAGGTGGAGGTTGCAGTGAGCCGAGATTGCGCCATTGCACTCCAGCCTGGGTGACAGAGCGAGACTCCGTCTCAAAAATAAACAATAAAACAGCTGCTGCGGTGTTTTCCCAAGTGACTGGTTCCAATTTGCATTTTCTCCAGCAATTTATGAGAGTCCCAGTTGTTCCACATCCTCGCCAACATTTGGTATTATCAGTCATCTAATTTTAGCCATCAAATATAGCCATTAGCAAATGTGTGGTGCATCGCCTTGCGGTCTGAGCCTGCGTGTCCCTAATGACTAGCGATGGTGAGCATCTCTTCCCCGGCTTATTCGCTATTCCTGTGCCTTCTCTGGTGAAGCAACTTCTGCTCATTTTTCCGCTGAGTGGCTTATCATTGAGTTGTAAGAGTTCTTCATATCTTCTGGAGACATCTTTTATCAGACGTGTGCTTTGAAAATATTTTTGTCCCAGTCTGTGGCTTTGTCTTTTTTACCTCTTTACAGTGTCTTTTGAAGAGCAAAAGTTTTAAATTTTTGTGAAGTCCAACTTATTAAATATTTTCTTTCCTGATTCATGCTTTTTATGTCTTCTCTAAGAAATCTCTAAGGGTCAGGCCGGGCACAGTGTGGCTCATGCCTCTAATCCCAGCACTTTGGGAGGCCAAGGTGGGCGGATCACGAGGTCAGGAGATTGAGACCATCCTGGCTAACACGGTGAAACCCCATCTCTACTAAAAATACAAAAAATTAGCCGGGCGTGGTGGCGGGCGCCTGTAGTCCCAGCTACTTGGGAGGGTGAGGCAGGAGAATGGCATGAACCTGGGAGGCGGAGCTTGCAGGGAGCCAAGATCACGCCACTGCACTCCAGCCTGGGCAACAGAGCGAGACTCTGTCTCAAAAAAAAAAAAAAAAAAAGGAAAGAAAAAGAAATGTCTAAGGGTCACGAAGATTTTCTCCCAAGTTTTCCACTAAAGTTTTCCAGGTCTCGCTTTTAGGCATCTGGTCCATTTCAAGTTCACGTTTGTTGTGGTATGAGCGGGGTCCAGGCTCAGGTTTTGTGTGTCTCTCTCTAGTTGTCCCAGCACCACTTGTTGAAAAGACTGTCCTTTCCGTATTGAAATCCTGTGACACCTTTGTCAAAGATCAATGTATTGTGTGTGTGTGTCTGTTTCCAGACTCTCTATTCTGTTCCGTTGATCTTTTTGTCATTCTTTCACCAATACCACATTGTCTTTCTAACTAGAGCTTTATGGAAAATCTTGAAATCAGATAGTCTGAGTCTTTGATGTTGTTTTACAAAATTATTTTGGTTACTCTAGGTCCTTTAGGTTTCCATTTAAATTTTAAAACTTGCTTGTCAATTTCTGGGGAAAAAATGCCTTCTGGGATGTAACTGAAATTACATTGAATCCATAGATCAGTTTGAAGAGAATTGAGGCCTTAATAATATTAAATCTTCTGCTTCATGGACATGGCAAATCTCTCCAGTATCAGTATCTTTTTTTTTTTTTTTTTTTGAGTCAGAGTCTTGCTCTATCACCTGGGCTGGAGTGCAGCGGAACAATCTCAGCTTACTGCAACATCCGCCTCCTGGGTTCAAGTGATTCTCATGCCTCAGTGTACCAAGTAGCTGTGAACACAGCCACACACCACCACGCCCGGCTAATTTTTTTTGTATTTTTAGTAGAGATGGGGTTTTGTCATGTGGGCCAGGCTTCCTTTCTCTATTGATAGTGTCTTATCCTTTGAATAAGTTTTTATTCAAATAGTCAGAAAGTACTTTCTTCTTGGACTAGAATAATACCTTCCATATTTTTCTCACATCTCTCCCCAGTCTTTCAATTCTCTTTCCCAAGCAACCTGTTACTGTTTCATAAAGGTCTTTCCAGATAGATTTCGTTCATACATATGCATTATTCTCGGGTGTTTATCTCTCCACTTAAAAATCACCCGCGGCCGCTTAGTGTGTCCCGCTCTGCAGCTTGGTGTTTCTTGTGCTGTGTCTTAGAGTTATTCCATGTCAGAACACATAGAAATCACCGTTGTTCTTTGCAGTTCTCTTCACACTGTGTTCTAAATGATGCCTGTGCCATAATTTAATCATCCTCATCGATCCATAATGAGGCCCTTTCCTGTTTTTTGGCTTTTTCTGATCTCATCAGTGGATCAATAAATATCCACACACATTAAAAATAGATACTGGATCACCAGGCACGGTGGCTCATGCCTGTAATCCCATCACTTTGGGAAGCTGAGGCAGGTGGATCACTTGAGGTCAGGAGTTCGAGACCAGCCTGGCCAACAGGGCGAAACCCTGTCTCTACTAAAAATACAAAAAAAAAAAAAAATAGGCAGGCATGGTGGCACACGCCTGTGGTCCCAGCTACTCAGGCAGCTGAGGCATGAGAATCGCTTGAACCCAGGAGGTTGCAGTCAGCCGAGATCGCGCCACTGTACTCCAGCCTGAGTGGCAGAGCGAGACTCTGTCTCAAAAAAAAAAATACTGGATGGCCAGGCGCAGTGGCCCACACCTGTAATTCCAACACTTTGGGAGGCCGAGGCAGGTGGATCACTTGAGGTCAGGAGTTCAAGACCAGCCTGGCCAACATGGTGAAACCCCATCTCTACAAAAATACAAAAATTAGCTGGGCATGGTGGCACACACCTGTAATCCCAGCTACTTGAGTGGCTTGAGGCTGCAGTGAGCTGAGATCATGCCATTGCACTCTAGCCTGGGTAACAGAGTGAGAGACTGTCTCAAAAAAAAAAAAAGAAAGAAAGGAATGAAAGGAATGTTTAAAGTACCGCAGAACATCTCAGAATAATAGGAAAACATGCCTCACACACACAAAATTCAAATCCTCATGCTGAGGCGTAAGAATGACTTGAACCCAGGAGGCAGAGGTTGCAGTGAGGCAAGATCGTGCCTCTGCACTCCAACAAATACAGGATTTGAATCTGATTATTTCATTTGAATCAGTATTTTAGATCTGATTATCCGATATCTGTGTTTTAGAGCTTGACGTTAATTACAGGTATCTCATCGCAGCATGCCGAGGGGAAAGACAATAGAATTTGAAGTGGGCCCACTGGTGTTCCCTCAGCCACGCTGTTTCCTGCAGACCTTGGGCTAGTGATTGAAATGCTCTGAGTCTCAATGGCCACATCTGTAAAGCTGGACTATTTCCTTCCTAGGATTATTGTCATGGTTAAGGAAGGTGGGCAGATGAGAACCCCTAGCCCAACGTCTGACCCATGCGTCACTTTCCTTCTCCCCATAATCACAGTACAAAAGAGTTGTCAACTTGGGCTTTCAATAGATAATAGTTCTCTTGATCTATTTGAAAATAATAGTCAAGATTTGGCTATTGGCTGCAAAAATACAGTGAGGGAGAAGGAACAAGGCCCAGTGTTCAATAGCATGTCACAGTGACTACAGTTCACGGTAAGTTAGTGTATATTTCTGAATAGCTAGAGGAAAAGATTTGGAATGTTCTCAACACGAAGGAAGGATCATGTGTGAGGTGATAGATGGCCGGTTCCCCTGATTTGATCATGACATGCTGTATGCTTGTGTCAAAATATCGCATGTACCTCTCAAATATGTGCCAATCTATCCATAAAAATTTTTTAAAGATTTGGCTGCTATTAAAAGAGTTGGTTTCCTGCTGGGTGCAGCGGCTCACACCTGTAATCCCAGCACTTTGGGAGGCCAAGGCAGGCACATTGCTTGAGCTCAGGAGTTGGAGACCAGCCTGGGCAACACGGTGAAACCCCATCTCTACAAATAGAGTTTAAAAATTAGCCGGGCATGGTGGCGCACACCTGTAATCCCAGCCACTCAAGAGGTTGAGGCATGAGACTCGCTTGAACCCGGCAGGCGGAGGTTGCAGTGAACCGAGATCGCACCACTGTATTTCAGCCTGGGTTACAGAGTGAGACTCTGTCTCAAAAAATAAATAAATAAATAAATAAATAAGAGTTGGCTTCCTAATTTATTTCTCTGTGCATTGAGTTCGCCTTAGTGAGCTCCCTCGTGTGGGGCGCAGCTCTGTGCACTGGCTCTCTGATGTCTCACACGTAACTGGCTCTCCCCGCTGCATTTCTACAGAGGATGCCAGCATCAAGCCAAATCCACCGACGGCGAGATTGAGGCCTATAAGAAATCCATCATGAAGGAGGAAGAAAAGAACGAGAAGCTGGCGAGCATCCTGAACCGGACAGAGACGGAAGCCACACTGCTGCAGAAGCTCACCACCCAGTGCCTGACCAAGCAGGTGGCCCTGCAGAGCCAGTTCAATACCTACAGGCTCACCCTGCAGGACACAGAGGATGCCCTCAGCCAGGACCAGCTGGTGAGGCCGGGCCCGCCCCACAGGTCACACCTGGCGCACGGTGGTGCCTCTTCAGGCACGTGCACCCTGTGGCTCCTTGTCTCCAGGAACAAATGATACTCACGGAGGAGTTGCAGGCCATCCGCCAAGCCATCCAGGGCGAGCTGGAGCTCAGGAGGAAGACGGATGCTGCCATCCGGGAGAAGCTGCAGGAGCACATGACCTCCAACAAGACCACCAAATACTTCAACCAGCTCATCCTGAGGCTGCAGAAGGAGAAGACCAACATGGTAGGCCCCTGCCCCAGGGAGGGGCTGTGCGAAGCCCCCTGCAGCCTGGGCATATGAGGGCAAGCCGTCCTGGAGGCGGAGAGGGCGGAGTCAGTGTGAGCAGAGGGCCCTCCTGTGCTCACTCCTTTCCATGGTGTTCAGGTTGTAAGGGTGATACATTTTTACTGTAGAAAACCTAGAAATAGGCCAGGCGTGAGCCACCGCATGGCCAGCTGCCAGCCAAAGGCTGATTTCCCTGGGGGGACCTGGAGTGTGACTTCGACGTCCATGGCAGGGAACCCCCAATTGTGAGCTCATGTTCGCATCCCCTGGGATCTTGCTTTATCCTTTATCACCTGTGGTGGGGGTGGAGGGGACTTGTGTCCTTAGAAAAAACAATTCCTTACTTGAATTGTTTTTTCTTTGCCTCTTCCCGAGGGGTGACCGCCTCCCCAACACCCCGCCTCAAGCAGGCCCCTTTGGAGGACCCCCAGAGGCTACCACAGGCTCCACCATTTCCAGAGCACATCCTAGCAGTGGGGCCTGCCCAACAGTCCCCATTTTAGTCTCAGAGGAGGGTGACAGATTCCCGATGCCAAGCTCTGCCGGTTTTGCCCTCCTGAGGGGTGGGAAAGGAGCTGGCCAGGCAGAGCTGAAGGGCGTGGTGGGTGTGAAGGAGCCCATCCAGCCGTGCTGCTACCAGCCAAGTCCAGTTCCCAATCCCCAGGCCCCCGGGCCCCCGCCGAGCCCCTGTCTGGGCAGCCCGATAGGTCATACGTGTTTTGCTGCCAGTTTCCAGAAGAGGGCAGCAAAGAGTCTTGGACCAACACATTCGTCTATTACGACAATTTTCCAACCGATGCCAGTCCAGCTGCTGAAAAGAGTACCCCCGACACGATGTTTGAACTGCTCAAAGCCTCATGGGCTGATAGAAGGTGGGGTGGGGAGGCATATCTGGGAGGAGGAGCAAAGTGTGGATGGGCGGGACCACCCATCCGGAGCTGGGGTCAACCACGGGGTCCAGGCAGTTAATCCAGGGATGGTGTAGATGCCTAGGGGGAGCCAGGGTGGGCTCCACAGAGACCACAAACAGCCAGGAGTGGAGCGGGGGTGCAGGCCCGGCTGTGACGGGGAGGGACTGAAGGGGACTTGGAGCCATAGCCCCTGCAGGGCAGTTGGGGAGGGGGGAGGCAGGGAGTCCTTGGGGGGCCCAGATCTCAGGGTGAACTTGGCAGAGGAGGAGGCTGCGAGCTGACATTGCCACACAACTCCAGATGCCGGAAGCTTCCACTCCAGGTGGGCAGGGTCTGGGTTCCACCACCTGGGGACATTGGGTCTCCTGGGAAGCCGCCCGTGGTGGCCAGTGAGAGACATGGAGCCCACAGGCGTGGCGGGAGGAGAAGCTCAGATGGCCCTGAGGAGGCTGGGGTAGGCAGGAGCCACAGTCGTGAGAGAGCCAAGGCCTTGTGTGGCAGGAGCCGACGGGCAGGGGTGCTCAGGGCAGACACAGGGCCCGAGGCCACCTGTTAGAACCATGCCCTGGGGAAGAGGACCCTGTCCTGGTGGTGACAGCATCTCCCTGTTCCCAGAGCAGCTTTGGCCACACCATTGCAGCTGTGACTGCCACTGCCTCACTCCTGATTATCACAAACGTCCTCTCGATAAACCCCCCGTTGCCAGAAGGGATCCAAAGTCTGTCTAATGCCTCCAAAGAGCCCACAGAGGAGGCCAGCACTGGCGGCTCAGACCTGCCGGACAGCAGGAGGGGTCAGAACGCATGGAGGAACCAGTGTCTAACAATTGCTTCTTGCTTCATAAACTATGCTGCAAATGTGATAGAGTACAGCACAGCCATTACAGCTTACAGAGCACAGGAACATAAGACCCGACTTACCAGATTAAAAAGCAGGTTAGCACCCAGTGTGTAGGGTGTGATCCTATTTTTATTTTGGAGAATTATATAGAAAAGACTGGGAGGAAAAATGGATTCAGATGGGAATGGTAGCTAACTTGTGTCAGAATTGCAGGCAATTGAATGTGTTCTCTGTCCTGGCCTGTATTTTCACATTTCCTCACAATGTGTGTGCTACGATTTAAGAAGTGTGTTAGTCTGATCTCACACTGCTGTAGGAAATACCTAAGACTGGATAACTGATAAAGGAAAGAGGTTTAATTGACTGACAGTTCTGCATGGCTGGGGAGGCCTCAGGAAACTTACAATCATGGCAAAAGGCGAAACAGGCACCTCCTTCACAAGGCAGCAGGAGAGAGAGTGTGTGTGAAGCAGGAACCGTCAAACACACAAAACCATCAGATCTCATGAGAACTCACTATCATGAGAACAGCATGGGGGTAGCGGCCCCCATGGTCCAGTCACCTCCCACAGGGGCCCTCCCTTGACATGTGGGATTATGGGGACACAATTCAAGATGAGATGTGAGTGGGGACACAGCCAAACCACATCAATAAGAAAAGCTAATACCATGATCTCTCTTTTCTGTAAAAAGCCAACATCTGGGTTCCAACAAGTAGGTCCCTTGCTGGGTCCTGGAGACAGTGGGAAATCCAGCCTCCTGCACTCGTGACTGTGCGTTTGGAATATCTCCAGAGGAACATCCCGACCGTCAGGGAACGGTGGATCAGCAAACTCGTCCCGGGCCTTGGGTGGGGGCAATATTCACAGGTATTTCTTTTCATCAATTCAGATGACACATCTTTCCAAAATCAACGGTGACATTGCCCAGACCACCCTGGACATCACACACACCAGCAGCAGGCTGGACGCACACCAGAAGACCCTGGTGGAGCTGGACCAGGACGTGAAGAAAGTCAACGAGCTCATCACCAACAGCCAGAGCGAGATCTCCCGGCGCACGATCCTGATCGAGAGGAAGCAAGGGCTCATCAACTTCCTCAACAAGCAGCTGGAGCGGATGGTCTCCGAGCTGGGGGTGAGGTCCCAGGCAGGGAGACGTGGTCCCCGGCTGACTGTGGTGCCTGGTGGGGCAGAGCCCCCTCAGATCCCCCACGGTCAGACATGAACTCCTGGAAGGCACAGAACTGCCTCTTTCCCTACCTGCTTTACAGACAAAATGGCACGTGTGCCAAGCGCTCTAAGTCACATTTTTCTGCACAAGGCCAGAGAGTATTCCGGCTTTGTGGCCAGTTGGTCTCTCTGGCAGTGACACGGCTCTGCCTCCATAGCGAGAAGGAGCATAGGTAAAACGTAAAGGAATGGGCACGGCTGTGTCCAATCAGATGTTATTCAAGGCCACTGAAGTCTGAATTCCAAATAATTTTCACCCAGCACGAAATATTCTGCTGCTCTAAGAAAAGTGGCCTAATGCGTTTGAGGCCTGATGCCATATACGTCATCCAGGTCCCTGTACTCTCAAAGCCCCTTTGGGTTCCAGAGGCCCCACCCACCCTGCCAGCGCACCCACCATGGGGAAGCTAGAGGGGGCTCCAGAGCCCCTTAGCCATATTTCCTCCAGCGGGGTCTGTGGCTTGCGGCCCTGCTGAGAGCTAACTTGAGCCCCTCGGCCTTCGTCCAGTTTCATGACCTCAGGGTTCCAGGCCCTCTGCAGCCCACTCACAAAGACCTTTGAGCCCAAGAAGGCTAATTTTGCTTTTTTTTTTTTTTTTTTTTTCTGAGACGGAGTCTTGCTCTATTGCCCAGGCTGGAGTGCAGTGGTGCCATCTTGCTCACTGCACATCTGCCTCCTGAGTTCAAGCGATTCTCCTGCCTCAGCCTTCCAAGTAGCTGGGACCACAGGTGTGCACCAGCACACCTGGCTAATTTTTGTATTTTGGGTAGAGACGGGGTTTCACCCTGTTGGCCAGGCTGGTCTTGAACTCCTGACCTCGGGTGATCCACCCGCCTCAGCCTCCCAAAGTGCTGGAATTACAGGCGTGAGTCACTGCGCCCAGCCCTAATTTTGCTTTTTGATGAATATCCGGTCTAGGGGGAAGAAGTGGGGCCCCTGGAGCTTGAAATCAAAAGGCTGAGCAAGCTGATCGACGAGCACGATGGCAAGGCGGTCCAGGCCCAGGTGACCTGGCTGCGCCTGCAGCAGGAGATGGTCAAGGTGACACAGGAGCAGGAGGAGCAGCTGGCCTCCCTGGACGCATCCAAGAAGGAGCTCCACATCATGGAGCAGAAGAAACTACGAGTAGAAAGTAAGAGCCGCCGTGCCCGGCCCTGCAGTGATGCTGAGACGAGCTCTGGGACGTGGGCACCTCCCAGGGGAGGGGCACTCAGTGGGGCACGTCGCTGGATTTGCACGCAGCCTTAAAAGCAAATAACAAACGCGCATGCTCCCTGTATTTTGTAAATGTGAACCACTGCCTGCCCAGCTGCCCAGTTCGCAGTCACAGCGGGAGGGTTGAGAAATGTCACGAAATGGCTCCAAGCTCACGGACTTCAGAGCTCTCCTTGAGAGAGGAGCATGGAAGGTTATCATCCCCGCCAAGCCAGGGCACTCAGGTGGAAACACTGGCACGGGAAAAGCCAGGGTCCTGCCAGGCAGGCTCCTGGTGCTGTCCCCACATCACCTCCAGTTGGGCTTAGAAAACCATTCCACCGGGGCTCCCCAACCCTTCTGAGGCCCAAGGGGCTGCCAAAGCACCAGGGTGCCTGGAATGATGGAGGCGGGCATCCTTCCTGGACCACTCTCCACCCACATGTCCACCTGCCGAGACATCCCGGGTCCTGCCCGGTCTTGGGTCGGGGATCCATGCTGGTCAGGCCTGCAGCAGAGCCCCCATGGGAAATGCTGCCCAGACACATCATGTGCCCTTCTCGGAGGTCCTGCTGCCTCTCGCCCTGCCCTTCTTGGGTTGCCCAAACCCGTCTGTTGGTGAGTAGCAAGTCCCAAAAGACCCTATGGAGCTGTCAGCTGAGTATCGGTGTCCCAAGGCAAGAGCTGCCGAAATACCATGCTGTGAGATGGGGAGGATCACCCATGGAGAGGGCAGAGAGAGGGGCTCACATGCCCATGTCCTGGGGTAGTCAGGGCACACCATGGGGACAGCAGGAGGAGCTGGAGAAGCCCTGTGAGGAGTGGCCAGCGGATGAACCAGCTGTGGCCTCTTGTGCCCTCCACCCATCTTAACATCAAGAAGAGCTGTTGTTTTCTGCCCCTACCCCTGAGCTTGGCTGGGGCAGGGCAGGGGTCTAAGGGCCTCCCTCTCCTGGAGACTCACAGTGTCTGAGCATCAACCAGGTCCCGGTGCTCCACAGATTTGCAAGTGTCTGGGGGAGGGAGCCTGGCCCTCCCACACGCCCTGCCCACACCTGCTGGCTGTCCCCACAGGCAGGTCCTCTCAGTTCCGTTGGAGGACCAGGCTTTGGGAGCTTAGCAGCCAAAAAGAGACCCCCTGTCCTCTCCTCTCCTCTGTCCTGGCAGGGACGAGATTCAGGCAGGAGCGCCAGGAACGACAAGAGGGAGGGGATGAAGGGAGCTACAGGGAGAGACAAAACCTGGCTCACCTCTCGGACACTGCTGCCTGCGGGCGAGGACCCGTACCCTCCTGGGGTCTCTCCCTGAGTCTCTGTTTTCTGCCATAGGCAAGATTGAGCAGGAGAAGAAGGAGCAGAAGGAGATCGAGCACCACATGAAGGACCTGGACAACGACCTGAAGAAGCTCAACATGTTGATGAATAAAAACCGGTGCAGCTCGGAGGAGCTGGAGCAGAACAACCGGGTGACAGAGAATGAGTTCGTGCGCTCGCTGAAGGTCCGGCCGTGTCCACGCAGTCCCGGGGCTCAGGACGATGGAGGGCGGGGGTACGGTCCTTGCGGTGGGCGTTCTGCACCAGGATGTAATTTCCACACCCGTTCAAGATGCTTGTAGGGGTATTAGAAATCCAGCCTGCAGCCCTGCCCTCGGTGCCGGGATAGAGGGCACCAGCCCCGGCATCCACAATCCCATGGCCCTCCCCACAGCTGTCCCGCCCCCTCCCCCATGCAGGCCTCTGAGAGGGAGACCATCAAGATGCAGGACAAGCTGAACCAGCTCAGCGAGGAGAAGGCGACCCTCCTGAATCAACTGGTGGAAGCAGAGTGAGTCCCAGTCTCCAGCCACACGTGGGTCATGAAGGTCACTGCACCTACAGGCCTCTGTCCGTTGAAGACCATGTAGGAGGCCAGGTGTGGCAGCTCACACCCATATCCCAGTGCTTTGGTCATTTTTTGTTGTTGTTTTGTTTTTTGTTTTGTTTTGTTTTGTTTTTAGACAGTCTTGCTCTATCCCACAGGCTGGAGTGCAGCCGTGCGATCTCAGCTCACTGCAACCTCTGCCTCCCAGCTTCAAGTGATTTTCCTGCCTCAACCTCCTGAGTAGCTGGGATTACAGGTGCCCGCCACCATGCCTCACTAATTTTTGTATTTTTAGTAGAGATGGGGTTTCACCCTGTTGGCCAGGCTGGTCTTGAACTCCTGATCTCAGGTGATCTGCCCACCTCAGCCTCCCAAAGCGCTGGGATTACATTCATGAGCCACCGTGCCCAGCAATCCCAGTGCTTTGGGATGCCAAGGCAGGAGGCTCCTTTGGGGCCAGGAGTTCAAGACAAGACGGGGCAACACAGTGAGACCCCATATCTACAAAAATGTTTTAAATTGGCCAGGCATGGTGGTGCATGCCGGTAGTCCCAGCTACTCGGGAGGCTGAGGTGGGAGGATCGCTTGAGCCCAGGAGGTCAAGGCTGCAGTGAGCTAGGATTGCACCACTGCACTCCAGCCTGGGCGACAGAGCGAGACCCTGTCTCTAAAAGAAGAAAAAGACCACCTGGGCATGGGTCTGGAACCCACCCTAGTGGATCCCAGATTCCCCACAGAGTCTGTCTACCCCCCTTGGTGGCAGTTCTTGAGCCAAACGAGTTACTGCTAGAAATTGAAGGGTTTCCTTTGTGATAAAGTTTTTAAGTATCCATTATTTTATGGTGTCTGATTATTAAAGTAACACACACCCAGCTCTAAACATTTTAAACTATACAATGCGTGCAAAGTACCCAGGGAAAATTGCATATAATTCCAACGCCCTTCACTTCCCAGAAAACCAATGTGTAGCTATATTCCTTTCTTGTTTTGCTCTGTTTTTTACACAAATGGGATTGTTTCAGAAGTTCCCCCTTGAAGCACTTTAGTATTTTCATGGCCATCTTTCCGTGTCACACACGTGGGCCCATATCTCCCTGTGGAAAGGGTGCGGAGCAGGCGTGGTGTGGAGGCACCGTCCTTTCTTCAGCGTGCTCCGGAAGGGATGAATAGCGCAGGGATCGCCTGTTCCTTGCGGTTTGATAGAATCTAGGCAAAAAATTATCTGGGACCAATGCTTTGGGGGGCTTGTATCTTTGGTGACATTTAAATAGCTTTTAGACTATTGGTGTATTCAGGCTTTTTACTTTTTCTTAAGTCAGCTTCTATCAATTATACTGACTTTCTCAGCTCCTACAGTTATATATCCCTGTTCTCTCTCTCTCTGTCTCTCTGTTTCTTCCCCACCCCCATCTCCCTCCCTCCCCCTGTATGCCAGAGGTTGGCAAACGTTTGCATAAGGAGCCCAGTAGTGAACACTTCAGGCTTTGAGAGCCTCACGCTTTCTGTCGCAGCTGCTTGGCTCTGCCATTGCAGCTTGAGAGCCTTGTAAAGCCTTAGAGTGTGAGCTCACCGAAGCATCAGAAGAAAACTCCTAATTTCTTACACTGCCTCTCCTACCTCTAAAGACACCAGATTATGCTTTGGGAGAAAAAAATCCAACTGGCAAAAGAGATGCGTTCCTCAGTGGATTCCGAGATCGGCCAGACGGAGATCCGGGCCATGAAGGGCGAGATCCACAGGATGAAGGTGAGGGGAGGAGAGCGGCGTGGCAGGGCCTGCTGGGTGCCAGCCCTTGGGCTCTGGAGACCTGGCCACACCAAGGCCTCGGCTCTCCCGGGGCTCCTGTGGGAACCACACTGGCCACATTGGCTGGTGGCAATGGGTGAGATTTCCAGGGAGCGACCCGCTCCAGCAGAGTGACCTGCACTCCAGCCGAGCACTGGCAAAGCGCACGTCCCCCTTGACCCAGCTTTTACCACACGCTTGCTTTTAATGTGCAGAAATATTGCAGAACAACACAGGACGCACACAGGCACGTGCACGAACAACACGGGACGCACGCAGGCACGTGCACGAAGAACACGGGACGCGCGCAGGCACGTGCACGAACAACACGGGACGCGCGCGGGCACGTGCACGAACAACACGGGACGCGCGCAGGCACGTGCACGAACAACACGGGACGCGCGCAGGCACGTGCACGAACAAGGGACGCGCGCAGGCACGTGCACGAACACAGGACACACACAGCACGTGCATGAACAACACAGGACACACACAGCACGTGCATGAACAACACAGGACACACACAAGCACGTGCATGAACAACACAGGACACACACAAGCACGTGCATGTCATCTCACAAAACGCTGTTTTATTCCTACTCCATGTAATCACAGCACGCTGGTATTTTTAAATGCCGGTTGTAACCCTCAAACTTTGTGACCCTCTAACGTATCCCACTGTGAGACAGTCTCACACCACAGAAGGGCTCAGAGAGCACCCCCATCTCATCCTTCACAGCCGCGTTGTCTCTCCATGGTCACAATTAGATTTCATTGCCTTTAAAAGGCTGGTAATTAAATTGCAAGTGGTCATCAAGCTAAAGGTTCAGGGCCTTAAGGATAACAGTAAGAGCAGTTCATAAAATAAATGGGCCTCACTTTCACCATGCCATGCTAAATAGAAATTCCTCTGCTGAGTTATTTTTCAGATCAAGTGCATATGCTAATAAGATGTTGTGTTTAAAAATACCAAATTTAATTGACTTTTCATATTACAGAAGCCACATGTATTTGCTGGAGCAAGACAAGCTCTCCTCCACAGAGTGGGGGCCAAAGAGAAGGTCCGGGCTGCTCCTCCCTGTCCCTTCTTCCCCGGCTCCCCCTCCTCAGCCAGGGCGACTGTGTCAGCCGCTGCAGGGATAAGGCCTCTCACCTTCTCGGATCTCACACAAATGCACAGGCAGGGCTTGCCTTGGCCCTACATGGTTACTAACCCATTCTTTAACAGTTACAATATATACTATGGATATTTCACAATTTATTGATCCAGTCCCAGGTTGGTGAAAATTCAGGTTGTTTCCAATTTGTTGTTGGTGTTATTGTTTTGTCCTAGACACAATGTGTGTTAGGGTTCTCCAAAGAAACAGAACCAGTAGACTACACACACACACACACACACACACACACACACACACACACAGAGAGAGAGAGAGAGAAAGAAAGAGAGATTTACTATGAGAATTGGCTCTTATGATTATGAGGGCCGAGAAGTCCTAGTATCCGGCATCTAATCTGCAGACCCAGGAGAGCCCATGATTCAGTCAAGTCTAAGACCTGAGAAGGAGGCAACGGTGTCATCCCAGCCCAGTGTTCCCCCACCCCCACCCCGTCCCACCACCTTCTTCTGCCTTTTCTCCTCAGGCCCTCAACAGATTGGATGATGTCACCCAGCCTGGCAAGAGGGATCTTTACTCTGTTCAAATGCCAATCATTTCCAGGGACACCCTCACAGTTCTACCCAAAACAGAAATCATGTTTTTCCAGCTATCCAGGCATTCCTTAGCCCAGTTAGGTTAACCCAAAATCAGCCATCACACAGCATTATAATCACATCCTTCCTTACTGGTTCTTTTTTTTTTCTTCTAGACTATGTTCCCAAAGGTGAGATTACTAGGTCAAAGGGTGTATAAATTCTGACTGTAACAGCCTGACAGATTACTTGTCTAAAAAGCACATGGCGGCAGTCATATCTGTACCTTCTTCTCAGTTCTGGTGTTATTTATCTATCTTTTTTTTTTTTTAATTGAGGTTTTTCAGCTGAGTGGAAGCTCACAGCTTAGGGCATTCAGCCCTATAAGGATTTTCTGGGTTTTTTTGTTTTGTTTTGTCTGTTTGTTTTTTGTTTTGTCTTTGAGACAGACTCTCTGTCATTCAGGCTGGAGTGAAGTGGTGGGATCTCGGCTCGCTGCAACCTCCGCCTCCCAAGTTCAAGCGATTCTCCTGCTTCAGCTTCCCAAGTAGCTGGGATTACAGGTGTGTGCCACCATGCCTGGCTAATTTTTTTGTATTTTCAGTAGAGACGGGGTTTCGCCATTTTGCCTAGGCTGGTCTCAAACTTCTGAGCTCAGGCAATTCGCCCACCTCAGCCTCCCAAAGTGCTGGGATTACAGGTGTGAGCCACTGTGCCCAGCCAGCCCTACAAGTTTTGATAGAGACGTACAATCATGTAGCCACTGCCACATCATGATATATTTCCTCATCCTCGAATTCCCTCATGCCCTCTGTAGTCAGCTCACCGCATACCCCAGCCGCCATGACAGCCACCAGTCTCTCTCCATGCCTGTCGTTTTGGCTTTTCCAGAATGTCACATAAATGGATCAAATAGGGTGAGACATATTGAGCCTGACTTTCCTTGCTTAGCCTCATGCATTTGAGATTCTTCTGTGTGGTGAAGCCCAATTACCCAGTCTGTTCTCTTTTTTTAGAGACAGGGTTTCGCTCTGTCACCCGGGCTGGAGTGCAGTGGTGCAATCATGGCTCACTGCAGCCTTGACCTTGTGGGCTCAAAGGATCCTCCTGCCTGGGCCTCCCAAAGTGCTGGGATTACGGGCACACACCACGGCACCCACCCCTCAGTCTGTTCTTTCATGGATCGTTTCAGTAGCTTATCTGAGGAGCCTCTGCCTAGCTGAAGGTCACGAAGAGCTTCTCTTCTGTTTTCTTCTAGAAGCTTCCTGCTTTTAGGTTTTACATTTAGGTCCATAATGTATTTTGAGTTAATTTTTGTGTATGGTGCAAGTTGTGGACTGGGGTTAATTTTTTTTGCATTTGGATGTCCACTGGAGTCAGCCCTGCTTGCTTCCTGAAAAGACTGCCCTTCCTCCACCGAACTACCGTCCAGTCCTTGTTGAAATCAGCTGACACGTTTGTGTGGGTTCGTTTCTGGGCTGTTTTGTTCTACTGATTTCTGTTTCTGTCCCTTCACCAATGCCCTGCTGTCTTGATTTCTGTAACTCTATACTTACGAAATTCCTCCGACTTCCTTTTTTTTTAAGACAGAGTCTTGCTCTGTTGTCCAGACTGGAGTGCAGTGGCACTCACATCTCAGCTCGCTGCAACTTCCACCTCCTGGGTTCGAGCAATTCTCCTGCCTCAGCCTCCTGAGTAGCTGAGACTACAGGCATGTGCCACCACACCCAGCTAATTTTTTGTATTTTTAGTAGAGATGGGGTTTCACCATGTTGGCCAGGCTGGCCTTGAACTCCTGATCTCAGATGATCCACCTGCCTCGGCCTCCCAAAGTGCTGGGATTACAGGTGTGAGCCACTGTGCCCGGCCAGCTGATTTTAATATTAGGCTGTTTTCTTATTTCTCTTTTTTTTTTTTTTGAAACAGTCTCGCTCTGTTGCCCAGGCTAGAGAGCAGTGGCACGATCTCAGCTCACTGCAACCTCTGCCTCCCGGGGTTCAAGTGATTCTCCCGCCTCAGCCTCCTGAGTAGCTGAGATTACAGGCGTGCACCACTATGCCTGGCTAATTTTTGTATTTTTGGTAGAGACGGGATTTCACCATGTTGGCCAGGTTGGTCTCAAACTCCTGAGCTCAGGTGATCCACCGGTTTCGGCCTCCCAAAGTGCTGGGATTACAGGCGTGAGCCACCGCACCCGGCCTGTTTTCTTATTTCTTAACATTTTTTAGGAGTTCCTTATACATTCGGTTATTAACCCCTGTCTTCAATACCTATTAAAATAGTGGCTCTGACCTATCATTGTCTTTGCCCTCTGTTTAGGGGGTCTTTTGCCACACAGACTTTTTAGTGTTTCTTAGTGTGGCTCCAAGTCACTTTATGGTACATTTTAAACCTGAGTAAGCTTGGTCTCCCTTCACCCTGCTTATCTTCGGGATTCTTGCCTGTTTTTTCTTTTAAATCAACTTTAGGCATAACTTTCATAAGATAAAATATGCTTATTTTAAACGCAGAGTTTGGGCTGGGTGCGGTGGCTCACGCCTGTAATCCTAGCACTTTGGGAGGCCGAGGCGGGTGGATCACTTGAGGTCAGTTCAAAACCAGCCTGGCCACCACGGTGAAACCCTGTCTCTACTGAAAAAAAAAAAAAAAATAGCCAGGCGTGGTGGCAGGTGCCTGTAATCCTAACTACTTGGGAGGCTGAGGCAGGAGAATTGCTTGAATCTGGGAGGTGGAAGTTGCGGTGAGACGAGATTGTGCCATCGCACTCCAGCCTGGGCAACAGAAGGAGACTGTGTCTCAAAAAATTTTTTTTATAAAAAGGCTGGGTGCAGTGGCTTATGCCTGCAATCCCAGCTTTGGGAGGCCAAGGTGGGCGGATCGAGACCATCTTGGCCAACATGGTGAAACCCCATCTCTACTAAAAATACAAAAATTAGCCAGGCCTGGGGGCAGATACCTGTAATCCTAGCTACTCAGGAGGCTGAGGCAGAAGAATCACTTGAACCCGGGAGGCGAAGGTTGCAGTGAGCCTAGATGGCTCCACTGCACTCCAGCCTGGTGACAGAGCAAGACTCCGTCTCAAAAAATTTTTAAAAAAGCACAGTTTGGTGGGTTCTAACACGCGCACACATCTACGTAGCCACTGACGCCATCAAGACATAGAACCTTTCTATGACTCCAGAAAGTTCCTGTGCACCCCCGCAGCCAATCCTCACGCTACAACCCAGTCCCCAGCCCCAGGTCCTCCACCCAAGCCAAGGTGCATTGTCACAACTAAGAAATTAACCTTCATGCAATACTGCTAACCAAACTACAAACTCTAATCAGATTTCACCAATTTTCTCAATGAGATTTTTTTCTGCTGCAGGATCTGACCCTGGCTTAGTTGCTTTTAGTTCTCACATCTCCTTGGTGGCCTCAGGTCTCGGCCATTTCTCCACCTTGCACTGTCTGCCTGTGGATTCCGGGTTCCCACCCAGGGCTGCTGCCTCCATGTCCCTTGTTCCTCCTGGCGGCACAGGCCTCACTGTTTCCCCGCCGATCCCCATGCGTGTCACCGGAGGATGAGCGAGGCCAGCGCCCCGGCCACTCTCTCTGCAGCTGCAGCTCAGGCCTGCCCCAGCCCCAGCCCCTCTGTCCTGTCTCCCAGGTCAGGCTCGGGCAGCTGCTGAAGCAGCAGGAGAAGATGATCCGTGCCATGGAGTTGGCGGTTGCCCGCAGAGAGACCGTCACCACCCAGGCCGAGGGGCAGCGCAAGATGGACAGGAAGGCGCTCACCCGCACCGACTTCCACCACAAGCAGCTTGAGCTGCGCCGGAAAATCAGGGACGTTCGCAAGGTAGGGAGCAGCGGAAAGGAAACAGGGCGCCTGCTCCTCTCTCTGGGATTCAAGGAACACTCCAGGAAGGCGTCTTGCTGGGTCCGGGGTGAGGATGCAGAGGCTGCAGTGGGGGCGTGCTCAGCACTGCTAACCTGCTGCTGGGTGCTGGGTCTGGGGTGAGGATGCAGAGAGACCATCCCCAGTTCTGCTAACCTGCTGCTGGGTTCGGGGTCAGGGGTGAGGATCCAGAGGCTGTTAGAGGGGCGTGCTCAGCACTGCTAACCTGCTGCTGCTACGGGGCCTGTCTGGGAGACTGCAGAATGCCCGCACCGGACAGAGCTGCTGACACCCAGAGACGGCCGTGTTTCAGCCCCTCCCTGCATATCGGAGGTGGCATTGGGAAGGCATAGAGTTCTGGGGAAGAGGCCAGCTCATGCTGGGGAGCCCGAGTGGGCACCGGGGACCAGCTGATGGGAGCGGGGTGGGCGCCTCGAGAGCCTGCATCCGCATACCCCAGGCCATGTCCACTGGGCCTGCACTGGGAGGGCCCAGCTGGTGCTGTCCGGTGCTTACCACCTCAACGGTTGCCAGCCAGGGGCCCTGCACTCACACTTCCCAGGTTGGCCCCACAGCCCCGCTGACCCGCTGTGTGACCTCGGAGTATGTGGGCCTTGCCAGACCTGCAGGGCCTCGTCTGCTGGGGGGTGGAGGGGCAGAGTTAAATGTGACAGCAACCACAGCCGTGGGTGGGGAGGTGGCCTTGGGGACAGCTGACAGCATGGCTTGGAGCCACGCTGGACCATTCCTGACTGGGGCATACGGTCTGACCTCCCAGAGCCTTGGTTTACTGACCTGTGAAATGGGTGCCCACCTCTCAGAGTCACCCAGAGGGTTCCCTGGAGAGTGCTGAAGTCATCCCTGTAGGGAAAGGCTAGCCAAAAATGGCAGACATGCATGGGCTGCTCATTTGGAAGTAACTGGAAGTTTCTGGAGAGAGGCGGCAGAGTGGCCTCTTCTCAGTCCTTTTCCACTACATTGGCTACTCCTGATGTCCATCCCTCCCTCAGCTTCCTAGCCCGGCCCCTGACCACTCCTTGCTGCCCTGGGCACCCCCTGAGTCCCCTGCCAGGACCCCATGCCCACCCCTCACCTCCTGTCTGCTCCAAGCCACACTCAAGTTCTCCAGCCCCAGGCCCTGCGCCCCACACGACGCCATCACTGATGGGTCCTTGTCCTCACCCCTGCCAGCCCCACCCCAAAGATCTTCCGTGTCCCCAGCCAGCCCTGAGAGTCACTGTGTCTCCTGCATCACCCCCTGGACCATGTCAGCTGCCAAACACTGCCTGCCCGGCTTTTCTTTCTCTTAATTGTGCTGCTTTCCCCGAAGGCGGAACGAACACCACACAGATGGCCCCAGCCTCGCTCCTCCCTCAGCAGAGGCCCCCACCCTCCTCTCTCCCAGGCTCCCCAGCCTGCCTCTCGGCCCTTACAGCCTCAGCCCTGCCCTTGGCACACGGCTGCTGAACTGTGCCAGTCTCCTGCCTGGGGACAGACCCACTGCACGGGGAGCCCCAGAACCACTCAGGCCCCCATCTCTCTGCCACACCTGCCTTAAAGGAGCAGTGTGCAGTGTGGGCTGGCTGGGCCTGGCATCTCCCAGGCCTCGCCTCTCCAGCCCTCCCATTCCTCTTTGGGAGCCTCCCTGGATGGAGTGTGTGGAAGGTGCCTGGCAGGTCCTCCCAGCCTGACTCTTCCCTGTCCGCCAAGTAGCCGGGCTGCAGGGGCCCAGCATGGTCCTGTGATTCTCCTAGGCCACCGATGAGTGCACCAAAACCGTCCTGGAACTGGAAGAAACACAAAGAAATGTGAGCAGCTCCCTCCTAGAGAAGCAGGAAAAGCTGTCGGTGATTCAGGCAGACTTCGACACACTCGAGGCCGACCTCACCCGGCTTGGGGCCCTCAAACGACAGGTAAACGTGTCCCAGGAGGTCCCTGGGGATGACGGCCATGGAACATGCCACTCACACAGAGGTCCTGCGTCCCCTCTGTGCGAGTCACGGCCTCTCCTGATCAGGTCACGGCCTCTCCTGATCCCAGGCCAGTAATAGCACCACCGGCTGCTCACATGTTTGTGGCTTTGTGATTTGTTCCACTGACAAATGTTGATGGAGTATCTGTTATGGGCTGGGCTCATGTTCAGCGTGCGAGGGTTACAAAATAGAACACAAAAAACAAACATTCCTGTGCTCTTAGAGGTTACCTCCTGGGGCAGGAGGACAGATGATGAGCAAAATAATTTTAAAAGATACAGTGTGTTGTAGCTAGGCATGGTGGTACACACCTGTGGTGCCAGCTACTCAGGAGGCTGAGGTGGGAGGATCGCTTGAGCCTGGGAGGTCGAGACTGCAGTGAGCCAAGGTTGTACCACTGCACTCCAGCCTGGGTGACAGAGGGAGATCCTGTCTCAAAAAGAAAAGAAAAGAAAAGAAAAGAAAAGAAAAGAAAAGAAAAGAAAAGAAAAAGGGAAATGGTGTGTTAGGTGGTGGTAAATGCTTTGAAGGAAGATAAACCAGAGAAAGAAGCGTCAGGGTCATTGGGGTGAACTGAGGGATTGACATTTTGAGTTAGGGTGATGCGGGAAGGCCCTGCGGAGCAGACATTGGAGTCCAGACCTGAAGGAGGGGACAGCCCACAAAACCACCCCAGGTGGACAGGACAGCCCGGCAAGGCAGAAGCCTGAGACTGCGCAAGGGCTACTAGAGGCCAGTGGGGCAGGCTGGGGAGGTTAGGGTATGTAAGACCCAGGCAGAGAGGGGCGGCCCAGACTGTGTGCGGCCTTAGGGAGAGCACAATCATGACTTTGGACTTTTCTCTTGGGGAGGTGGGCACACAGAGGAGGGCGTTGGGTCTGAGAGGTGACTTGGGCTTTAGCGGGCTCCCGCGCGCTCTAAGATTGCATGTGGATGAAGCATGGATGCGGGGGGCACCTGGGGCTATTTGCAGTGCTTCAGGGCGGCCCCTGTGGGGCTGGCGAGAAGCCATCAGGCTCTGCATATGCGTTATGCCAACATCGCCCGATGGGATTCCTGCTGGGTTGGCTGTGGTGTGAGCAGAGACGGAGGTGGAGAATGGCTCCAAGGTTCTGGCCTGGCCAACTGAGATGATGAGGGGAACGTGCCTGGCACTGGGCCTGACACACGGCAGGTGTCAAGAAGGTTGCCTAAGCCGGGCACGGTGGCTCATGCCTGTAATCCCAGCACTTTGGGAGGCCGCAGCAGGTGGATCACTTGAGGTCAGGAGTTCGAGACCAGCCTGGCCAACATGGCGAAACCCCATCTCAACTAAAAATACAAATATTAGCCAGGCATGGTGGCGGGCGCCTGTAATCTCAGCTACCCGGGCGTGGTGGTGGGGGTGGGTGCCTGTAATTCCAGCTAGTTGGGAGGCTGAGGCAGGTGAATCGCTTGAAGCCGGGAGCCAGAGGTTGCAGTGTGCCAAGATTGTGCCATTGCACTCCAGCCTAGGTAACAGAGCGAGACAGCCTCAAAAAAAAAAAAAAAAAATGCCGGCGGGTCACAGTGGCTCACACCTGTAATCCCAGCACTTTGGGAAGCCGAGGCAGGCGGATCACGAGGTCAGGAGATCGAGACCATCCTGGCTAACACGGTGAAACCCTGTCTCTACTAAAAAAAAAAAAAATACAAAAAATTAGCCGGGCCTGGTGACGGGCATCTGTAGTCCCAGCTACTCAGGAGGCTGAGACAGGATAATGGCGTGAACCCGGGAGGCGGAGCTTGCAGTGAGCCGAGATCGCACCGCTGCACTCCAGCCTGGGCGACAGAGCAAGACTCCATCTCAAAAAAAAAAAAGAATGCCTCCTAGATGGTGATGATGGGTGACCCATAAAGCACCGACCCAGTGCCTCTCAGCCTCTTCCCTGAGATCCAGGGGCGCAACACCTTCACGCCGTCCCTTTTCAGGCGTAGGTCTCGCCTCCTCTTCGGCATTTCCTGGAATCTGAGTTTGTGGGGGGCCAGCAGGTGTCTTTCTTCTGGTTTGCATAGCCCTATATGGAGTCTCTTTTCCTACCCAGAACCTTTCAGAGATCGTGGCCCTGCAGACACGCCTTAAGCACCTGCAGGCTGTGAAGGAGGGGCGCTACGTGTTCCTGTTCCGCTCCAAGCAGTCCCTAGTGCTGGAGCGCCAGCGCCTGGACAAGCGACTGGCTCTCATCGCCACCATCCTGGACCGCGTGCGGGACGAGTACCCCCAGTTCCAGGAGGCCCTGCACAAGGTCAGCCAGATGATCGCCAACAAGCTCGAGTCACCAGGGCCCTCCTAGGGAGCAGCCTGGACTCCGCCTTGCAAGGCCTCCAGGAAGAGATCCGGAATTGTGTTTGTCATGAGGGACTTGGAATCTTTTGTGTTCCTAAAAACCACATGTACCCTCAGAAGGGCATCGTTTAAGAGAAATAAGCCAGCCCCACCCATAGGAATCTTTTTAGCCACTCAGCAATTTAATAAACCAGGTAAAATCCTAGCGTTTCCCATGGCATCCCATCGCAAAGACAGAGCCTGTGACTGCAGACCCACACACCCACACTCCCACACTGGGCTTACTCGTCCAGGTAACACTTTGGTTTGCAGCACTCCCAAATCTGCACGTGCCTCTCACAACACAACGCTGCCACAGGTCCACAAGCTGGTGGGCTGAGCAGAGGTGGGAAAGTTAAGGCAGCTCCAGCCAGCCTGGCCCGGGAGGCTGGTCCCCCCAGCACTTCCCTCTACTAGGTGCATCTGAAAACCCACAAACCACCTTCTTTACCAGTTTTCCCATCCCCACCCCTTAGAACTCTCAGGTCCCTTTTCCTGCCCCCATGTCCCCATTTGAGTTAAATTCAGATCCACAGCTTGCAGGAGAAAGTCAGTGGCCCCAGACACACGTAACAGGGTGAGCACTGAAATAAGAGCACGCTGGGGCGTCCACACCAAGGGACTACGCCCCAGTCTGCCCACCTATCTTTTCTCCATCATTAACCCAGCGCTCTTTCTCCCTGGACTTCCAAGTACCAATGACCTTGGGGCTTCTTTGCAGTTTAAAGGGAAAATGCTCTACAAAATAATTTCACTTTCAAACATTTCAGCAGAAGAATAAAATCTTTTTTCTGAATATCTAGTAAGCCTTTCTGAGTCAGCCTTACTTATTTTAAAACATTGTAGAAATACAGAAACCACAACAGAGGTGGAAGGGAGGCTTTTGTTTTTTTTTTTTTGAGACGGAGTCTCGCTCTGTCGCCCAGGCTGGAGTGCAGTGGCGCGGTCTCGGCTCGCTGCAAGCTGGAAAGGGGGCTTTTAATGCCCCTATGCCCCTACCCAGGAACAACACCTCTGTGTTTTGGTGTGGCTCCTTTTGTATTTTTCTGCACATACATTTTATTAGGCAAGTTAAGGTTATACTGTGTGTTTTTTGTATCTCACATGTAAAAATGTGCTCCTCTTAATGTAAGCATTTTCTCATTTTATGAAAAAATTCCCCCTGTGTCAGTTTAATGTTTTCTCAATTGTCAGTTTTATGGGTTATCACAATGTTTTGATTATTCCTTTCTGGAATAACTGTGAGTTATGGAGCACACTTAAGGACTTTCCAAATGTTGGCTGTTTCTAACTTGGCGCTGAGCGCCTTTGGCCGCCTTTCCGATGATGCCCTCGGGACGCGTTGGCAGGAGGAATCCCTGGGCGCAAGGCGCGGCTGGGCCAGCCCCTTACAAAGCCCTACGAGCTGCGGGGACCCAGGCCGGGGCAGCGGGGGCCACGCCCCATCTCCGACCCCACGGGGACCGGGCCGGGACTGCGCCAGCGGGGGCCTCGCCCCGTCTCTGACCCCAGAGGAACCGGCAGCGGGCAGCACGCGTGGGCCTCTCCCCGCGGGACGCCGGACGCGCAGCCAGACGCGCTCCCCAGGCCCCCTCCGAGAGCGAGGACGCGCCCAGGCCCGCTCTGCCGGAGCCGCCACTGGGGGGCGTAGCGCGGACGCGCACCCTTGCCTCGGGCGCCTGCGCGGGAGGCCGCGTCACGTGACCCACCGCGGCCCCGCCCCGCGACGAGCTCCCGCCGGTCACGTGACCCGCCTCTGCGCGCCCCCGGGCACGACCCCGGAGTCTCCGCGGGCGGCCAGGGCGCGCGTGCGCGGAGGTGAGCCGGGCCGGGGCTGCGGGGCTTCCCTGAGCGCGGGCCGGGTCGGTGGGGCGGTCGGCTGCCCGCGCGGCCTCTCAGTTGGGAAAGCTGAGGTTGTCGCCGGGGCCGCGGGTGGAGGTCGGGGATGAGGCAGCAGGTAGGACAGTGACCTCGGTGACGCGAAGGACCCCGGCCACCTCTAGGTTCTCCTCGTCCGCCCGTTGTTCAGCGAGGGAGGCTCTGCGCGTGCCGCAGCTGACGGGGAAACTGAGGCACGGAGCGGGTGAGACACCTGACGTCTGCCCCGCGCTGCCGGCGGTAACATCCCAGAAGCGGGTTTGAACGTGCCTAGCCGTGCCCCCAGCCTCTTCCCCTGAGCGGAGCTTGAGCCCCAGACCTCTAGTCCTCCCGGTCTTTATCTGAGTTCAGCTTAGAGATGAACGGGGAGCCGCCCTCCTGTGCTGGGCTTGGGGCTGGAGGCTGCATCTTCCCGTTTCTAGGGTTTCCTTTCCCCTTTTGATCGACGCAGTGCTCAGTCCTGGCCGGGACCCGAGCCACCTCTCCTGCTCCTGCAGGACGCACATGGCTGGGTCTGAATCCCTGGGGTGAGGAGCACCGTGGCCTGAGAGGGGGCCCCTGGGCCAGCTCTGAAATCTGAATGTCTCAATCACAAAGACCCCCTTAGGCCAGGCCAGGGGTGACTGTCTCTGGTCTTTGTCCCTGGTTGCTGGCACATAGCACCCGAAACCCTTGGAAACCGAGTGATGAGAGAGCCTTTTGCTCATGAGGTGACTGATGACCGGGGACACCAGGTGGCTTCAGGATGGAAGCAGATGGCCAGAAAGACCAAGGCCTGATGACGGGTTGGGATGGAAAAGGGGTGAGGGGCTGGAGATTGAGTGAATCACCAGTGGCTTAGTCAACCATGCCTGCACAATGGAACCCCGTAAGAAACCACAGGGATCAGAGGGCTTCCCGCCGGGTTGTGGAACACACCAAGGCACTGGAGGGTGGTGCGAGCAGAGAGCACAGCATCACTGCCCCCACCTCACACCAGGCCCTACGCATCTCTTCCATACGGCTGTCTGAGTTTTATCCTTTGTAATAAACCAGCAACTGTAAGAAACGCACT
This sequence comes from Homo sapiens, assembly GCF_000001405.40. NCBI lineage: Eukaryota > Metazoa > Chordata > Mammalia > Primates > Hominidae > Homo > Homo sapiens. The sequence continues at coordinate 80,102,740 of NC_000017.11, forward strand.
TTCCTGAGTTCTGTGACCCTGAAGAGGGAGTCCTGGGAACCTCTGAATTTATAACTAGTTGATCGAAAGTACAAGTGACAACCTGGGATTTGCCATTGGCCTCTGAAGTGAAGGCAGTGTTGTGGGACTGAGCCCTTAACCTGTGGAGTCTGTGCTGACTCCAGGTAGTGTCAAGATTGAATTGAATTGTAGGACACCCAGCCGTGTCCAGAAAGTTGCAGAATTGATGGGTGTGAGAAAAACCCTACACATTTAATGTCAGAAGTGTGGGTAAAATGTTTCACCCTCCAGCCCAGAGAGCCCTAATTTACCAGTGGCCCACGGTGGAACACCACGTCCGGCCGGGGGCAGAGCGTTCCCAGCCAAGCCTTCTGTAACATGACATGACAGGTCAGACTCCCTCGGGCCCTGAGTTCACTTCTTCCTGGTATGTGACCAGCTCCCAGTACCAGAGAAGGTTGCACAGTCCTCTGCTCCAAGGAGCTTCACTGGCCAGGGGCTGCTTTCTGAAATCCTTGCCTGCCTCTGCTCCAAGGCCCGTTCCTCAGAGACGCAGACCCCTCTGATGGCTGACTTTGGTTTGAGGACCTCTCTGCATCCCTCCCCCATGGCCTTGCTCCTAGGACACCTTCTTCCTCCTTTCCCTGGGGTCAGACTTGCCTAGGTGCGGTGGCTCTCCCAGCCTTCCCCACGCCCTCCCCATGGTGTATTACACACACCAAAGGGACTCCCCTATTGAAATCCATGCATATTGAATCGCATGTGGGTTCCGGCTGCTCCTGGGAGGAGCCAGGCTAATAGAATGTTTGCCATAAAATATTAATGTACAGAGAAGCGAAACAAAGGTCGTTGGTACTTGTTAACCTTACCAGCAGAATAATGAAAGCGAACCCCCATATCTCATCTGCACGCGACATCCTTGTTGTGTCTGTACCCGAGGCTCCAGGTGCAGCCACTGTTACAGAGACTGTGTTTCTTCCCCATGTACCTCGGGGGCCGGGAGGGGTTCTGATCTGCAAAGTCGCCAGAGGTTAAGTCCTTTCTCTCTTGTGGCTTTGCCACCCCTGGAGTGTCACCCTCAGCTGCGGTGCCCAGGATTCCCCACTGTGGTATGTCCGTGCACCAGTCAATAGGAAAGGGAGCAAGGAAAGGTACTGGGTCCCCCTAAGGACATACGAGTTGCCAGAATCACTTCCGCTGACACCCAGTGGACCAAGCCGCACCTTTATGCAGAAGTGGGGCTCCCAGCCAGGCGTGGTCACTCCTGAAATCCCAGCACTTCGGAAGGCCAAGGGGGGTGGATCACTTGAGCTCAGGAGTTCGAGACCAGCCTGGGTAACATGGCAAAATCCCGTCTCTACAAAAATACAGAAAATTAGCTGGGTGCGGTGGTGTGTGCCTACAGTCCCAGCTACTCAGGAGGCTGAAGTGGGAGGATTGCTTGAGTCTGGGAGGTGGAGGTTGCAGTGAGCCAGGATCTCACCACAGCACTCTGGCCCAGGCGACAGCTGTTTGGCCTGTTTCAAGTGTCTACCTGCCTTGCTGGTCTTCCTGGGGACATTCTAAGCGTGTTTGATTTGTAACATTTTAGCAGACTGTGCAAGTGCTCTGCACTCCCCTGCTGGAGCTTTTCTCGCCCTTCCTTCTGGCCCTCTCCCCAGTCTAGACAGCAGGGCAACACCCACCCTGGCCACCTTACCCCACCTGCCTGGGTGCTGCAGTGCCAGCCGCGGTTGATGTCTCAGAGCTGCTTTGAGAGCCCCGTGAGTGCCGCCCCTCCCGCCTCCCTGCTGAGCCCGCTTTCTTCTCCCGCAGGCCTGTAGGAGCTGTCCAGGCCATCTCCAACCATGGGAGTGAGGCACCCGCCCTGCTCCCACCGGCTCCTGGCCGTCTGCGCCCTCGTGTCCTTGGCAACCGCTGCACTCCTGGGGCACATCCTACTCCATGATTTCCTGCTGGTTCCCCGAGAGCTGAGTGGCTCCTCCCCAGTCCTGGAGGAGACTCACCCAGCTCACCAGCAGGGAGCCAGCAGACCAGGGCCCCGGGATGCCCAGGCACACCCCGGCCGTCCCAGAGCAGTGCCCACACAGTGCGACGTCCCCCCCAACAGCCGCTTCGATTGCGCCCCTGACAAGGCCATCACCCAGGAACAGTGCGAGGCCCGCGGCTGTTGCTACATCCCTGCAAAGCAGGGGCTGCAGGGAGCCCAGATGGGGCAGCCCTGGTGCTTCTTCCCACCCAGCTACCCCAGCTACAAGCTGGAGAACCTGAGCTCCTCTGAAATGGGCTACACGGCCACCCTGACCCGTACCACCCCCACCTTCTTCCCCAAGGACATCCTGACCCTGCGGCTGGACGTGATGATGGAGACTGAGAACCGCCTCCACTTCACGGTGGGCAGGGCAGGGGCGGGGGCGGCGGCCAGGGCAGAGGGTGCGCGTGGACATCGACACCCACGCACCTCACAAGGGTGGGGTGCATGTTGCACCACTGTGTGCTGGGCCCTTGCTGGGAGCGGAGGTGTGAGCAGACAATGGCAGCGCCCCTCGGGGAGCAGTGGGGACACCACGGTGACAGGTACTCCAGAAGGCAGGGCTCGGGGCTCATTCATCTTTATGAAAAGGTGGGTCAGGTAGAGTAGGGCTGCCAGAGGTTGCGAATGAAAACAGGATGCCCAGTAAACCCGAATTGCAGATACCCCAGGCATGACTTTGTTTTTTTGTGTAAGGATGCAAAATTTGGGATGTATTTATACTAGAAAAGCTGCTTGTTGTTTATCTGAAATTCAGAGTTATCAGGTGTTCTGTATTTTACCTCCATCCTGGGGGAGGCGTCCTCCTCCTGGCTCTGCAGATGAGGGAGCCGAGGCTCAGAGAGGCTGAATGTGCTGCCCATGGTCCCACATCCATGTGTGGCTGCACCAGGACCTGACCTGTCCTTGGCGTGCGGGTTGTTCTCTGGAGAGTAAGGTGGCTGTGGGGAACATCAATAAACCCCCATCTCTTCTAGATCAAAGATCCAGCTAACAGGCGCTACGAGGTGCCCTTGGAGACCCCGCATGTCCACAGCCGGGCACCGTCCCCACTCTACAGCGTGGAGTTCTCCGAGGAGCCCTTCGGGGTGATCGTGCGCCGGCAGCTGGACGGCCGCGTGCTGTGAGTTCTGGGCTCTGTGCCAGCATGATGGGGAGGGCGACGCGCATTTCTCACACGGCAGGGAGGGCCACACGCGTTTGTTTCTCACACGATGGGCAGGGCGACACATGTTTGTTTCTCACACGGCGGGGAGGGCGACGGGCATTTCTCACAGGGCGCTCCCTGGGTCTTTTACTCACATAGGTCTAAATCCCATGTAAACACGTGTTCAGGACTCACCAAGCCCCTGCTTGTCATTTAACTCAGGAAAACTCTCAGGAACGACAGCACTTGGATTTGCCTTAATCTTAAGAGAAGTTGCCTTCGGAAATGCGTTTTTCTTTTTTTGCTCATTCATTTACTCAGTGTCCACGCACTGACCCTCCGTGCCGGGTGGTTTGGATCCTGCTCCCGGGGACAGACACACAGTGAGGGGAAGCCATAAGCAAGTCCATGCAGACACAGCGTCAGGGAGTGGTCATGCAGAGAGCACGCTAGAAGCCAGCTGTGCAGACACGGGGCAGGGAGGTCCCCTCTAGAAGCCAGCTGTGCAGACGCAGGGGACAGGGATGGCCTCTCTGGAAGCCAGCTGTGCAGATGTTGGGGGCAGGGGTGGCCTCTCTGGAAGCCAGCTGTGCAGGAGTGGGGGGTGGGGAGGCCACTCTGGAAACCAGCTGTGCAGATGCAGGGGACAGGGGTGGCCTCTCTGAGCTGACCTCTGAGTAGAGAGACCCAAGAGAAGTTTCTCAAAGCATCTTATCAAGCTAGGTATGGTGGTTCATGTCTGCAATTCCAGCACTTTGGGAGGCCAAGGCGAGAGGGTCACTTGAGCCCAGGAGTTCAAGACCATCCTGGGCAACATAGCAAGACCCCATCTCTTAAAAAATAAAAATAAAAAATTAGCTGGGAATTGTGGCACATGCCTGTGGTCCCAGCTACTCAGGAGGCTGAGGCAAGAGGATCCCTTGAGCCCAGGGGTTCGAGGTTGCAGTGAACCATGATTTTGCCACTGCACTTCAGCCTTGCTGAAGACCCCGTCTCAAAAAACAAACAACAAACAGGCATCTTATCAGATCTCGGTCTTGAAAGCACTCAGCGTAGTCTTGCCCAGGGGAGGGTGGGTGCGGTGTGAGCCCGTCCTGCGAAATTAGCTGTGCTGTGTTAACAGAGGACGCGTCTTCCTGTGGACCGGGTTTATCTGCGGCTTTCATTTCTCGGAGGTGCTGTTTGCCTTGCACTTGACCCCCAGCAAACCTCAGGGGTCCTTCTCAGGCATGGCTGGGCTGGGATCTGGGAGGACTTTGGCCACAAGCTCCTAGGCCTGGAAAGGTTCTGTTCAGCCCCTGCCCAGCCTTGCTTGGGGTCATGGGACAGGCATGTGTGCCAGTTCCGGTACCAGCCAGTTCCTGGAGGTCAGCCCCTTGGGGGCCCCTCAGGGGTGGTGTGGGCCCAGCCAGGCGGTGCGCCTCTTCTGATATGCCCTGAGAGTTGATCACGCTGGTGCCAGGGTGCCAAGGGCTGCAGGGCTCGGCACGGCCGCCTGTCCCAGGGTCAGTGTGCTGCAGGGCTGGCCAGGCCACTCCGCCCTCCCAGGGCACCAGGGCCCGGGGGTGCTCTCTGGGTGCTCTCAGGCTCGTGTGGCCCCTTGGGTGTGAGCAAGCCTGGCTGGCCTCTGTCCCGCAGGCTGAACACGACGGTGGCGCCCCTGTTCTTTGCGGACCAGTTCCTTCAGCTGTCCACCTCGCTGCCCTCGCAGTATATCACAGGCCTCGCCGAGCACCTCAGTCCCCTGATGCTCAGCACCAGCTGGACCAGGATCACCCTGTGGAACCGGGACCTTGCGCCCACGGTACAGCGGCGGGCGGCGGGCGGGGGCACTGAGCTGGGGAGCGCAGGTGCTGAAGCGCCGTCTCCTGCATGTCCCAGCCCGGTGCGAACCTCTACGGGTCTCACCCTTTCTACCTGGCGCTGGAGGACGGCGGGTCGGCACACGGGGTGTTCCTGCTAAACAGCAATGCCATGGGTAAGCTGCCCGCCGCCCAGCGCCCGGGCCGGGGTCTCCTCCGTGCTGCCTGCCCTGGAGACTGGAGGTCCGCATGAGGGGCCCTGGGCACGGTGCTGGGCCTTGTGTTTTCTGGGAAATGAGTCCTATGGGCTGATGCCTCTCCCAACTCTGGCCTTCTGTGCTCCTAAGGAGGGTTCTGGGGCCCTGCCTGGAGGTGGGCTGGCACCACATATCTTTCCGTCCCATGCCAGGTTCCTCCTGAGTCAGGCTTAGCACGGCTTCCCCAGGCCACTCTGAGCTCCTCGTGGGGAGAGAGCCTCAACTCTCCGCCTGTGATTGGCCCATCTGTGGGGTGCAGAGCCCTCCAAGTGAAGAATCTGTCCCCCAACCCCAGAGCTGCTTCCCTTCCAGATGTGGTCCTGCAGCCGAGCCCTGCCCTTAGCTGGAGGTCGACAGGTGGGATCCTGGATGTCTACATCTTCCTGGGCCCAGAGCCCAAGAGCGTGGTGCAGCAGTACCTGGACGTTGTGGGTAGGGCCTGCTCCCTGGCCGCGGCCCCCGCCCCAAGGCTCCCTCCTCCCTCCCTCATGAAGTCGGCGTTGGCCTGCAGGATACCCGTTCATGCCGCCATACTGGGGCCTGGGCTTCCACCTGTGCCGCTGGGGCTACTCCTCCACCGCTATCACCCGCCAGGTGGTGGAGAACATGACCAGGGCCCACTTCCCCCTGGTGAGTTGGGGTGGTGGCAGGGGAGGCAAGGGGCTGGCCGGGACGCGTCTCCTCAGGCCCCAGCAGACGGTCCCGTGTTGTGGCTGCAGGACGTCCAGTGGAACGACCTGGACTACATGGACTCCCGGAGGGACTTCACGTTCAACAAGGATGGCTTCCGGGACTTCCCGGCCATGGTGCAGGAGCTGCACCAGGGCGGCCGGCGCTACATGATGATCGTGGTGTGTGCCCCCACACTGTGGGTCTTTGGGAAGGGGGCCGCCCGGTGCCCAGTGGCTCCTTCTCTGTGCAGCGTCATCCTCGTGCCTGTGTGGTCGCCGAGGATGTTTTCTGAGGGTCTTTGTGATATCGAGGGAATATCAAGAAGTTTGCAGGCTTGGCCCCAGCTGTCCAGGGAGGTCGGGTTTGAGGGTCCCCAGAAATGGCCGGGTGCTACTCAGGGTTCTGTCAGATGTAGGTTACTTGAACTGCCTTAAAGCAAAAGGCCAGGGGCATGATAAACTGATGTCACCTGGTCCTGGAAAGTGGAGGGCCCGGTGGGCCTGGGCATGGGTATCGCTGGAACTGTGGAGGCTCCGTGTGCCTTCTGGCCGTGCCTCTCCTTCTGGCCGGCTCTGAATCCCTGGAAAGGACGGCGTGAGTGAGGGCAGCTTCCAGCCCTCATGCTGGCACCACAGAGCGGAGACTTCTTCCCATCAGCTCCCATAGAAAAGTCCCAAAGCAGGACTCTTGAGTCACCCAGCACAAAGAGGCCCTTCCCTGAGCCAGTCCCACAGCCAGAAGGATGCAGTTTGGGGGCTGGTCCAGCCCGAGTCTGGTGTCCGGCACGATGGCCAGAGGAGGAGGTGGGAGGCAGGGCGAGCTGAAAAGATCCAACAGTTCCTGCCCGGAAGATCCACTTCAGCAGAGGAAGCACAGATGAGATGTGGGGCTGTGCTGATGCTGCCTGTTTCCATCCCTGCCTTCTGCAGGCAGCAAACAGTAGTAGCCCTTAAGAGCAGGAGTGGAAACACAGACTTTTTTCTTTCTCACATTTTTTTAATTATAAAAGAAAAGTGATTACTGTAGAACACTTGGGAAACTCTAGAGGTTTAAAGAAAAGGTAAAGGTAAAGCTTCCATTCCGGCGCGCCCCTCATCAGCCAGCTGGTCCTGACTCGCCCGGCCCTGGCTCCTCTCCAGGCAGGCGTGTGCAGGCATGTGCAGGTACACAGGCAGGCATGCTGTACACACGCATGATGTCATCCCCAGCCTCATCCTCTCACTGTCTCAGTTTTCCCCGTGGCTGGCGCCAGGGCTCTGGGCCACCCTCACCTTGACAGGTTTCCCTCTTCCCAGGATCCTGCCATCAGCAGCTCGGGCCCTGCCGGGAGCTACAGGCCCTACGACGAGGGTCTGCGGAGGGGGGTTTTCATCACCAACGAGACCGGCCAGCCGCTGATTGGGAAGGTAGGGCGAGGGTCCAGGGGACGGGGGTTAGAAAGCAGAGGCCTCCAGCCAGGGGGAGCCGGCAGCTGCTCAGGAAGACGGTGGGATTTGAGGAGCCATCACGCCCAGTGGGACAGCTGAGAGGAATGGGCCACAGTGGCCCGTGACGATGGTGGCTCCTACAAGGAATGGCCCCGTGAGTTCTTCCATCAGCAGGCCTTTGACTTCATGGGCAGCTGGGCCTGGCCCAGGCACAAGCCCTGCAGACCCTCAGTGAGGCCTTAGGGTCCTCCTTGTCCTCCCAGCCCCCCAGGGGCCTCCAGGCAGGGCCCCCGCTGAGGGAGCAGCTAGGGAGGGTCTGGTGCGGATGTGAGGCTGCCTGGCAGGGCTTGCACGGGGCCGTCTCCGCTGCCCTTCTCCCTGACGCTCTCTGGTTCTGCAGCCCAGCCCCTGGGTGGACGTGTTGGGGGTGACCCCTCGTTTTCCCAGGGTTGAGGCCCCTTGGCCCCGCATCAGTGCCTTGTGGAGAAAGAGCTGCTCATTGACCTCCAGGGTGCAGGTCTCTCAGATTTGCAAATGTGGGCGTCCACTAAGAGTGAGGCTGCCCCTCTGCTCAGGCTGAGGCTCAGTGGGGCTTCCATGCAGGCCCTGGGTGGGGCCGGGTCTCCCCACTGCAGCCTCTCGTTGTCCAGGTATGGCCCGGGTCCACTGCCTTCCCCGACTTCACCAACCCCACAGCCCTGGCCTGGTGGGAGGACATGGTGGCTGAGTTCCATGACCAGGTGCCCTTCGACGGCATGTGGATTGTAAGTGTGGCCCCCTCCTGAGCATCCCCAAGGCCTCTGGGGACTACCCCACCCTCCTCACTCTGGGCAGAGTCACCTACCAGCAGCGCTTCTCTTGCAGGACATGAACGAGCCTTCCAACTTCATCAGGGGCTCTGAGGACGGCTGCCCCAACAATGAGCTGGAGAACCCACCCTACGTGCCTGGTCAGCTCGCCCCCCACCTACCCTGGGGACTTAATCAAATCAGAGACTCCCTTGTCTGGCCTGGGAGACTTAGCACCCTCATCTCTGAGAAGCAGATGGGCCAGCGGGGAAAGGGGCGGGGGGGGGATCCCCAGGAGAAAGGCTCAGGCTGGGAGACTCAGCCAAGCAGTGCAGACAGGGTGGGTGCAGAGGCACAGGCCCTGCCGGAGGAGACGCCGCTCACAGGTGCTTGCCAGAGCACAGTGAGGCCGACTCGACTCAGAGCCGTCTCGATAGGCGCAGGGACCATGCAGCGGAGACCTACCCACCCGTGGGGAGAGGTCAGGCCCAACTCGAATGCAGCACGGGCAAGTGGATTTCTAGCCAGGGAGCAGGGTGGGCTCAGAGGCAGGAATTACCAAGAAGAAGCATGGGGGTCAGGGGGATTCTGGCTGAACTGACCCAGCAGGATTCTTGCTGAAGGCAGGCCAGGGTGACCAGACATCGCCTGAGGGGTGGTGGAGGTTGGGGCTTCTCGCCAAACTGTCTTAGCAGGAATGGCAGAAACTGGGTTTTACAAGGAAGTACAAGGATGGGCCTGGGAGAAGGTTTGGGGGCCTGAGGCTATAGTTTGGCCCAGCAAAGAATCAGTGAGAGGATGGGGTTTTGGGCTTAGGTAAACAGGCAGGGGAGTGCTTGAAATGGGCCAAGAGACGGTGGATGTGAAGTCTGGGGGTCTGCAGAGCCCAGGCTCCAGCACCCGCCCAGCCCTGTCTTAGAAGCAGTGGAGATGATTACCCAGGTTCCCGGGTAACGCCAGCCCCACAGAGGCGTGGGGAGCGGCTGCAGGTGCACCTCCAGGGCCAGCCTGAAGAGGCAGCGACCTGCACAGGGGCTCCTGGGAGGTGGGGGGCAGGGAGGGCACCTTGGAGCCTGCCGGGAGGAAGCTCCCTGGAAACCAGCCCCCGCCTCTTCCAGGGGTGGTTGGGGGGACCCTCCAGGCGGCCACCATCTGTGCCTCCAGCCACCAGTTTCTCTCCACACACTACAACCTGCACAACCTCTACGGCCTGACCGAAGCCATCGCCTCCCACAGGTGAGGGCCACGTCCCGCCCCACTGGGCTCTGCCCTCACAGCCTGTCCTACAAGGTTGGGGCCTCTGCAGGGCCTCAGGGAGGAGGAAAAGCGGAGGCCCAGACCACCCGGGGCCCGCTGGCGGCCCGAGTGCTCTCCCCACCCGCTGCCTGCACCCCAGCCTGAAGCTGGAGCGCTCCTTCCCACTTCATGCCTGGGGCTTGGAGAGGAAGGACCCTGGATGCTGACAGGAGTCTGCATCAGCGGGGACCTCATGACTCCTGTGAGGCTGGGGGGGGTCCTGGCTCACCTACAGGCATCAGGTGGCCCAGACAGAGGCAACTGTGCCCGCAGACATGGGCAGTAGCCTCGCCGTCCTCCTCCCCAGCCTCTGCCTCATCCCAGAAAGCTCCTTGCTCCCAGCTCTGCCCTGCTGGTGACAGGGTTCCCGAGTGACCCCGCTCCACACAGCCCTCACGGTGTCCCCCACCACCCCAGGGCGCTGGTGAAGGCTCGGGGGACACGCCCATTTGTGATCTCCCGCTCGACCTTTGCTGGCCACGGCCGATACGCCGGCCACTGGACGGGGGACGTGTGGAGCTCCTGGGAGCAGCTCGCCTCCTCCGTGCCAGGTGAGCTCCTACCAGGAGGGGCTGCTCAGCAGAGTAGAGCCGGGGGCCTCTATGGGAGGCTTGCCGGGGCCCCCCACCCACTTAGCAGGTGGGGCTCTGGGTCACTTGGCCTGAGCTGGCTCTGCTGCAGCAGCCTGAGGACCAGCCTGACTCTGCCCTCCCAGAAATCCTGCAGTTTAACCTGCTGGGGGTGCCTCTGGTCGGGGCCGACGTCTGCGGCTTCCTGGGCAACACCTCAGAGGAGCTGTGTGTGCGCTGGACCCAGCTGGGGGCCTTCTACCCCTTCATGCGGAACCACAACAGCCTGCTCAGTCTGGTAGGGTGGGGGTGGCGGCATGGCAGGTGGGCGATCCCACCCACCCAAGACTCTCCCCTGGGAATCCCACCCCTGCTGGAGAAGCACCCCATGCTGGGTGGCTGAGAAGTGCAGCTCTCCCGAGGCGGGGACTCCAGGGGACCGCGGCCCCAGCACCCAAGTGCTTCCTTTGCCCCCGCCTGCCCTGCAGCCCCAGGAGCCGTACAGCTTCAGCGAGCCGGCCCAGCAGGCCATGAGGAAGGCCCTCACCCTGCGCTACGCACTCCTCCCCCACCTCTACACACTGTTCCACCAGGCCCACGTCGCGGGGGAGACCGTGGCCCGGCCCCTCTTCCTGGAGTGAGTGACCTAGGCAGGGGCGGTGGCCCATGTGTGCCCTGGGGGAGGGGCACGTAACTCCCAGGCAGCCCTGTCCTGCTGTGGGCTGTGTTCCCCAGGACCCAGCAGGTTGCCGCTGAGTGAGACAACATTTGGGCCTGGCTTAAGGGGGAAGGGCAGCAAGAAAACCCAGTAATATCCCCCAGACAGGCCGTAGTACACACGAGGAGTTCCTAACAACAGCCCTGCACATCAGTGTGTTGAGGGAGGATTCCCAGAGAGTGAGGTGATTAGTTAACTATTTGCAGAAGTCAATTTATTTTTCTTGCATACCATAGAAACATAAGTTCCAGATAAATTAAATAGTTAATGTCAAAAATCAAGCTGTGGAGGCCAGGCACGGTGGCTAACGCCTGTAATCCCAGAACTTTGGGAGGCTGAGGCGAGTGGATCACCTGAGGTCAAGAGTTCGAGGCCAGCCTGGCCAACATGGTGAAACCCATCTCTACTAAAAATACAAAAATTAGCCGTGCATGGTGGTGGGCGCCTGTAGTCCCTGCTACTCAGGAGGCTGAGGCCAGAGAATCCCTTGAACCTGGGAGGAGGAGATTGCAGTGAGCCGAGATCGCGCCACTGTACTCCAGCCTGTGTGACTCCATCTCAAAAAAAAAAAACCAAGCTGTGAAAGACTCCACAGGAAAAGATAAGTGAATGTGTATCTCTGGGGAAAGGTTTCATTTAGAGAAAAAAAAAAAAAAAAGGTGAACTTTATTTGACCATAGCAGAAAAAAAAATGTAAATCTCTGAATATAAACACAAAAAGATTAAAACTGCTCTGAACATGGACTGTAACAGCAGAGAAGGCATTGTCAATAAAACAGCAAATAGCTACTCTTCCTAATAGGTAGAGAACTCATACGTTGGTAAGACCAAGACTAAGAACCAAATTGGAGGAACACTGTTTGCAAAACAGGAGATACGAATGGTATCCACACATTCTTCACCCGGAAATCCAAGAAACGCAATTTGTGTTTTAATTACTATTTTAATGACCTTGTTGTTTCTGTCACTACACTTTTTTTTTTTTTTTTTTAGTGGTTGCCCTAGGGATTACAATTAACATCTTAATTTTAGCCTCGTTGGAACTGATGCCAACTTGCTTTCAATAGCATAAAAAAGCTTTGCTTCTATGTGGTTTCCATTGCCTCTCGTTCCTCTGTGCTGTTACACGTCTGTATCCATGATGAGCCCATCCACGCAGATTTATAATGACCGCCTTATTCAATTATCTTTTAAGTCAAATAGGAGGGAAAAATGGGTTACAAACAAAAAGTACATACACACTGTCTGCCTTTTATATTTACTGATGTAGTTACCTTTACCCATGGTTTTATTTCTTCATGTGGCTTTGACTTCTTGTCTAACATCTTTCATTTACAGCAGAAGGACTCCCTTTAGTATTTATTGTAGGGCAGTTCTGCTAGTGATGAATTCTCTCAGTTTTTGTTGACTTCAGAGTCTCTTAATTTCTCCTTCATTTTTTGAAAGTTCTGCTCAACGTAGGGTTCTTGACTGGCGGTCGTTTCTCTGAACACTTTGAACTTGTCAGCCCATGGCCTCCGTGGTTTCTGCTGAGTAGCTTCTGTCTTGCCTCTTCCCAGATTCTCTGTCTTTGGCCTTTGAAGTCCCGATGGTGTGTCTAGGTGTAGATCTCTGAGTTTATCTTACTGGGAGTTTGTTGAGCTTCTTGGACGTATGCATTGATGTTTTTCATCAAACTTGGGCGGTTTTTCAGCCATTACTTCATAAAATATTTTTTCTGCCCCTTTCTGTCTTCTACTCTGGGACTTCCGTTCCACACATTGGTATGCTTGACGGTGCCCAGGGGTCTTTGCAGCTCTGTTGACTCCTTCCTCGTTGTGTTTTCTTTCTGTTCTTCAGACTGCTTAGTCTGACTGCCCTGTCTTCAAGGTCACTGATTCTTTTTTCCACCAGTTCTCATCTGCTGTTGAGCCCCTCTAGTGAACTTCTCATTTTAGTTGCTCTCTTTTCAACTCCAGAATTTCTGTTTCATTCCTTTACGTTTCTCTCGTTAAGGATATTCCCTATCTGGTGAGTCATGTTCTCACACTTTCCTTTAGTTCTTCAGACACGGTTTCGCTGAGCTCTTTGAACACATTTAAAGTAGCTGACGTAAACTCTTTGTCTAGTAAGTCCAATGTCTGGGCTTCTCTAGGGACAATTTTTATTAACTACTGTCCCCCCATCTGTGGGCCATACTTTCTTGTTTCTTTGCGTGTCTCATACATTTTTGTTTCAGACTGGACATTTTAAACGCAGCTGCTGTGGTCATCAGATTCCCCATCCCCCTCAGGTCTCGTTGCTATTGCTGATTGTTTTGTGACTTTCTTGAGCTAATTCCATAAGGTCTGTGTTCTTCATTGTGTGTGGCCACCAAAGTCTCTGCTTGACTAGCTTAGTGGACAGCCAATAATTGGTCAGATATCCTTCACAGATGGCATCCGTGAGTCTCCCAGCCTTTGCTGGGGCGAGGTGGGGAGCACCGTCAACACTTAGCTAGGCCAAGGATTCTTGCTGTTCTTACAAAGATTCAGCCATTTTGTTAAATACATGCTCCCCAGATGGCTGCAAACCCTTGGTTAGTTTCAAGAGTCCTAAAAATGTCAACTCTGACCATTTTTGCCGATGTTCCTGTTTTCACAGAGGAGAGGATCTTGAGAGGGGCTTACTCCACCATCTTCACTGACATCACTCCAAGAAATGTATTTTGCAAGAAATATTTTGAAGCAGAAAGACACCATTTATTTTGCCCATGAATTAGAATACATTAGAGAAAATAAGACTATCCCTTGCTGGCAAGAACACAGTGACACAGTAGGGTGGAATATAAATTGGCACATTTGTGGAAAGCAACAGTACATATCAGTCAATGTTTTTGAGATTCACATTGATGCGTTAATTTTACAAATAGAAATAGGGCCTAAAGAAGTCACCTCAAAAGGCATGAACGCTCCATGAATGTATCCATGCAGGGATCATAGCTGAGCACTGGATGCCCCCTGCACGTCCGGGGGCAGGAAACAGGACAGGGCAGAGCTGCGTCACAGGGCAGGACAGTCTCCGTTAGACGGAGAATCCTCCGTAGAGCTGCTTGCACATGTACATTCATCTTTTTGTCAGATGTTAATTCAAGTTGCCTTTGGTTGTGGGACTGGGAGGATCTTTTCTCTTTGTTGATACTTTTTCGTACTTTCCAAATACTTGACTGATGAGCACATGCTGCCTTGGTTACCGGAGGATAAGTGAGCGAGCAAAGTGAGGCCAGTGCTGTGTCCATCCTGGTGCCTCAAGCACAAGCCCCTATTCCTGCCCTGAGCCCAGCTGCCGGCATGTCCGGGGAGAAGGCTTCTCCCAGCTCCGGCATTGACTTCTATCTGCTGGAATCATCCCTGCCCGTCTGACCTGAGTCCTCCAAGTCCTCCGGCACCTTGAGCTCCAGAGAGCAGAATTCAGCCTCTTCCTGTGCCTCCCCAGGGTGGGCATATGAGCCAGCCCCATCCCATTCATCACCCGTATGCCTGTGTGCCCATCCCCCTTGCAGGTTCCCCAAGGACTCTAGCACCTGGACTGTGGACCACCAGCTCCTGTGGGGGGAGGCCCTGCTCATCACCCCAGTGCTCCAGGCCGGGAAGGCCGAAGTGACTGGCTACTTCCCCTTGGGCACATGGTACGACCTGCAGACGGTGAGTCTGGGGACCCTAAGCCCTGGGGAGACGGGAGACCAGAGCAGCCCTCCCACCTGCCCCCTCCACCCAGTTGGTGTGACCAGGTGGCGGAAAGAGGAACGTATGTGTTGAGTCCCGGCCATGTGCCAGGCCCCCACCCGGCTGCTCCGCACCCATCAGCCTCTCCGCTCCTCACACCATCCCCATTTCCCAGATGAGCAGACTGAGGCCTGCTTGCAGAACCTGGCCAAGTCCCACGGCCATCACAGGCTGTGCCTGTGCTGAGCTGGCATACCCAGGCCTCTCAGGCACTGTCCCCACTCAGTAGCCAGGAGGGTCCCTACCTACAGTGAGCCCTGAGTCTGCGCCTGAAGTCACAGTTCAGCCCGTCTGTGCCAGGCCTCCTAGGCCTCCACGTGGAGCCCCGGGAGATGGAGAGCGTGGTTCCTGAGGACAGCATGGGGGCCTCGGCACGGCCCAGAATCCTCAAAGCAACATCTCCCTCCAGGTGCCAGTAGAGGCCCTTGGCAGCCTCCCACCCCCACCTGCAGCTCCCCGTGAGCCAGCCATCCACAGCGAGGGGCAGTGGGTGACGCTGCCGGCCCCCCTGGACACCATCAACGTCCACCTCCGGGCTGGGTACATCATCCCCCTGCAGGTACCTGGGCCAGGCGGCTATGGTGGGGGTGTGGACAGCACACTGCAGAGCTGGGGGAGGCACAGGGAGATGGTGGGGGAGAGGCCCAGGTGGGGCTTCTGAGGGGCCGCCCCCCGCAGTGTAGGTTATCAAGGAGCCAGCCAGGCCAGTGAGGTGGGGAGGGCACAGCCCCACAAAGGCGTGGAGCATGGCCGGCAGGAGCTCAGTGGTCTGCATGGTGGAGGTTCTGCCGGGCCCGGCCTCGGGCAGCCGTGGGATAGCACTTGAGGTGGGGAAGGTCTTGGGTCATCACCACGGGGTTCCAGCCCCTGCGGCCGCAGGTGTTCCTGCAGATCCTAGTTACTGGCAGCCTGGTGCTGTACCAGCCTAGCATTCCCGGGCCCTGGAGGCCTCCACCTCCACCAGGGTGGGGATGATGACATCACGTGTCCTTCCCTTTCCAGGGCCCTGGCCTCACAACCACAGAGTCCCGCCAGCAGCCCATGGCCCTGGCTGTGGCCCTGACCAAGGGTGGGGAGGCCCGAGGGGAGCTGTTCTGGGACGATGGAGAGAGCCTGGAAGTGCTGGAGCGAGGGGCCTACACACAGGTCATCTTCCTGGCCAGGAATGTGAGTCCTGGGGCTGCTCAGGCTGGTGGGCAGGGGCCGGCTCGGGGTTGAGAAGGGGTGAGGGGACCTGGGCTTGGGGGTCCCACGATGGCTACCTGCCACTAGGACACTCTAGCAGGTGGCCTGGGGTCCTAGAGTGAGCAGTGGGGCCGTGCACTCTGCCCTTTCGTGTACACAGAGGGAGGTCACCTCCCTGATGCCATCATGAGTCCCTGTTCTCATGGGTGTTCCTGCCCCAGCTGTCTGCTGACACCTCCACATTCTCTGCCTTTTCATCTCTCTCTGCTCGGCCCAGAACACGATCGTGAATGAGCTGGTACGTGTGACCAGTGAGGGAGCTGGCCTGCAGCTGCAGAAGGTGACTGTCCTGGGCGTGGCCACGGCGCCCCAGCAGGTCCTCTCCAACGGTGTCCCTGTCTCCAACTTCACCTACAGCCCCGACACCAAGGCAAGAGGGCCCAGAGTGGCACAGGGATCGCGTCCCCCAGCCGTGGTGCAGGGGGCAGAAGGTGCTGGGCGTCCTGGTGACCGATGCCAGGAACAGAGGATGCTGGGACCTCCCAAGGGGGTCTTTGGGGAGGAGTGGGAAGGGTCAGGCCACACAGGCTGTGCCTTTCCTCCTCCTGTGTCTACACGTGGGTGATGGGGCCACAATGACGACCTCTGAGCCGTGTTGAAGCAGCACCGCGTTTCTGGCGTGCGTTAAGGTGACCCGCACTGAGAGCCGGGGTCCCCCTGCGCCTGCCGGGGAGGAACCGGGTGCGAAGCATCCCAGGGCCAGACGGAGCTGCCCCCTGAGCGCCGGGCCTCGCTGCTGCTGGGATCTCGGGGCCAGATGGAGCCGCCTTCTGAGCGCTGGGGTCTCACTGCTGCTGGGATCTCGGGCTGCTCCATTTGTGCTCTCTCTTTTCCAGGTCCTGGACATCTGTGTCTCGCTGTTGATGGGAGAGCAGTTTCTCGTCAGCTGGTGTTAGCCGGGCGGAGTGTGTTAGTCTCTCCAGAGGGAGGCTGGTTCCCCAGGGAAGCAGAGCCTGTGTGCGGGCAGCAGCTGTGTGCGGGCCTGGGGGTTGCATGTGTCACCTGGAGCTGGGCACTAACCATTCCAAGCCGCCGCATCGCTTGTTTCCACCTCCTGGGCCGGGGCTCTGGCCCCCAACGTGTCTAGGAGAGCTTTCTCCCTAGATCGCACTGTGGGCCGGGGCCCTGGAGGGCTGCTCTGTGTTAATAAGATTGTAAGGTTTGCCCTCCTCACCTGTTGCCGGCATGCGGGTAGTATTAGCCACCCCCCTCCATCTGTTCCCAGCACCGGAGAAGGGGGTGCTCAGGTGGAGGTGTGGGGTATGCACCTGAGCTCCTGCTTCGCGCCTGCTGCTCTGCCCCAACGCGACCGCTGCCCGGCTGCCCAGAGGGCTGGATGCCTGCCGGTCCCCGAGCAAGCCTGGGAACTCAGGAAAATTCACAGGACTTGGGAGATTCTAAATCTTAAGTGCAATTATTTTTAATAAAAGGGGCATTTGGAATCAGCTTCTGCGGGTCTCTCTGGGATTCAGGGCAGGGAGGATGTATCCAGGGGCCCTGGAACAGAGGCAGCTCCTTTGTCCTCAGCAGGCCCCCAGACATTCCCACAGTGGGTGTGCGCCGTCCTCTGTCTCAAGCCGGCATCCATCACGTCATGTTCCCATGTCACGAGGCCTGACATCACCTCATGTCCTGTCCCCATCTCACCTCACATCCCGTCACCTCATGTCCCCGCATCACCTAAAGCCCCATGTCACCTTTGTGTCCCATACCCCCATCTCACATGCCTACCTCATGTCCCCATGTCACCTTCACGTCCCATCTCACCTCACCTCCCCTCCCCACCCCACCTCACCTCCCCTCCCCTCCTCCCCTCCCCTCCTCACCTGACCTCCCCTCCCCACGTCACCTCCCTTCCCCTCCCCACCTCACCTCCCCTCCCCACCTCCCCTCCCCTCCCCTCCCCACCCCACCTCACCTCCCCTCCCCTTCCCATGTCACCTCCCTTCCCCTCCCCACCTCCCCTCCCCTCCACTCCTCACCTACCCTCCCCATGTCACCTCCCCTTCCCTCCCCACCTCCCCTCCCACCCCACCTCCCTTCCCCTCCCCTCCTCACCTGACCTCCCCTTCCCATGTCACCTCTCCTCCCCTCCCAACCTCCCGTCCCCATCCCACTTCACCTCCCCTCCTCACCTGACCTCCCCTCCCTATGTCATCTCTCCTCCCCTCCCACCGCACCTCCCCTCCCCTCCTCCCCTCCCCTCCTCCCCTCACCTGACCTCCCCTCCCTACCCCACCTCACCCCCTCTCCCCTCCTCACCTCCTCTCCTCCTCTCCCCATTCATCCTCACACTCCTGCTTCCCCCATCTCTAAGGTGACTGGGGAATGTCCAGTGGGTGTTAGGCATGTGGTGGGAGTGTGGCCCCCAGGGCTGTGTAGACAACAGGACCCTGCAAGGAAGGGGCTTTCCAACAGTGGGGCCTAAGACTTTAGGCAGAGGCCAGAAATCTGTCCCCAAGTGATGCAGTTAGAGAGGATTTCAGGCCCAGGTTCTCCCTGGCAAGCCCAGAGAAAGGGAAAGAAGCCCATTTTATTGAAATAACAGCAGGAGAAATCACTGCCCTTAGCCAGTCAGACGCTTCAGTTTATCACTTAGAATTAATGCAGTGGCTCACACCTGTAATCCCAGCACTTTGGGAAGTCCAGGCGGGCAGCTCACTTGAGGTCAAGAGTTTGAGAGCAGCCTGGCCAACATGGTGAAACCCCATCTCTACTAAAAATACAAAATTAAGGCCAGGCGCAGTGGCTCACGCCTGTAATCCCAGCACTTTGGGAGGCTGAGGCAGGCGGATCACGAGGTCAAGAGATGGAGACCATCCTGGCTAACATGGTGAAACCCCGTCTCTACTGAAAATACAAAAATTAGCTGGGTGTGGTGGCACACACCTGTAGTCCCAGCTACTTGGTCTCGCAAGGCTGAGGCAGGAGAATCGCTTGAACCCGGGAGGCGGAGGTTGCAGTGAGCCGAGATAGCACCACTGCACTCCAGCCTGATGACAGGGCGAGACTGTCTCAAAAAAAAAAAAAATTAGGCATGGTGGTGTGTGCCTGTAGTCCCAGCTACTCAGAAGGCTGAGGCACAAGAATCACTTGAACCCGGGAGGCAGAGGTTGTAGTGAGCCAAGATCGTGCCACTGCACTCCAGCCTGGGCGACAGAGTGAGACTCCATCTCAAAAAAAAAAAAAAAAAGGCCAGGCGCGGTGGCTCATGCCTGCAATTCCAGCACTTTGGTAGGCCAAGGCAGGCGGATCACGAGGCCAGGAGTCCGAGACCAGCCTGACCAACGTGGCAAAACCCCATCTCTACTAAAAATACAAAAATTAGCTGGGTGTGGTGGCACGCGCCTGTAATCTTAGCTACTCAGGAGGCTGAGGAAGGAGAATTGCTTGAATCTGGGAGGCGGAGGCTGCAGTGAGCTGAGATCACGCCACTGCAGTCCAGCCTGGGCGACAGAGTGAGACTCCATCTCAAAAAAAAAACAAAAGAAGTGGCCAACCCCGAAGTCCTCTGCAGAGCGATGGATTACTTTTGCCACCTTCCTGAAAACCAGGAGCAGAAAGTACAGTGACTTCCCCGTGGAGCAGCATGACATCCCTGGGGGGCAGTGTGTCTACCTGGGTGACCAGCACTATTGTCTTCTGGGTCAGCTTTTGTAGAAGCGGACACTGCTCTTCTGCCATGTCACAGGCCAGGGCCTGACCCCCGTGTGCCACTTTTACCATCCAGATTGACATCACTAAGTCATCTCGCGCCCTAAAGTTCCTCTGTAAGGTGGACGTAGTAGTGACAATAACATATGTTACTTCCTCCCCTCATCCTAGTCCCATGTGGGGTTAAGAAGCAGGAATGTTTGTCTTGAGGCCAGCAGCGTGCCTGGTCTCGGTGCTGAGGGCGACCTGCCCTAACGCTCTGCCAGGCTCGCCAGGTCTGCAGTTGACACCCAAGACGTTCAGGGAGGGTTGATGGAGCGTGGTAGCCTCGGCCAGCCTGGACCGACCATCAGCGTCCTCACCTTCTGTGCCACCGCCCAGCCTGGCAGGGCCACTGTAGCCTTAGCCCCTTGTAGGATCTGACCCTTCCTTGGCTGCTGTAACGAAATACCCAAGACTGGGTAATTTATAAACAACAGAAATGGATTTCTCACAGGGCTGGAGGCTGGGAAGTCCAAGATCGAGGCAGGTTCTGTGTCTGGTGAGGGCTGCTGTCTGTATCATAAATGGCGCACTCTCCATCATCGTGGTAGAAGG
This sequence comes from Homo sapiens, assembly GCF_000001405.40. Lineage (NCBI taxonomy): Eukaryota > Metazoa > Chordata > Mammalia > Primates > Hominidae > Homo > Homo sapiens. The sequence goes on from NC_000017.11 coordinate 80,122,687, forward strand.
CGAAGACAAGCTCCCTTGAGCGCTAAATGCCACTGATGAGGATGGAGGGCCCTCAGGACTCATCACCTCCCAACAGCCCCACCACTTTTTTTTTTTTTTTTTTTTTGAGACCGAGTTTCACTCTTGTCACCCAGGCTGTAGTGCAATGGTGCAATCTTGGCTTATTGCAACCTCTGCCTCCCAGGTTCAAGTGATTCTCCTGCCTCAGCCTCCCGAGGAGCTAGGATTACAGGCATCCGCCACCATGCCTGGCTAATTGGATCTTTAGTTGTATTTGTATTTTAGTTTATTTGTATTTTAATTGAGATGGGATTTCACCATGCTGGCCAGGCTGGTCTTGAACTCCTGACCTCAGGTTATCTGCCTGCCTCAGCCTCTCAAAGTGCTGGGATTACAAGCATGAGGCACTATGTCCGGCCAGCCCCACCTCTTAAAACCATGTCATTGGGGATTAGGTTTCAACAGGAATTTGGGGCGGGGGCAAACCTTCAGACCATAGGACAGGGCTATCAGGAGTCCTGAGTGAGGAGGTTGGCATGGGGTGGGACAGTGCTCCCTGTGTGGGAAGGGACAGGGTCGGAGGGGGGAGAGGAGTTGTTTCCATCCTCTGAGAGGCCAGGGGTCTCCTCAGGGTGGTCCAAACGGTACAGCCCATTACATGGGACGCTGGCCTGTGGGCACCTCAAGGCAGCTTCATCTGTTTCTCACCAGTGCCTGATACAGGCCCTGCCTCAGTGGGACCCTATTGAACTTAGGTGAATTTTAAAGCAATAGGCCAGGTGTGGTGGCTCACGCCTGTAATCCCAGTACTTTGGGAGGCCTAGGTGGGCGGATCACCTGAGGTTGGGAGTTTGAGACCAGCCTGACCAACATGGAGAAACCCTGTCTCTACTAAAAATACAAAATTAGCCAGGTGTGGTGGTGCATGCCTGTAATCCCAGCTACTCAGGAGGCTGAGACAGGAGAATCATTTGAACCCGGGAGGCGGAGGTTGTGGTGAGCCGAGATCACGCCACTGCACTCCAGCCTAGGCAACAAGAGCGAAAGTCCATCTCAAATAAAAATAAAGCAATGTGGATGTGGACCCCAGGCAGCCTTGTAGCGGAGACGTCTTAGTGCCGGGGAGCGTTCAAGCTGGCACCCTCCGCCCTGGGAGAAGACATCCTGGGGGTCTCGTGGCTCAGCCCTCTCATATCTCTCCCAGCTCAGCCTCTAAAACAAGGCCTGCTGTTGGTGACAAAACGCTCTTGGCTCATGTTCTGGGCAATGAGTCACTGCGTGTGGCTGGGCCAGCTTCACAGGTGTGACCCATGCAGGCCCACAGGCCCCGAGCTCAGCAGGCTGCAGCTGGGTTTAATGCTCCACGGTCACCATCTTGAAATTGTGAATAACTTTTGAACAAGGGGCCCCACAGCCTTTCATTTTGTGACGGGCCCTCGGCAAATTCTGCGGCTGGTCCTGCAAGGGGTGGTGCGTTCTCTCCCGTTTACGTTGGTATAGATGAATATAAACGCTTCCTTTCTTTCCTTGCCTGGTGGGGAATGGATCAGAAAGCCAGGGCTGATGATAGAAACCAGCAGAGAATCTCCAAGTGTAAGACATTAGTCAAAGGCCCGGCGTGGAGCCCACAGGTCCTTAGCGTTCGGAAGACGATTGCCTTCCCAGCCCACTCCAAGGAAGAATCAGTGCTGTCTGGCAGCAGCCTCCAGGTGTGTCTCCACAAAGGCCCAGCTTTCCTTTTTGCAAATCAATGACATCAATAATCCGTTACATGGCCTGCAGAGAAGCCCTCTGGCGGCCACTGTGGGGCCCTGTGGGCCTTATGCCTGCTCTTCCTGATCTGGTGGAGGCTCAGAGAGGAGCTAGGACAAGGGATGGTGCCCCTATACCACCCCACCCCCACATACGTGCCTGCAGAAGGCCACATGACCAGGATTATGGTGGGTGAGGGCCAGAGGGAAGGCCCAGGTGAGAGGGTGGAATGTGAACAGGCTGGTTATTTGCGTGCCAGGGACAAGAGAGAAAAAAGCTCAGCATTAGCAGAGAAGACGGACTTCTGCGGTGGCACCTACAGCTGTTCCCTTGGCCTCCCAAACAACCCAGGTGTGACGTCGGGAACCGGGAATGCAGGCAACAGAGTGATTCCAGCTGCCTCACAAGGAAGAGGGTGTGTGGGAAGAGCAGAGCATCCGGGCTGGAAGCACAGTCAGAACCATGCGTGCAGCCGGACACTCATTGTTCTTCCCCACGTGTGCTGGGCACCCGCTCTGCGTCAGGCTCTGTTCCAGGAGTTGGGTGAAACGGTGACTGAAATAGACAGAACTCCTGTCGGTGATGCCCACGTGAGAGAATATAATCAATGGACAATGCACCGCACATATTTAAAATGTGCAAATTGATCCGTTTTGACATGTGAATGTCTGTGAACCAGCTCTACAGTTAAGATGGTGACCATCTCCATCACCCTCAAAGTCTCCAGCTACCCACTGACTGGAAACCACTGGTATGTTTTTTGTCAAAATATATTTCTTTGTATTTTATAGAATTTTGTATAAAGGGGAATTTTTTTGTCACACACTACTCAACATAATTTCTTTGAGATTTATCCATCAATAACTCATCCTTTTTGGTTGCTAAATAGTTTTCCACTGTATGCAAATGCCACCATTTCTTTATCTGTCCTTTATGGATATCAGAATTGTTTTTGATTTTTTTGTTTGTTTGTTTAAAGACAGGGTCTTGGCTGCGCGTGGTGGCTCACGCCTGTAATCCCAGCACTTTGGGAGGCTGAGGCAGGCAGATCACCTGAGGTCAGGAGTTCACGGCTAGCCTGGCCAACATGGGGAAACCCCATCTCTACTAAAAATACAAAAATTAGCCGGGCGTGGTGGTGGGCGCCTGTAATCCCAGCTACTTGGGAGGCTGAGGCAGGAGAATTGCTTGAATCCAGGAGGCGGAGTTTGCTGTGAGCCGAGATCGTGCCATTGCACTCCAGCGTGGACAACAGAGCGAGACTCCATCTCAAAAAACAAAACAAAACAAAAACAGGGTCTTGCTCTGTCACCCAAGCAGGAATGCAGTGGCACCATCATAGCTCACCATAGCCTCAACCTCATGGGTTTAATTGATCCTCCCACCTCAGCCTCCTGAGCAGCTGGGACTACAGGCATGCACCAACACATGTGGCTAATTTTTAAAATATTTTGTAGAGATGGTGTCTCACTGTGTTTCCCAGGCTTGTCTGGAACTCCTGGCCTCAGGTCATCCTCCTGCCTTGGCCTCTGAAAGTGCTGGGATTACAAACGAGGGCCATCACCCTCAGCCCCTCTCTGCAATTTTTGGCTATTATGAATAAAGCTGCTATGAGCAGTCATGGACAAGTCTTTGACATTATTTTGTTTCTCTTGGGCAAATAGCAAGGATGATGTGGTCAGTTCATACGGGAGGTAAACTATTCATTGTTTAAGAGGCTGCCAAACTGTTTCCAAATCGCTGCACCATTCTGCATTCCTCCCGACTGTGCAGGGGAGTTGGCAGGGGCTGCGTATCCGGGCCAGCATTGGCGTGGTCTGTTTCCTTTTAGCCATTCTAGTGACTGTGTATCTCACTGTGGCTCTTACACTCCCCTAATGACTACTGATGTTGAACATCTTTTCACCCACTTATCTGTCAGCCATAAATCTTCTTTGGTAAAGTGTCTGTTCGCCTCTTTTGCCCATTGTTAAACTGGGTCGTTCCTTATTATAGAGTTATAACATACGTCAATTTTCTAGTGCTGCCGTAACACATGACCACAGTTTGAGGGAATTAAAATAACACAAATGTATTTCATCACAGTTCCATAGGTCAGAAATTTGATACAAGGGCTCTCCTGGCTGAAATCGGGGTGTCAGCAGGGCTGCCTTCCTTTCCAGAAGCTCCAGGGGAGAATCCGTCTCCTTGCCCACATGGGCTACTGGCAGAATTGTTTCATGCAGTTGTAGCACTGAGGTCTCTGTTTCCCTTCTGTCAGTCAGAGGTCCTTCTCAGCCTACAGAGGCTTCCCCCATATCTTGGCTCATGCCTTTTTCAACCCCAGAAATGAGGGACTTGAGTCCCTCTCATGCCTGTCCTTCCTTCCATCACATCATTCTCTGACCAACCATAGCCAAAGAATAGTCTTGACTTTTAAGGGCTCATGAGATTAGATTGTGTCCACCTAGATTATCCAGGATCCCCCATCCAAGATCCTGCACTTACTTCTGCAAAGTCCCTATTGTCATGTAATGTGACATATTCACAAGGTCCAGAGATTTGGACCTGGCAATCTTTGAGGACAGTTATTCTACCTACCACATAAAGCTTCTTTATTGGGCCAGTGTGGTGGCTCCTGCCTGTAATCCCAACACTGGGAGACCGGGACAGGAGGAGTTCTTGAGCAGGAGTTAGAGACCAGCCTGGGCAACACAGCAAGACCCCATCTCTACAAAAAGCAAAAAATTAGGCCGGGCGCGGTGGCTCACGCCTGTAATCCCAGCACTTTGGGAGGCCGAGGCGGGTGGATCACGAGGTCAGGAGATCGAGACCGTCCTGGCTAACACGGTGAAACCCCGTCTCTACTAAAAATACAAAAAATTAGCCGGGCGTGGTGGCGGCTGCCTGTAGTCCCAGCTACTCGGGAGGCTGGGGCAGGAGAATGGTGTGAACCCGGGAGGTGGAGCTTGCAGTGAGCTGAGATCGTGCCACTGCACTCCAGCCTGGGTGACAGAGTGAGACTCTGTCTCAAAATAAATAAATTTAAAAACTAAAAATAAAAAAATAAAAAATTAGATGCATGCAGCAGCACATGCCTGTGGTTCCAGCTACTAAGGAGGCTAAGGTGGAAGGATTCCTTGATCTCAGGAGGTCGAGGCTGCTGTAAGCTATAACTGTGGCCACTGCACTCCAGTGTGGGTGACAGAGCTGGACTATCTCAAAAACACACACACACACACACACACACACACACACACACACACAACCAAAAATCATTATGCTTTCCCCATAAAACTGCTTAAGTGCCTTTGTTGGAAATCCATTGACCATAAATGTGTAGTCTTTCTGAACTTTCTACTGTTTTCCCTGGATCTACAACAGGTCTATATTTATGACTATACCACACTGCCTTTGCTACTGTAGCTTTATAATATTTCTTGGTATGAGTAGTAGCTTGGTGCACTTTTCCAAAGTTGTTTTGGCTATGCTAGATCCTTTGTATTTTCATATAACTTCTAGAACTAGCTTGTCAATGTTTAGCCCTATCCCCACTCTCCCAAAAAAGGCTTCCTGATATTTTGGTTGGAATTGTGTTGAGTCTGTACATCAACCTGGGGAGAACTGATGTCTTAACAATATCGACTCTTCCAATCTGCTCAGTGTATCTCTCATTTATTTACATCTTTAATTCTCACAGCAACGTTTTGTAGCTTTCAATTACAGAGCTTGCTCATCTTTTGTCAAATATACCCCCAAGTATTTCATGTATTTGATGGTACTGTATATGGTGGTGTTTTCCAAATTTCCCATTCCAAGTGTTCATTCCTGGCATATAGGAATACAACTGACTCTTCTATATTGACTTTGTAGAATGCTACCTTCCCGAAACTCAATTATTAGTTCCAGTAGCTTTGTGGTAGACTCCTTAGGATTTTCTACATAGAGAAACATATAATCTGTGAAGAAAGCCTTCTTCCTTTCCACCCTGGAGGCCTTTTCTTTCTCTTGCCTTGTTGCACTGGCCAGAATCCACAGTGTAATATTGAACAGAAGGGAGAGGACACCTGTGCCTTGTTCCTGAGAGGGTTACTGAAAGCCCCAATTGCCACTGTGGATTTGTCTATTTCCCCTTGCAGTTTTATCCATTTTTCCTTCCTATATTTCCTGTATTTTGAAGCTGTTATTAGGTGCATAGGTATTTAGTATTGTTATATCCTTTTAATGAATTACCCCTTTATCATTATCAAATGACTCTCTTTGTCCCTTGCAATATTCTTTGCTCTGAGATCTCCTTTGTCTAATATTAATAGAGCTGCTTCAGGTTTATTTTGATGTGTGCGTTACCATGGTGTATTTTTCTCCATCTTTTCACTTTTGTCTTTATATTTCTCATAAGCAATAGTATATAGTTGTGTATGGCTTTATAATCCAGCCTAACAATATCTGTCTTTTAATTTTGCAGTAGGCAATTTGCTTGTTTTCCCTTGCTCGTGCTTTTTGCTTTTTAAGTGTAATTTTAGAGGATGCATGAGATTCCTCATGATATTTGTGCTGAGATGTAATTCACATGCCATAACATTTACCATTTTAAAGTATGCAATTCAGTTGTTAGTACACTTGTACAACCATCACGATTATCTAATTCCAGAACATTAGAATCACCTTCAAAAGAAACCCTATACTCATTTTCAGCCACTCCTTGTTTCACCCATCCCCCTCCTCCCCCCTCAAGCTCCTGAAACCACTGTGAATGGTTTCCTGCTAATCTCTCTATGGATCTACCTGTTCAGGACGTTTCATGTAAATGGAATCACACCACGTGTGGCCTTTTGTGTCTGCCTTCTTCCACCTAGCATATTGCCGAGGTTCATCCAGGTTGTAGTGTGTCAGCACTTCATGCCTTTTTATTGCCAAGTAATATTGTGTGGATTCACCAGTTTTGCTTACAGCTGATGAACATCTGGCTTGTGTCCACTTTTTGGCTCTTATGAACAATGCTATGAACACATTAGGTTTATGTGTGCAGATTTTTTAATTCTCTTGAGTATAGACCTAGGAGGAGAATTGCTAGGTCAACTCCTATGTTCAACATTTTGAGGAACTGCCAAGCTGTTTTCCATAAAGGCTGTGCCTGTTTACAATCCCACTAGCAATGTATGGGGGTTCCAGTTTCTCCACATTCTCCTAAACACTGCAGAGCAGTATATTAGTCCATTTTCATATTGCTATAAAGAACTGCCTGAGCCCGGGTGCTTTAAAAAGGAAAGAAGTTTAATTGACTCACAGTTCAGTGTGGCTGGGGAGACCTCAGGAAACTTACAATCATGGTGGAAGGCGAAGACGAAGCAGGAACCTTTTTCACAAGGTGGCAAGAAGTGCCAAGTGAAGTGGGAAGAGCCCCTTATAAAACCATCAGATCTTGTGAGAACTCACTATCACAAGAATAGCATGGGGGGAACTGCTCCCATGATTCAATTACCTCCACCTTGTCTGTCCCTTGACATGTGGGGATTAGGGGGATTACAATTCAAGATGAGATCTGGGTGGAGGCACAAAGCCTAACTAACTATATCAATCAGTTTGGGAAAGTTATCTTCCAATCCATGAACCTGGGACATTTATATATTTAGGTTTGCAATGCCTTTCAACAAGCTATTTGTAGTTTTCGGTGAACAAGTATAGCCCTTCTTTTGTTAAATTTATTCCTACATATTTCACTCTTTTTGATGCAATTGTAAATGGAATTATTTTCTTAATTTCATTTTCAGGTTGTTCAGACTGCTAGTGTACAGAAACACTGGCTTTCCTATGTTGAACATATATTCTGCAACCTTGCTGACCTCATTTATAAGTTCTGATAAGTGATTTTTTAAATGTGTAAATTCCTTAAGATTTTCTAGGTATAAATCATGTCATCCGTGACTAGAGAGTTTTGATTCTTCCTTTCCGATCTGGATGCCTTATTTCTTTTCTTGCTTAATTGTCCTGGCTCGTAACTTCCAGTACAATGTTGGAATAGACGTGGCAAGAGCATTCTTGTTTTGTTCCCAACCTTAGCGGGTAATGCTGTGGTTTTTCATCGATGCTGTTTATCAGGTTGAAGCAGCCCCCTTCCATTCTTATTTTCTATCTTGAAAAGGTGCTGGATTTTGTCCAATGCTTTTTCTGCATCTGTAAATCATTATGTGGACTTTGTCCTTTATTCTATTGATAGGGTGTATTACATTGACAGATTTTTGGATATTAAACCAACTTTCCATTCCTGCGATAAATCCCACTTTGTCAGTGTACAATCCTTTTTATATGTTGCTGGATTTGTTTTGCCAGTTTTTTGAGGATTTTTACATCTATATTCATATGATATTGATCTAGTTTTTTTTGTGGTAGCTTTGTTTTGGTATCAGGTAATGCTGGCCTCAGGGTGAGTTGGGAAATGTTCTGCCTTATATTTTTTGAAAGATTTCGTGATCCAGCACTTTGGGAATCTGACGGGGGCAGATCACAAGATCAGGAGTTTGAGATCAGCCCGGCCAACACAGTAAAACGCCGTCTCTACTAAAAATACAAAAAATTAACCAGATGTGGTGGCAGGCACCTGTAATCCTAGCTACTGGGAGGCTGAGGCAAGGGAATCACTTGAACCCAGGAGGCGGAGGTTGCAGCAAGCCAAGATTGTGCCACTGCACACCAGCCCAGGCAACAGTGTGAGACTCTGCGTCAAAAAAAAAAAAAAATTGTGATGGTGATAATTCTGTAAAAGTTTGGCAGGATTCACAAGCCTTGGCTTTCCTTTGTTGAAAGTTTGGTTACTGATTTAATCTGTTTGTCCTAGGAATTTCTCCATTTTATCAAGGTTCATCTGTTGGCAAACAATCCATGGCACTGATACTTTGTATTCTGTACAGTCGGCTGTGCCATCACCTCTTTCATTCTTGATTTTAGTTATTTGAACCTATTTTTCCTTAGACTTGCTAAAGATGTGTCAATTTTGTTGATCTTTTCAAAGAATGAACCGTTGGTTTTGTTGATTTTCTCTATTATTTTTCTATTCATTTATTTCTACTCTCATCTTTATTATTTCCTTTCTTCTGCTTCCTTTGGGTTTAGCTTGCTTTTCTTTTAGTTTGAGGTGAGACAGACAATCTGCAATAAATGTAATTATTGACACGGTTGTTTTCAACCTACTACCGTTTTGTATTTGTCCATCTCGTAAGTTCTCTGTTCCCTTTTCCTTCCTTTTCAGGATTCTTAGATTAAGTATTCCTTAGAACTCTTATTTTGTCTCCTACGTTGGCTGTTTATTTCTGTTTCACATTTTTGTATTGCTTTAAAGGTTCATACCTAAAAATTGCTTAACACTTTTATATATGTTTCACATCTTTAATTCATCACAATCTGCCTTCAAGTAATAGTGTAAGAATCTTGACAGTATACTTCCATTACTCCTTTCTTCGGTGCTGTGCTATTTTCGTCATACATTTTATGTCTATGTATTATTTTAAACAATCTTACTACAAAGAAACATGCCAACAGCATCAACATTACCATTCTATTTCTATACTTTAGACATACCTCAAAGGGTCAGGACACTCTAGCTCTTGGTTAGAACCCTTTTTATGTGGTTTTTCTTTTAGGAAAATTGCCTGGCTTTAAGACAAGGCATCCTATATGTATTTGTTGAATAAATTTCAACCACCCAAAAAAAAAAAACAAAACAAAAAAAAAAAAAATATACCATTAGGAGTATAAATTGGTGGAAAATCTTTCTGCAACGTTAATTTGAAACATGTACCTTGATCAAGAAAATCACTTCTAAAGATTATTCTGGGTGGGCACAGTGGCTCATGCCTAATCCCAGCACTTTGGGAGACCAAGGCAGGAGGATCACGTGAGGTCAGGAATTTGAGACCAGCCTGGCCAACATGGTGAAACCCCAACTCTATTAGAAATATGAAAAATTAGCCAGGTGTGGTGGTGGGCACCTGTAATCCCAGCTACTCAGGAGGCTGAGGCAGGAGAATCGCTTGAACCCAGGAGGTGGAGGTTGCAGTGAGCCGAGATCACACCATTGTACTCCAGCCTGGGCAACAAGAGCGAAACTCCATCTCAAAAAAATAAACAAATAAAAGATTATTCTAATTAATCTTCAACTGCTTCCAAAGGAGCCATGGTATAGAGGCTGGAAAAGTAGCTTTTTTTTTTTTAACGTAGTGAAATATGTATGATACATTACTAAGCAAAAACCTGAGTTAATAATGGCAAAGTGGGTTACAATTTTTGCTTAAAAAGGTCTTTATGTACAGGTAGATGTACAAGATAAATTAAAATACTGGATGGACAGTCATCAAATTGTGAGTTATATCTGGGTAGGAGGATTAAGGATGACTTTTTCAAATTATGCATTTGTATGTTTTTTTTCAGTGAGATTATACTTTTGTAATGAAGTACATAACCCAGGGGTTTTTCATCTGGATTTAGTTGCTGGGGACCTTGGGAAGCCCCTCAGGATCTAGAGCCAGTTTTTCCACCTGACCAGAGGCCCAGTGATACCTACCTAGCAAGGCTCAGCAGACCCCCTGCCTGAACTTGACTCCATTTGGACTCTGGGAGGATCCTGGCCCCAAACCACCCTCCCAAGAACCTCCATGAGTTCTCTACCTCTTGTATCCTTCTCTTCCCAGCATCACTGCAAATGTTCCACCCTGTCCCGCACCATGCCCCCATCCATGAGCACTTAGCATCCTTCCCTGGTATAGGCAGGAGCAACGCTGAACTTCCTGGAGAAGTCCACATTCCAGTCAGCTGTCTACAGCAGAACCACACACCACCAAAGGGAAATAGCATTTTCATCACTGACTGCCCAAGGGCCAGGCTGCTCTCCAGAAAGTCTGGAAACTTTCCTTGTCAACCTTTAGGACTGGTGGTTTTTAAATCTTGGATAATCACATACCATTTCTGATTTGTCAGTACAGTTTGACATTTTTATGAACACTTGTGCTGTATTTTTCCTTTTAGGATGACCTTTCCTAGACAGTGTGTGGGGTAGCTTAAGCCCCACCCCTTCTCCTGCCATCTCCTCCCCAAGGCACCAATGCTGCCTCCTCCACTGTAACACCACGTGCTTATTCATCTAGAATCATTCTTACTGGTAATGGAGGCCTTCCGTCCTCCGGAGTGACTGTGTGGAAACCTGAGCCACTCCTCACCTCTAACACAAGCCTGGCAGCAGCTCCTGATGAGACCAGGTGAGCCTCAGTGAGCTCAGGCGCCTGCAGATACGGACATTGAGGCTGGCACTGGCCAGAGCTGTGGTGGGCATCACTCCCCACTGCTGCTGAGCAAATGCCCTGAACACACCTGTATCTGGTTCCTCCTTGCCAGGAACTCATTAAGCTGCCTGGGCCTGTAGTCTCGTGCTCCTCCCGCTCGGCCAGCAGTGCCACCTGGGAGTCTTGTTACCTGCAGGTTCTCACTCAGCAAGCCAGGACAGGGCCCGAGCACTTGCATTTCTAACCAACTCCTGATGATGCAGCTGGTCTACCAGCCACCAGCTGGCTAGCAAGGGTCCAGTCACAGTTTCAGTGAAAGGAAGTTCCATTCATAAACTATAGAATTTCAGATGCCTTCAAGTAGAATCACCTGATGAAATTTAAAAATTATTTCCAAGCTCACCCTAACCCGGAAATAAAGATTATCATCCCAACTAATTTCAGGAAGGGAGGGGCCAGTTTTAACATTTCCATTTCAAATATTAGAGCCCGGTCTGTGGCTCATGTGTGTAATCCCAGCACTTTGAGAGGCTGAGGCGGGAGGACTGCTTGAAGTCAGGAGTTTAAGACCAGCCTGGTCAACAGAGGGAGACCCTGTCTTTAAAAACATTTAAAAAATTAAAAATTGGGCAGCTGTGGTGCTGTGTGCCTATAAAGCTACAGGTAATTACTTTAAATATTTCAACAGATAACTTAAATACTTTAATAATTTAAATATTTAAACAGATAATTATCTGTTTTAGTTTGTCAACATTGTGGTAAGTCATGATCCTGCCACTATACTCCTGCCTGGGCGACAGGGAGATCCTGGGCTCTCAAAAAAACAACAAAAAAAAAAAATTAGAAAAATGAGGCCAGGCATGGTGGCTCACACCTGTTATCCCAGCACTTTGTAAGGCCAAGATGGGAGAATCACTTAAACCCATGAGTGACAGACCAGCCTAGGCCACAAAGTGAGACCCTGTCTCTACAAAAAATTTAAATATTAGCCAGATGTGCTGGCATGCACCTGTAGTCCCAGCTACTCAGGAGGGTGAGGTGAGAGGATCGCTTGAGCCCAGGAGGTTGTGGCTGCAATGAGTTGTGATGGTGCCACTGCTCTTCAGCCTGGGCAGCAGAGCAAAACTCATCAACGATGAAACTCTTTCCAAAAAAAAAGATTAGAAAAGTGAGTGAAATGGGCCGGGTGCAGTGGCTCACGCCTGTAATCCCAGCACTTTGGGAGGCCGAGGTGGGTGGATCACGAGGTCAGGAGATCGAGACCATCTTGGCTAACACGGTGAAACCCCGTCTCTACTGAAAATACAAAAAAATTAGCCTGGCATGGTGGCGGCCGCCTGTACTCCCAGCTACGTGGGAGGCTGAGGTAGGAGAATGGCATGAACCCAGGAAGTGGAGCTTGCGGTGAGAGGAGATCACGCCACTGCGCTCCTGCCTGGGCAACAGAGGGAGACTGTCTCAAAAAAAAAAAAGAAAAAGAAAAGAAAAAAAGAAAAGTGAGTGAAATGACCCAAGACTACACAGTAAGTTACTAGAGAAGGTGGTGGCACCTTAGAAGTATAGAGTTTATGGGAAAAGTTTTAAATTTTTAATGAAAAAGACTTAGAACAATGTATTATTTACATGTAAATAAGAAAAGAGAGCAGAATCCCCATATCCTCTTCAAAGGAAGGGAGACGGCAGGCCATTTATGAGAAGAAAGTCCATATAAACCCCATTAAGTAGAATCTGGATCTAAATACTTCCAAACAGGAGTACACAGCAGGTGAACAGTCTCCCTCATCCCACTGATCTGCTGCTTCAGATAAGATCAGCAACTGAAAGTGAAGAAAGAAACAGATTAAGGAACAACACAAACAAAATGAAAATTTGTTAACGTAAATTTAACTAAAACCTCACAACAGACTTCTCAAAACAAAAAACAGGCCAGACATAGTGGCTCACGCCTGTAATCCCAGCACTTTGGGAGGCTGAGGTGGGCAGATCATTTGAGGCCAGGAGTTCGAGACCAGCCTGGCCAACATGGTGAAACCCCGTCTCTACTAAAAATACAAAAATTAGCTGGCTATGGTGCACGTGTCTGTAATTCCAGCTACTCAGGAGGCTGAGGCAGGAGAATTGCTTGAACCCAGGAGGCAGAGGTTGCAGTGAGCCGAAATCGCGCCACTGCACTCCAGCCTGGGTGACAGAGCGAAACTTCGTCTCAAAAACAAAACAAAAAAACCCACAACAACAAAAAAACAAACTCAGGTGCCCCAAACTAAGAATAGGGAAGTTCCCTCTACAATTACAGTAGAGCTGGACGATTTCCTACCGTTCATCGGCATCTCATCAATCTGAGTGGAATAGTACTGCTCGATATCTCTGAGGATGCGGATGTCGTCATTCTTTACAAAGTTAATGGCCACACCCTTCCGGCCGTATCGACCTGATCTCCCAATTCTTCAGGAATAAAATAATATTACAGTTAGTATATATAACAATCAAGATTTAGTAAATGTGTCACAGAAGTGAAGCCAATGAGAGCTTGCACCTTACCTGTGTATGTACAATTCTCTGTTATTAGGGAGATCATAGTTAATGATGAGGGACACCTGAGGGACATCCAACCCCCTGGCCCAGACATCTGTAGAAATAAGCACTCGGCTGCAAAAAGAAAGAGTGTTTGAGGCGATTAAATTACTCATACAAGTGTAAGACTGGACTTGCTTCCATTGCTAATTTTAAGGAATCCTGGCTGCAGGTCCAAAATATACGAGATTCTCCTCTCTCAACAGTCTGTCTGCAAACGTGAAGCCTCAGGGACAGCACCAGAAACCCCTGTGCAGAGGGGCTGTTGGTGGATTTAGTTACTTCGGTCATGTGCTCCATCAGATTAAAAAAATAGACATCTTTTACTAGACTATCTTTAACTTGTTTAATCGGTCCTAAACCAATAATTGGGAAAAATACTTCACTTTTGCCTAGCAAAAAATTAAAAACGGTAACTTCAGCCGGGCATGGCGGCGGCTTATGCCTGTAATCCCAGCACTGCCAGAGGCTGAGGCAGATGGATCACCTGAGGTCAGGAGTTCGAGACCAGCCTGGCCAACATGGTGAAACCCCATCTCTACTAAAAATGAAAAAAAAAAAAAAAAATTAGCCATTCCAGCTACTCGGGAGGCTGAGACACAGGAGTCACTTGAAATCAGGAGGCAGAGGTTGCAGTGAGCCAAGATTGTGCCACTGCACTCCGGCCTGGGTAACGAAGTGAGACTGTCTCAAAAACAAACAAACAAAAAAAGACACACACAGCACATATGTTAAGCTGACCACAAGGTGGGCAAAGAAGGAAGTCTGAATCAAGTTCAAATGAATGAAACCACCCAATCCACGCTTTCTGACCACTGTGGAATTAAACTAATCGAAACGATGAACAGAAAACCCCCCTACTTACTGGAAAAGAAGACACACGCTTGTAACCAAGGTGACCAACCTGGCTAGTTAAGGCTAGTTATCACCTCAACCTAAGTATTACAGGAGCACAGCGGACCCCTCCTTAACTGGAAGGTTTTCTGCTCACCCAGGGCCTCAGCTTTCAGAGCAGAAGCTTGGCATCCCCCCGGGTGTGGGGCCTGCACTTAGGCGGTACATATGAAGTGCTTAGACACAGTCTAGCAAACCCTGACCTGCAGAGCCACAGCATAGCAGACCCACCTGGCGCCCGACCGGAACTCCTTCATGATGGACTCCCGCTCTTTCTGGGGCATGTCTCCATGCATTGAGGATACAGTGAAGTTGGCTTCCCTCATTTTCTCCGTCAGCCAGTCCACCTACAAATCCAATCAACAGATGCTACTGCAAGCTAGTATACCAAAGCAGAGATGTGCATTCGGGACTTTACCGCATCATTTGCAGAACCAGTATCAATATTCGTAAGGTAACTGCTCTTAAAACTCAGAATCATCCTAACTGGATGTAAAAACTTTTTCCCAGAAAATGTTGGGGTGCACTCACAAAACCCTCTTACTTCATTTTCTCCATATAATGACTCTATGGGGGGAGGGGGCCAGGTGTGCTCATTCTCATTTGAAATTTGAATTCCAATCTTGTTAGAATGTAGCCCAACTCCTTTCCTTTCTCAGGAAAGTGGCCGACAGTTCTCAGGTCTGCCTCCACATTACCATCACCTGGGGATCTAAAACTACTCAGGCCTGGGTTCCACCTTCAGCCAACGAAATCTGAATCTTTAGGGGTGGCTGATATCGCTGTTCTGTAAATGAAGTTTTAATGGTCACAGCCACGTCTGACCGTTTGCATATTGTCTACAGCTGCTTTTACAAGAGAACACATACCCTGAAAGCTTAAAATATGGACAAACTGGCCCTTTACTGAAAAATCTTGATTTATGTCATTCAGAGACTCAATCTGCAGTTTCCCTTCAGCACATGGATGCTGTGCAGTGCCTCTTACCTTTCTTTTGGTGTTGCAGAAGATGACCGCCTGAGTGATGGTCAGTGTGTCGTAGAGGTCACACAGAGTGTCAAATTTCCACTCTTCCCTCTCCACTGCCACGAAAAATTGCTTGATGCCTTCCAGAGTCAATTCATCACTGAAGGACAAAGACAAATCCTGTTACATACTCATCCTTCCTTCTAGGACTTGAGGGTGGGCCAAGCCAGGATCCAGGGAGACCCTGGTGGAAAAGGTCACACCGTGATATCTGGTGCAGACCCAGCAGCCCCAGCCCTGTCCTCCATCCTATCACCACTTCCGTCACACAGGCCTCCATTCTGTATCCTACTTAACATTTCACAATGTGCACCACATGGAATACGATTCTAAACGAAACACTGATAAATAAATAGTCACCTAATTTTTAAATTTAGAATTATTGGTTCAAACCACAATGAGGATTATAAAAGATGGGTTGTTTTGTTTTGTTTGAGACAGGGTCTTGCTCTGTTGCCCTGGCTGAAGTACAGTGGCACAATCAAAGCTCACTGCAGCCTCAGCCTCCTGACCTCAAGCGATCCTCCCACCACAGCCTCCTGAGTAGCTGGGACTATAGGCATGTGCCGCCCTACCTGGCTAATTTTTTATTATTGGTAGAGATACGGTCTCTATATGTTGCCCAGCCTATTTGGTTTTTTAAAACAGGAATTTTAAAAGAATTTGCATGCTTTCAATTCCTTTACACTCAGGCAAGAGGATAGCCTGAGGTCCGGGTTTTGACACGAGCTTCAGCAACACAGCCAGACTCTGGCTATAAAAAGTTTTTGAAATTACGACATAAAATCCTTTATAAATGCGGCCCAGTGTTTTAGTAAACTTGACAAGAGGGGCTCCTACCGTTTCACCAAGATGCGGATTGGGTCGGTCATGAACTTGTTGGTCATCTCCAGAATCTCGTGTGGCAGCGTGGCACTGATGAGAACCACCTGTGTGGCTGGAGGCAGGTACCTGTATACATCGTAAATCTGCTCTTTGAAACCTGGGACAGGGAGCAAGACAGGTGAGGGATGTTTAGGGCGGCACACCCAGAAATGGAAGGTGCACGCCCAGTGTTCCCACTGGGTTAGAGGCAGAGTGGTGATAAGGTACGTTTGACAGGAAATCTCATTTTTACAGCACCAGGCCACATCCACGCGTTCTCTCCGTCCCTACTCCCCGCCCACCGGAGTGTTATCTGGTTGAGGGAATCTGGTTTCCCTTTGGTGCTTCTTCAATCTGAAGTGATCTAGGGATCAAGAAACCCACCCCGAGAGTCCTAGATACCAAATAAAAAGCAATAGAGGCTGGCCTGAGTCACCCACAATGAACAAATAAATAAAATCAAGGTAGGAATTTTTTGTTCATAATTGCCAAGGCACAATTGTTTTTCCACGATGAAAACACTATTCACATTCAGAACAGTCACTGGCTGTTTCAATTTTACACTGTGAAAATTTAAGAACTAAGAATTATGTCAGTAGAAGAGTAATTCTTTTGTTGCTCATACCTTTATTCAACATTTCATCAGCTTCATCCAAAACCAACATTTTGATAGCACGTGTCCTTAGGCTTCTGCGACGAATCATATCTATAACATGAGATTTTGAAATACTTACGACAAATCACATCTATGAGATTTTGAAATAATCACACCTGAGGCTCCCAAGAAAGAGCTCATCATTCCACTGGTCTCAGGGTTCCAGAGACCTTCCCTCTACCTCCTGCAAGTGACCCAGGTGCAAAAGTCTACCGTGCGGCCTACCAAATCGAAAGCTGTCCTGTACCATTTAAGCACTTCTTACAAATACTACCGGCAGCACCATTTTTAGCGACAAAAGTGCTTACCAAAAACACGCCCTGGAGTGCCCGCGACAACATGCTGTCCGTAATCCAGCTTCCTGATGTCCTCGCCAACATTGGTGCCTCCAATGCAGGCATGGCACTGGACATTCATGTAGTCACCGAGAGCAAGCAGCCCCTGAAACAAAGCACAGGTTCACGTCCAGGGTGGGAGAGAGAAACATCCACGTTTTCCAAAAAGAAAGACTGTTTCTCCTCCGAGATGATCACCGATTATTATTTATGCCATTATTATCTCGAAACCACAAAATTCTCCTGCTCTTTTCTCTGACAAAAACAAGTTAATTTTGCTTTTTTTTTTTTTTTTTTGAGACGGAGTCTCACTCTGTGGCCCATGCTGGGGGGCAGCAGCGCAATCTTAGCTCACTGCAAGCTCCGCCTCCAGGGTTCACGCCATTCTCCCGCCTCAGCTTCCTGAGTAGCTGGGACTACAGGCGCCCGCCACCACACCAGGCTAATTTTGTTTTTGTATTTTTAGTAGAGATGGGGTTTCACCGTGTTAGCACACCGTGCTGTGTGCACCCTATATGTGTATTCAGAGAGTCGTTATCTCCTGACCTCGTAATTGGCCTGCCTCAGCCTCTCAAAGTGCTGGGATTACAGGCGTGAGCCACCACACCCGGCCTGCTGGTTTCTTATTACAAAAGCTATATCATTAACAGAAAAGAATATATAAAATTCATAATCCCATCCACCGAAGAAACCAGCATTAACATCTTAATATACATCTTTTTAAACATACATCTTTATACTACGTTAAGTATAAAATGGGTACAATTTATTTTTTTTTTGAGACAGAGTTTCACTCTTCTTGCCCAGACTAGAGTACAACGGCACAATCTCAGCTCACTGCAACCTCTGCCTCCCGGGTTCAAGTGATTCTCCTGCTCAGCCACCCAAGTAGCTGGGATTACAGGCGCCTGCCACCACGCCCAGCTAATTTTTTGTATTTTTAGTAGAGACAGGGTTTCACTATGTTGACCAGGCTGGTCTCAAACTCCTGACCTCAGGTGATCCACCCACCTCGACCTAATTTATTTTTATTAAAATTGATTTTTCGCAAAAAATCTACATTTCTAAGGCTGTAAAAAACTACCGAGAGCACACAAGCCACACCAAAAATGACTTAATACAAACCAGCAATTTATATAATGATTAATGGCAAAATGTTAATCAGGAAGAAAATTTTGAGGTATCAGAAAACAGGATTGGATTAAATAAATAAGTCGGTGTTTCACAACTAAATCACAAAAGCAGTACTTGTTAATCGGACACCGCTATCTTTAGCCATCTCACCTTCTGGATCTGCACAGCCAACTCTCTTGTGGGAGCCAAGATCAAAGCTTGAGTTTCACGAACCTGGTGAAATAATTTATCAGAAAATAGAGAATCCGCAGTATTATCAAAGTGGATTGTAGTAATTCACACTCAGATCTATATGAGAAATACTATCTCATATTAATCATACTTCTCATCTCTTACAGGTTAGCAAATATTGTCATTTAAATTGCAAATCCAACAATAACTTAATGTGTCAGCATCCTCGTCTGCAGACAAGAGCTTCCTCTAGTTAAATAGAAAATCATGACAGAATATTAGTGCATATATTAGTGTACAACTAAGACTCTGTGTAAAAATTTGCTGAGTCAATACATACTAGAAAATTTTAAATTGTACTTTTTGAACACTGTAGTTACAGAAGAAAAAGCAAGTATTTCCTAGAATTACATAACAGTTTGTTTTAAGAATGGCAAATTACCTGAATATCCAAACACTGGAGGACTGAGATACTGAAGGTGGCTGTTTTTCCTGTGCCGGACTGAGACCTATTCAAGGAAACAAAAGCAGTGGGATTAGAGGGAGGACAGGCCACGCCACAGCTGCACTCCAAGGCCTGGGCTCCAGAGGCACTTAGGTACCTTCTTCCAGCAAGCCCCCGTACCTAATAACATCTTAACTGCGAGGAGGCAGGACTCGGGCCCAGTGTCACAGCTTGTTAAGTGTCCATGAAGAAAGAGAGTAGACATGGCTTCTGCACGGGGGCAATGGAGCCACAGACTCTCTAACTTCAAGAGGTGTTTCATAGGTGTCAGAAAAAGGAGGACTCCCCTTTATCTAAATACAACTCTTTTCCTTCTAGGATTTTGGACTAACTCTCTCTTCCAAAGAAATTTTTGTGTAAATGAGTCTTTTTTGAAATTAGGCAAACGAGGAATAAAGCTATTAAAAGAGGATTTGTGGTGCTAGGAGATATGGCTATATACAAGTTTTCATCCATAGTTCCTGGCTCACAGCTCCCATAGCCCTTATTACAGTCTTATTAAATTGATGGGTTAGGCCTCAGGAAACAATCTCTCTGACCTTCTGCTCTCCTTTCACCTGCTCCACAGCAGGGCTCTAATCTTCCCTGCCTTTCAGATTGTGAGTCATAAAGACCCTCATGTCACGGCGTGGTGGCTCAGGCCTGTATTCCCAACACTCTGGGACGCAGAGGCAGCATTAATTGAAGCCAGGAATTCGAGACCAGCCTGGGCAATACAGCAAGAGACCCCATTTCTAAACAAAACAAAAAACTAACCAGGAACGGTGGCACATTCTGGCAGTCCCAGCTACTTGGGAGGTTGAGGCGGGACGATTCCTTAATCCTCGAAGTTAGAGGTTGCAGTGAGCTATGACTGCACCACTGCATTCCCGCCTGGGTGACGAAGTGAGGCCCCATATCTTAACAAAAAAAATGTTTAGGCCGGGCACAGTGGCTCACGCCTGTAATCCCAAGGCTTTGGGAAGCCAAGGCAGACAGATTGCCAGGAGTTTGAGAGCAGCCTGGGCAACACAACAAAACCCTGTCTCTACAGAAAATACAAAAATTAATTGGGCATGGTGATGTGTGCCTGTAGTCCCAGCTACTTGGGAGGGTGAGGTGGGAGGATCGCTTGAGGCTGCTATGAGCTGTAATCACACGACTGCACTCCAGTCTGGGAGACAGAGTAAGACCCTGTCTCGAAAAATGTAAAAAATTTAAATTTCAAATTTTTTTTTAAAAAGCATTATGGTATTATCCCAGAAAAGCTCCTGCCCTATTCCCTTATGGGGGAAAGAATGCTGACCTCATGGAATTTTCCATAAAAACCCAAGAGGACTGGGTTCGAAGAGCTTCTAGATGGCTGAACACAGACAGTGGAACACAAGGAGGTTCCGGGAGGTGACCACCCGCCCCTTGGAGGCTGCACCCCTCCCCCCATATCTGTATCCTCTGCAGTACCCTTTATAATAAACCACTAAATGTGTTTCCCTGAGTTCTTTGAGCTGCTGTTCCAGCAAATTAATCCAACCTAAAGAGGGGATCCTGGGAACCCAACTTGAAGCTGCTTGGTCAGAAGTTCTAGAGATCCGAACTTATAACTGGTGTCTGAAAAGAGGGTAGTCATGGGGACTGAGCCGTCAACCTGCAGGATATGGCCTATCTCCAGGCAGGTGGTGTGAGTTGAACTGGAGGACACCCAGCTGGAAAAGCCCCACACCTCTGCTCACAGAAGTCTTCTTCTGTGCTGATGACTGTTGTGGTGGTGTGAGAGCAGAGGAAAAGCACAGTCTGTTTTTCCGAAATTGTGTTATATACAATTCCACATGCCAGCAAACCACTAAGCAAAGCTGGCTAAGAAAATGAAAGCCTTGGCCGGGCGCAGTAACTCATGCCTGAAATCCCAGCACTTTAGGAGGCCAAGGAGGGTGGATCACCTGAGGTCAGGAGTTTGAGACCAGCCTGACCAACATGGTGAAACCCCCGTCTCTACTAAAAATATGAAAATTAGTCGGGCATGGTGGTGCATGCCTGTAATCCCAGCTACTTGGGAGGGTGAGGCAGGAGAATAGCTTGAAACTGAGAGGCAAAGGTTGCAGTGAGCCGAGATGGCACCACTGCACTCCAGCCTGGGCAACAGAGCGAGACTCCATCTCAAAAAGAAAATGAAAGCTTTCCACAGTAGAGAACACAAATTTAAAAAAGTATTAAACCCTGTGGCTAAAGTCAGGGAAAGTGTTGGAACTGAGCGTGTACAAGCTGAGGGAAACAGTCATCCCAGAGCATCTAACTGCACTGCGCTGCCCAAATTTACATCCAGCCCTGCGCCGCACCCCAGGACAACTTACTGTGCGATGACATCTCTCCCTTTGATGATCTGCTTGATTGCTCGTTGCTGGATTGCTGATGGTTTTTCAAAACCTGCAAATAAAAACAAAAAATTAGCCCTCACCACAATGACAGCATAGAAACCCTGTACTGTGAGCTCCTCAGGGGCAGACATGGTTTGTTTTTTGAACCTGTCCTCCAGCCTAACCCAGTGTTCAACATAGCAAGCTCTCAAAACCCAGGGGCTCAATGAATTGGGCTGAGTGATTTCTACACTAACGTGGGATATTATTTGTAAAGACCAATCTCTATTTTTAAAAAACCACCAAATTGTAGAATATAGACAACAGTTTTGTTTAAAAAAAAAAAAAAATCTGGGTGTGCAGCATCTGGAAGTGTAAGTGCCAAAATGTTCCTGGCAGTTACTGCAGTAGAGGGGTGGAAAGAAACTTACTTTTTACTCTAATTACTCCCTTAGGTTTGACTGGATTACAAACAACCTATACTACTTTTTAAATTAAAAAAAAAAACAACAAAAAAACAGGAAAGTCACTCTAGCCATTGTTCTCTCCTACTAGCTAGCATTAAGTCTGTGTGTTGCTGACAGGTCTACAACTCTGTTTAACCTGCGTGGGTCACGCTGCAGGGTGTCCTATGTTGTTCTGTCTGGATGCAGCTCACTAACTACAACACCATCACACCATCTCTCTTGCAAAGCAACTACTACACCAAAGGGTGAGGCTATTTTGAAGAAGAACCACGTGTTTTTCAAGTAAATAAAATTTTATGTACAAAAACTCTATTTCAATTATTTTTTGGTAGTCTCTTAAATGTAGCTCTGCTCAGTTCTGGGGCATAGCGAAAAATAAGAAACAAAAGAAAATGTAGCACAATTTCCCATCTTAACACAAATGCAAATATAGCAGATGATTTAAACTCTTCATGAAGAGCAAGCACATAGATGGGAAACTAACAACAGTGTCTTAGGGCAGGGACTGCCTGAGTGCCAGGAAACCAGGTGGGGCTGTCAGCCTCACTGTGAGGCTGCCTGAGATGCTTTTTCACCACGCATCCTCAGCAACTTCGCTTCACTTTGTCCAAACTGTTGTGGCATCAAGAACTACAGGATACGGCCAGGTGGGGTGGCTCACACCTGTAATGCCATCACTTTGGGAGGCTGAGGCTGGTGGATCACTGAGGTCAGGAGTTCAAGACCAGCCTGGGCAACATGGCAAAATCCCCTCCCTACTAAAAATACAAAAATTAGTAGGACGTGGTGGCCCACACCTATAATCCCAGCTACTCGGGAGGCTGAGGCAAAGGAATCGCTTGAGCCCCAGAAGTGGAAGTTGCAATAAGCTGAGATCATGCCACTACACTCCAGCCTTGGTGACAAGAGCAGGACTGTCAGAAGGAAAAGGAAGAAAGAAAAGGAAGAGAACTACAGGATAAAAAATGTCCCTGTCCCAAGCATTAAACACAGGCCATTTATCCCAGATGCTGGTCATTCCCATCTATGTGCCCAACCCAACCTCTTCTCCAGGCTCTCCCTCAACTTCCTCACATCTTTCAAACATACCAAGAGACAGCTCCTGATTCTGACTCTCTGGAGTGCTGCCTACCTAGCCAAATGTTTGCAGCATCAACCACCGGTTACTCAAAACACTCCAACTCTCCTCCTTCTGTCACTCACGTTCAATCCATCAGCCAATGCTGTCAGCTCCCTGGTACTCCATCTCCAAGGCAGCACAATCCTCTCTTCCCTGAACTGCAGCAAAAGCTCCCAACTCTCTTGTTTCCTCTCCTGCCTTGCCTCGCCTCACCTCAAATCTACAGACACCCAGAAGAATCTTTAAAACTGTAAATGTGATCGTGTCACATAGCTACTTAAAACCTTCCACTGGCTTCCCACTAGATTTCTAAATGAAATTCAAATTATTCGTCACCCTACACGTCTTTGCTAGATCTGCCCCGACTAGCTCTCCAAAATCCCACCACAGGGGACTTCTTTCAGTTCCTGGAATGCAGCTGGCTAAGGGCTGCAAGGCCCTGGCACCAGCTGTTCCTTCTGCCCCAACTGCTCTTCCCTCTTCTCATAACAGTCTCCTTCATCCAGAACTCTGCTCAAATGGCACCCCCTCCTGCGAACCCCCTTACCTCTCTGCTTTACTAATTCTCTCCTCCTTCCCAGTCCCACTCTATTCAATTACCCCGCTTCAGGTTCTTCAGGTTGCCTGGGCAACCTGACAGTATGCTTTCCCCCCAAACGAAATTCAAAACCCGTAAAGGCGCAAACCCTTCCGGTTTACCGCCAAAACCCCAGTACCTAGAAAAGCTAATAGGTAGAAATCAGTTATCTGCTGAATGAAGGACGCTGAGGTGCCTCGAAGCGGCTGCAGCCCCCGACAGACCCAGCGCCGAGCTCTGCACGGGGGACACACACCGAAAGCGCCGACACAGCCAGGCGTGAGGGCGAGGACGGGGGTGGGGGTGGGGGTCGGACGTCACTGGCCCCCGAGCCTCGACCCTGACCACGACCTCCGGAGCGCAGGGCCGGCCCGGGAGTCACCAGTCTGGCCCTCAGCCCCCGGCTCGCCCCCGACTCGCCCCCGGCTGGCCCCCGCGGCCCGCGCCCGCTCACCGTAAGCGTAGATGCCCCGCAGCAGGTCCTCCCGCAGGCCCATGGTGTCGAACGTGGGGGTCACATCCACCTCCTCGCTGGTCTCGAATTCCACTTTAGTCATGTCTTCCTCTTTGAGCAGCCGCTTTCGCGCCGAGCCCGAGGTCGCCATCGTGGCCGTGGTCGCCATGATTCAGAGTCCGCGGAAGAGCACAGCGCGCGCCGCTGCCGACCTCGCTGCCGCTGCCGACCTCGCTGTGCCGCTGCCGACCTCGCTGCCGCTGCCGACCTCGCTGTGCCGCTGCCGACCTCGCTGTGCCGCTGCCGACCTCGCTGTGCCGCTGCCGACCTCGCTGTGCCGCTGCCGAGAACAGACGCCTTAAGTATGCGAAAGCGAGAGACGTGCGTGCGTACGTGCGTACGTGCGTACGCGCGACGCGGCCACGCCTCTGGGGGACGGGGCACTCTTCGTCACGTGAAAGGGAACTGGGCGTTTGCCGCAGGGAAAAGTAAGGTGTTTCTGCTCTCGCGCCATATGCAGTTCCCGCGGGATCTCGTTGAGGGCGGGGCACCCAGTTCCTTACGAAAGGGATGGAGGGGGTGGTACTTCTAAAGTTGGCGGTGTTTCGTACCGGCCGCGGGATTTCGCGGACTGGGGCGCTGAGGTTCTTTGAGCGGCGTGTGGACCTGAATTCCCTGGAAACAGGCTGGGGCCGCGAGGGGCCTCCGCTCCGGGCGGGGTCCCCAGATAGCCCCGCCTCGAATAAAAATGACGAGCACGGGTCCTCTCTCGGGCCCGCAGTGGGTGGACTGCGTCGCAGACCCGTAGTGGAGGCGCCCAGCTCGCCGGGGAGATTCGAGTGGAAACCCTCACGGCCGCCGGTGGTGGGCCCCGGCGCGGCGCTGGGCTCCGGCGGGTCTGCGCTGGGGAGGGCCAGGGCCCCTGAAGCCGGCGTCCCTCTTAGGGGACGCGCCTGGGTGTGTCTTCACCGTTTGCCTGGTGAGTTGGAGACAGGGTCTCGCTCCGTCGCCCAGGCTGGAGTGCAGTGGTAGGATCAGGGTTCATTGTAGCCTCCGCCTCAGCCTCTGGAGTAGCTGGGACCTCAGGCGCGCGCCACCACGCCCGGCTAATTTTTTAAATTTTTTTGTAGAGACGGGGTTGGGGGAGGCGGGGGTTAGGGTTGTCCTGGCTGGTCTTGAACTGCGGGGCCTCAGGTGATCCGCCTGCCTTGGCCTCCCAAAGTGCTGGGATTACAGGCATGAGCCACTGTGCCCGGCAAGCAGCTGTTATAAATAAAATACATGCTGAGCCTGCAATTTGCTCTTAATGAAGGCCACTTGTCAGTAGACGGTGCTGCTAATGCGTGTCCTGCAGCAAAGATAACCCAGACGGGATCATTTTTTAATTGCCCAGCAGAACTTTAACCAGTTGTGCATCTTAACCTGCTTTTTGTTTGTTCGTTTGTTTGTTTTGAGACAGTCTGGCCCTGTCGCCCAGGCTGGAGTGCCATGGCGCGATCTCGGTTCACTGCAGCCTCCACCTCCCGAGCACAGGCGATCCTCCCGCCTCAGCCTCCAGAGCACCTGGGACCACAGGTGTCCACGCGCAGCCACTAACCGCTTTCTTATCTGACACTTTAAGTGCTTCTTCGTACCCAGCTCCTCTAACGCCTTTTGAAGCAGCTCCATCATCTTTGAAGGGCAGTTCATGCTGTTGAGAATCATGTTTTTAACTTTGGGAAAATTGTATTTCCACGAGCGCCAGCTCTGTCCTTTTTTTTTTTTTTTTTTTTTTTTTTTTTTGACGGAGTCTTGCTCGGTTCGCCCAGGCTGGAGTGCAGTGTCGCGATCTCAGCTCACTGCAAGTTCTGTCGCCCAGGTTCACGCCATTCTCCTGCCTCAGCCTCCCAAATAGCTGGGACTACAGACACGCGCCACCACGCCCAGCTAATTTTCTGTATTTTTAGTATAGACCGGGTTTCACCATGTTGGCCAGGATGGTCTTGATCTCTTGACCTCATGATCCGCCCACCTCGGCTTCCCAAAGTGCTAGGATTACAGGCGTGAGCCACCGCGCCCCGCTATTTTGTGTGTGTGTGTGTGTGTGTGTGTGTGTGTGTGTGACAGAGTCTCGCTCTGTTCCCCAGGCTGGAGTGCAGTGGCGCAATCTTGGCTCACTGCAACCTCTGCCTCCCGGTTCAAGCGACTCCCCTTCCTCACCCTCCTGAGTAGCTAGGATTACAGGCATGCACCACCACGCCCGGCTAATTTTTGTATTTTTAGTAGAGATGGGGTTTCCCCGTGTTGGTCAGGCTGGTCTTGAACTCCTGACCTCATGATCTGCCCGCTTCAGCCTCCTAAAATGCTGGGATTACAGGCATGAGCCCGGTCCTGTCCTTTCTTATGGTCACAAATCTGGCTTGCATCGCTGGGCACATCTTTAATCCACAGCTTCTTTCTAGGAGTGCTTGAAAAGCTCTCCTTTTATGAAGGTTAATTTTAGTTAAAACCAGAGCATCCTGGCCAGGCCTGGTGGCTCACGCCTGTAATCCCAGCACTTTGGGAGGCCGAGGCAGACGGATCATGAGTGTAGGAGTTCGAGAACAGCCTGGCCAAAATGGTGAAACCCCATCTCTACTAAAAAAAAAATACAAAAATTAGCTGGCCGTGGTGACGGGTGTCTGTAGTCCCAGCTACTCTGGAGGCTGAGGCAGGAGAATCTCCTGAACCCCGGAGGTGGAGGTTGCAGTGAACCGAGATTGCGCCACTGCACTCCAGCCTGGGCGACAGAGACTCCATCTCAAAAATAAACAGAAAACCAGAGCATCCTTTTATCAAGAAGTCGGTGGATTGCAGTATTTCAAGGGTGAACAAGTAAATGCAGCCTTCTCCAAGAGTGAATCTCATTCTGGCACCAGAATTTATCCATGACAGATAATTGACCTTCTGATAAACATTCCTTGTAAGGATGCTGGTGTTACCCAAAATATTAAATATTTATAAAGCTGAATAAAATGTAAGTTCTGATACCTTCCTCACTCTACAAAGGATCATTTCGTGCCTCACACTGTTTGCCAGGCCGTGCTGTAGCGCTTTGTCGTAAAATACACACAGATTTCAATGACTTAACGTAGGAGAAGAATGTAAAATACCTTGTTGACTAAAGAAAAACAGTTAAGCTTTTAAAGAATTAAAGTTAGTTTTATTCAGAAGCCTTACTGAGGACCGTACATCCTGGCCCCAGCCCAGGAGCTCAAGCGATCCTCCTACCTCAGCCTCTCAAAGTGCTGGAATCACAGGTGTGAGCTACCAGGCCTCTCACCTTGTTCAAAGTTAAAATCTAATCCACAAACTGCTTAGATTTGTTTTCCTTCATATTTTTATGACTAGATGATCTAACATTTTACACCATTTTTCTGGAAATGTTGTTTATGCCAGGTGTCTGAACACACATCTTAAAGGGCTCTAACTTTTCTGGGGAGCAGTAGCTTTTTAGCCCAGAGTCTATGACAATGTGACAATGATGAGAGCTGCTGAGGTTTGCTGCAGTCTCTGGGTGAACGATGCTTTCTAGGGAAACAATGGGGCATAAAACAGACATGGGCTCTCCTGCCTTGAGATTAATCGCGTGAGATGGACCCCTCCCCAACACACAAACATTGTGGGACATGAGGTGCTGGAGACGGGGTTGCTCACCCAGAGCTTAATGGGTCTGTCCACCTTTGTGACCAAGAGGCCTCTTTTCTTAGAGGCTGAGGGGCCCTGGGATGATGAGGGTAAATCCACTTTTTAGAGCAGGAATCTCCAAACCCCAGGCCACGGACCAGTATCAGCACCTGTCTGTGGCCTGTTAGGAACCAGGCGGTGCAGCAGGAGGCAAGCAAGGGAGCTAAACTGAGCTCTGCCTGCTGTCAGCAGCAGCACTGGACTCAGAGGAGTGTGAACCCTGTTGTGAACTGCACATGCGAGGGATCTAGGTTGTGCACTCCTCATGAGAATCTAATGCCTGATGATGGGAGGTGGAATAGTTTCATCCCGAAACCACTACCCCATCCATCTCTGGAAGAATTTTTTTCCACCACCTGTGGAAAAGTTGTTGACGTGGCTAGACTTTGTGTCTTCACCCACATCTCATCTTGAATTGTAATCCCATAATCCCTATAATCCCCACGTGTCGAGGGAGAAGCCAGGTGGAGTAATTGAATCACGGGGATGAGTCCCCCATGCTGTTGTCTTGATAGTTGTCTCGAGATCTGATGGTTTTATAAGGGGCTCTTCCCCCTTTGCTTGGCACTTTTCCCTTCCTGCCATCTTGTGAAGAAGGTGCCTTGCTTCCCCTTCACCTCCTGCCATGATTGTAAGTTTCCTGAGGCCTCCCAAGCCATGCTGAACTGTCAATTAAACCTCTTTCCTTTATAAATAACCCAGTCTCGGACAGTTCTTTATAGCAGTATGAAAATGGAATAATACATTTGTCTTCCACAAAACCCATCCCTGTTGCCAAAAAGGCTTTAGAAAACGCAGTGTGGGTAGGTGGTGAATAGATGGGAGGAGACTCATGTTTTTGTCATGTAGGAGAGCAGCAAGAGCTCCTCTCAGGAGAAGAGGTTTTTGCTGTGAAATATGGTGCGTGCTTTTCCATGGCCTATGTAGTGCTCAGCAGATGCCCTAGCATCAATAGGATCCCAAACCCCTTGTTCTGTTTATTACTGGTAGGCAGTTAGGATCGTGTCAGCCATGTCTTGAGAACATGCCTTGTGAGTCATGCACCAGATTTGTTAAAGTGTCGGCTCTGTGTAGCTCTGTTGTGCTATGCATAACATCTACTTAAAAAATGAGAGCTGACAGCCTCGCTTAGCTTTCTATCCACAAGTCCCCTGCTTAAAATTCTGGATAAATGTTTCCGTTCCTATGGGAAACCTCCATTATCTCCATAAGTAGAGAATGCAGATAGGTATCTTTTTTCTTTTACTGATGGAGACACTAAGGCCCAGTGTGATAAGTTCAAGCGCCCTACAGGGAAAGGCACAAGCAGGCCAGGCTCTAGAGTTCCCTAAACAGTAGCTATAGTGCCTGCCCTTTGTCCCTGGCCCCCAAGGTGTCTAGGAAAAGAGGCTCCCGGTCACTGAGGTAGACAGACCCCTATGCCTGGTCTCAGCATCCTCGCTGTCACCGGCATCTCACTTCCCACATGGTTTCCACGTTGGGGAGGGAGACTACTCACCCCATTAAATGCGGCTGCTAGGGTCATGTCTGTTTCGCCCCCACTGTTTCCCTAATGCTCAGTAGGTGTTCAATAAATAGTTGTTGGCTTACTCAATGTGTGGACCTCTGGGGCAAGAGAGAGGGAGGGACACAACGCAGTCCCAGCTGGCCAGGAGCGCTGTGAGCTCAGGAGGTTGCTGTGGGGGAGATGGTGAGGTAGGAATTTGGCAGGACTTGTTTCACAAGATAGAGGTCACAAAGACCCGCTGATAAAACAGGATGTGGTAAAGAAGCCTCCAAACTCCACCAAAAGCAGGATGGTGATGAAAGCAGCCTCCGCCTGTCCTCACTGCTCCTTATATGCTAATTATAACGCATCAGCTGCCAAAAGACACTCCCACCAGCCATGACAGTCTCCAAATGCTATGGCCACCCCTGAAAGTTACCCTATGTGGTCTGAAACAGGGAGGAACCCTCAGTTCCGGGAATTGCCCACCCCTTTCCTGGAAAACTCATGAACAGTCCACCCCTTTTTAGCATACGATTAAGAAATTACCATAAAAGCCAACTGGCACCCCTCAGGGCTGCTCTGCCTATGACGTAGTCACGCTTTTATTCCTTTACTTCCTTCATAAACCTGTTTTCACTTCATTCTGTTGGCTCACTTTTGAGTTCCTTCCCGTGGGAAGCCAGGAACCCACGTGGTCTCACAGGCTGAGTCCTACTTTGGGGGTTTGCCCTGTGACAATGGGAACAGCCCAGTGGTCTGCCACCCTCCAGAGCCGACCTGTCCCTTTTCCTTTACCTTCATCGGCTCCCAGGAATCAGGTAGAAAAGGGTGAGGTGGCTTTTCTTGCCCAGGAGGCTCAGGGGCAGTGCTGCTGGGCTGCACTGGGTTCCTGTAACTCATCACTGCAGGAGTTGATGTCCTAGATAGAAGTGACCTCGATCTGATCCAAGGGACCATCCCCTAAAAGTGACTTCCTGCCAGAAGTCTCCACCCATCCGTAGGTATTAAAGGGTGAACACTGTTCATTTCTAGGCACAGCCCTGCCTAAACCCAACTGGCTGGGGCAAGGCACCTTGCTGAGCGCTGCCTGAACTCACCTCACTGCTGTCTTGACTCTCAGACCCTGCACTGGCTGGTCAGAGTCTAGCACACGTGCAGTGTTAACAGAAAAACCAGACCCTGTAAAAATGTTTTCAAGAGGGTTATTCTGAACCAGTAGAAGTGACTGTGGCCTGGAAAAAACACAAACCCAAAAAGCCTTAAGTGGTCACAAGGTACCCAGGTAACAGTTTCTGTCAGGCCTCTGAGCCCAAGCTAAGCCACCATATCCCCAGGGACCTGCACATGTACATCCAGATGGCCTGAAGCAACCGAAGATACACAAAAGAAGTGAAAATAGCCTTAACTGATGACATTCCACCATTGTGATTTGTTTCTGCCCCACACTAACTGATCAATGTACTTTGTAATCTCCCCTACCCTTAAGAAGTTTCTTTATAATCTCCCACACCCTTAAGAAGGTTCTTTGTAATTCTCCCCACCCTTGAGAATGTACTTTGTGAGATCCTCCCCCTGCCCTCCAAAACATTGCTCTTAACTCCACCGCCTATCCCAAAACCTATAAGAACTAATGATAATCCCACCACCTTTGCTGACTCTCTTTTTGGACTCAGCCTGCCTGCACCCAGGTGAAATAAGCAGCCGTGTTGCTCACACAAAGCCTGTTTGGTGGTCTCTTCACAAGGACACGTGAGACAGTTTCCTTTTTTTTTTTTTTTTTTGAGATGGAGTTTCACTCTTGTTGCCCAGGCTGGAGTGCAGTGGCACAATCTCAGCTCACCACAACCTCTGCTTCCCAGGTTCAAGCGATTCTCCTGCCTCAGGCTCCCAAGTAGCTGGGATTACAGGCGTGCAGTACCACGCCTGGCTAATTTTTTCTATTTAGTAGAGATGGGGTTTCACCATGTTGGTCACGCTGGTCTCAAACTCCTGACCTCAGGTGATCTACCCGCCTTGGCCTCCCAAAGTGCTGGGATTACAGGCAGTAGCCACTGTGCCTGGCTGGTAACAGTTTACTTTTATACATTTTAGGTAAACAGGAGTTACAGGCAAAGATGTAAGTCAGTGCATGGAAGGTATACGTTTGGTTCAGCCTGAACGGCAGGCTATCCCAGAGCAGGGGCTTACAAGTCATACGTGGGTTTTACAGATTCTTTACTTGCCATTTGAGAGAGTTAAGCTATTATTTATATTACGTTTTGGGGGAGTCAAAAAGAGTTAAGCTACCGTCTAAAGACCTGAAGTAAGTAGAAAAGAATGCTTGAGTTAAGGCAGTTGTGGGGGTGAAGGCCCTTGTTATGTAAATGAAAGCCTCATAGGTTTCTAGCAGCCCTCCGAGAAAATGGATGGCAAATGTCTCTTTTCAGACTTTAAAGGTGTCAAGCTGTCAGCAAATCTCTCCTAGATCCAGGCAAGGCCTGGATATGTTAATGGACATTCTCTACAGATGCAAATTAATTTCCCCCACAAAAGATAGCTTTTTTTTTTTTTTTGAGATGGAGTCTCGCTCTGTTGCCCAGGCTGGACTGCAGTGGCACAATCTCGGCTCACTGCAAGCTCCGCCTCCCAGGTTCACGCCATTCTCCTGCCTCAGCCTCCCGAGTAGCTGGGACTACAGGCGCCTGCCACTGTGCCCGGCTACTTTTTTGTATTTTTTAGTAGAGACGGGGTTTCACCGTGTTAGCCAGGATGGTCTCAATCTCCTGACCTTATGATCCACCTGCCTCAGCC
Source organism: Homo sapiens (assembly GCF_000001405.40). Taxonomy (NCBI): domain Eukaryota; kingdom Metazoa; phylum Chordata; class Mammalia; order Primates; family Hominidae; genus Homo; species Homo sapiens. Next base: position 80,154,777 of record NC_000017.11, read on the forward strand.
TCCCAAAGTGCTGGGATTACAGGCGTGAGTTCACCGCGCCCAGCCGAAAGACAGCTTTGCAGTGCCATTCCAAAATATGTCAAAGAAATATATTTCACAGAAAAATATTTTTATTTCCATTCTGTCATGTGTGCTCATCCAGAACCAGTTTGGAAAGGAAGCCACATTGTACCAGGTTAATTAAAAAAAAAAAAAGTTTGACAAGGGTTTATGGTTAGTAGGGTGTGAATCAGCCTTTGCCTGCCATGGCCTTAGGTCTTGTTTATAATTTGGTATCTTATTGCCACAAAGAGTCTGTTTGATCAATCTTATCTCTATTTTAACCTAAAAGAAAAACTTCAGCCTGTTGCAGGAAGCCAGGGACCCCGAATGGAGGGACCAGCTGAAGCCACAGCAGAAGAACATAAATTGTGAAGATTTCATGGACATTTATTAATTCCCCAAATTAATACTTTTATAATTTCTTACGCCTATCTTTACTGCAGTCTCTGAACATAAATTGTGAAGATTTCATGGACATCACTTCCCCAATCAATACTGTTATAATCTCCTATACCTGTCTTTACTTTAATCCCTTAATGCCATCATCTTCATAAGCTGAGGATGTCTGTCCCCTCAGGACCCTGTGATGATTGCGTTAACTGCACAAATTGTTTGTAAAACGTGTGTTTGAACAATACGAAATCTGGGCATCCTAAAAAAGAACAGGGTAACAGTGACTTTCAGGGAACAAGGAAGATAACCATAAGGTCTGACTGCCTGCGGGGCCGGGCAGAACAGAGTCATATTTTTCTTCTTGCAGAGAGCAAATAGGAGAAATATTGCTGAATTCTTTTCCCAGCAAGGAATAACCCTGGAAAAGGAATGCATTCCCAGGGGGAGGCCTCTAAAATGGCCACTCTGGGAGTGTCTGTTTTATGTGGTTGAAGATAAGGGATGAAATACACCTTGGTCTCCTGTAGTGCCCTCAGGCTTGCTAGGATTAGGAAATTCCAGCCTGGCAAATTGTAGTCAGACCGGTTGTCTGCTCTCAAACCCTGTTTCCTGTTAAGATGTTTGTCAAGACAATGCATGCCCAGTGGGACATGGAACCTCATCAGTAATTCTGATTTCACCCTGGCCTTGTGATCTTGCTCTGCCCTTCTGCCCTTGTGATCTTTTATTGCCCTTTGAAGCATGTGATCTTTGTGACTTACTCCTTGTTCGTACCCCCTCCCCTTTTGAAACCCCTAATAAAAACTTTCTGGTTTTGTGGCTCAAGGAGCATCACGGAATCTACCAATAGGTGATGTCACCCCCCAGAGGCCCAGCTGTAAAATTTCTGTCTTTTGTACTCTTTCTCTTTATTTCTCAGACCAGCCAATACTTAGGGAAAATAGAAAAGAACCTACGTTGAAATATTTATTGGAGGCTGGTTCCCCTGATAGTATGAGCTTCAGCTTGCAAGGCCTCAGGGAAAATGTGGTAGCAATTTCATTCAGTCCACATCAGAAAGATGGAAGAAGATTTTGAAAATGTTAGTTTGGAGATTTGTAGCCAGATAAGAATGGAGGATTCATCACAAATTGTAGAAAATAATAAAAACTGAAAAAACAATGGACAAGGCTGGAAACTAACAACAAGTGAACTATAGTATTCTTTCTTTAAAAAAATTATTGTAGGGAAGAAGTCTTGCTATGTCACCCAAGCTGGTATTGAACTTCTGGCCCCAAGCAATCCTCCCACCCAGCCTGTAGTTTTCTTTTGAAACATAATTTTTCTGTCTCCAGTTTCCCATTGTTATCAAGAAGAAATCATAGTAAGACCAATATATTGGTAAAATAAGTTTTAGTCTTATTACACTTGGCCCGATTATTTGCATAAAGTATAGTAAAAATAGTAATTGGCCATATAGGCTCTTTTAAGTTGCTTTTGCTGGAACTTTTTATAAGGTTAGACTATTTATTTAATCTCTCTGTCTCTCTCTCTTTTAGACAGAGTTTTACTCTGTCACCCAGGCTGGAGTGCAGTGGCATGATCTTAGCTCACTGCAACCTCTGCCTCCCAGGCTCAAGTGATCCTCCCACCTCTACCTCCCAAGTAGCTGGGACTACAGGCGCATGCCACCACACCTGAGTATTTTTTGTATTTTTGGTACAGATAGGGTTTTGCCATGTTGCTCAGACTGGTCTCAAACTCCTGACCTCAGGAGATCTGCCCACCTCAGCCTCCCAAAGTGCTGGTATTACGGGCATGAGCCACTGCACCTGGCCTTATTTATTTTTGATGCAGGGTCTCACTCTGTTGCCCAGGCTGGAGTGTAGTGGTGTGATCATAGCTCACAATGACCTTGAACGCCTATGCTCAAGTGGTCTTCCAACCTCAGTCTCCCAAGTAGCTTGGATGAGAGAAACATATCATTACACTGGGCTTTGTTGTTGTTGTTGTTGTTTTGAGAGATGGAGTCTTACTATGTTGCACAGTCTGGTTTTGAACTCCTGGCCTCAAGCAATCCTCCTGCCTTGATCTCCCAAAGTATTGGGATTACAGGCTTGAGCTACCATGACTGGCCAAGGTCAGACTTTGTAAAAGCCTCTTGAGCCAAGCCAAGGATTTATCTGTGCCTGCAGATACCTGTATGAGTTGGGAGCCAAGCCAAGGATTTATCTGTGCCTACAGATACCTGTATAAGTTGGATGACTTATTCTAGAGGTCTCAAAATATATTTTGAGATTCCTGGGCCTAATCAGAAAATGACATTCTTTACTTAACACAGGTCAGGAAGCTTGCAGGGGAACCACTGAGTCAAGGTACCAGGCCAGTCTTTTCAACTGTCTTTTTTTCAGCTCTATAAGTTAACCTCAATTCCTCAAAACAGTCCAGTCATATCTAAAATATGCCATTCTAGTCAATGCCTTGGTAAAATAATCAGTGTCTCCAACTGTGTCCTGTTATGAAAGACAACAGATTCTTACTGACCTTATGCAAATAACTATATTGCCATAAATTAGGAATACTCACAAATAGTTTTCAAACTTGGAGACATCAGATGAAGAGAAAGAAATATGCTTCAAATTTTGCTCACAAGAATATACTTCACTCAATTGTTAAAAGCTATAAATAGCTCAAAAGAAAATAGTTTGTCAAATATCAAAGGTTTAAAACACTTCATATCACAAAATAGGATCATAGGTCACTGTAAAATGGTCATTGAGCCACAATGATAATTGAAATACTTCAAAAAGCAAAAATTATATACTCTTTAATAGAGTCAGTTTCCCAAACAATCATAAACCTAATAAATTCAGGCTGGGCACGGTGGCTCATGCCTGTAATACCGGCACTTTGGGAGGCTGAGGCCAGTGGATCACCTGAGGTCAGGAGTTCGAGACCAGCCTGGGCAACAGGGCGAAACCCCATCTCTACTGAAATTACAAAAATTGGCCAAGCGTGGTGGTGCATGCCTGTAATCCCAGCTACTCAGGAAGCTGAGGCAGGAGAATCACTTGAACCTGGGAGGTGGAGGTTGCAGTGAGCCAAGATTATGCCACAGTACTCCAGCCTAGGTGACAGAGCAAGACTCCATCTGAAAAAAAATTCAAAAGCCAAAAAACTAATAAATGCAGCATGAGGCCACTGAATCTGTCTGCCTCCCTCACCTATTTTGTTTTGTTTTTTGAAGTTTACTCAAAAGGTAAACAAACATCGTGTACTCTTATTACACAAAAATTTTGTTGAAAAAGGAAACCAAATTTTACATTTGCATTAGTGTTTTATTAATAATAAAGCTAATTTTAATAAAATTTTATAAACAAATCCATCCATTCTTAACCAGTTTGACCACAAGATTTTTATAAACCTTTTATAACCTTTGACAATTTTCCATTTTCTTTTTCAACTTTCTATATACATTTAGTTTTATCTATCATTTTTAAATTCCCTCAGTGTAAAACTTAACTAGGCAAAATTAATATCCCTTTAACAAAAACTACAATGGTATGGCTTCTTATAACCTCCTTTACTAAAAACACGTTTTACTTTCCTCATATATTTTGCATATAGAAATGTTTTTCTTATATCTAGTAGTTTTATTTACTTATTTATTTTTGAGACGGAGTCTCACTGTGTAGCCCAGGCTGGAGTTTTAATTACATATATTAATTATGATGTGAACTCTTAGTAACACTTATTTTTAGAGAAAAACCTGGAAGGTCAGCAATTTTAATAATGTGCTGGATGCAGAGCCCAGGACAAAGGACAGTGCCTGCAGCTATGCCTCCACATGGCTGAGGTGGGACGATTGCTTGAGCCCAGGAAACAAAGATTGCAGTGAGCCAAGATCTCACCACTGAACTCTCACCTGGGTGACAGAAAAAGACTCTGTTTCAAAAAATTAAAATAATAAGCAACAGTTTTATGACTTTAAAACATTTAGGTGACAGAATCTGACCAAACAGACCATTAGACTTAGACAAAAATGTCTAAGTTAAATTCTGAAGACATTTTACTGTCCTGTTTTACCAATAGTTTAGAACCCTATTTACCAAAGATTGCTAGAGTCACCTGAACTAGAACTCATTTGAGTTAACGTTTCTGTTTTTCTGATAAAATATTTGATTTAAGTGCTTACCTTTTCCTTAAGCCAATTAATTAGAGCTCTTTCATGTATTTTGGTAGTGAAACATGACATACACATGACATACGTAAACACATAGACATACAAACACACAAACAGAAGCAGATCTTATAGACTCATAAGATTCTTCATTTGCCATTTTTCAAATAGTTTCTCTCCCTCACTTCAGACTATTAATCTCTTAACTGTTTCATGCCCTAAACAATTGTGAGGGAACTGTAAATTTTCATCTCCAAAAACATGACTCGGCAGGTTGAGGCAGGAGAATCAGGCAGGGAGGTTGCAGTGAGCAGAGATGGCGGCAGTACAGTCCAGCTTTGGCTCGGCATCAGAGGGAGACCGTGGAAAGAGAGGGAGAGGGAGACCATGGGGAGAGGGAGACGGAGAGGGAGACGGAGAGGGAGAGGGAGAGGGAGAGGGAGAGGGCCTGTTTCTTAATTAGATGACTAGATAAATTAGATTACCCTGAAGAGTAGAGCCCTTTAATGAAAAGAGGAAAGAAAGCATGGTGTTTTTAGGGCCTAATCTTTAAATACGCATAAAGCAGGCACAGCTGGAAGGCAGAGCACAGATCCTCCAAAATCAAAGATCCCATTTTTACACCAAATCCTGGGTCCCAGAAAGAAGAGAGCAGTGTGGGACTGGCCGGTGCAATGCTCCCACGGTACATTTCATCTCCTCACAGGACTGAAAGGTGTGATCCTCCCACGGTGCATTTCATCTCGGCACGGGACTGGACGGCGTGATGCTCCCACGGTACATTTCATCTCCTCACAGGACTGAACGGTGTGATCCTCCCACGGTACATTTCATCTCAGCACGGGACTGGACGGCGTGATGCTCCCACAGTGCATTTCATTTTGTCATGGGACTGGACAGTACAGTGCATTTGATTTCAGCACAGGACTGGACCGGGCAATACCCCCACAGTGCATTTCATTTTGTCATGGGACGGGATGGTGTGATGCTCCCCACAGTGCATTTCATTGTAAGGACATTCCCTGGAGGCTGGTGGGCAACCCAGAGCTCTAACTCAACAGTAGAGTAGGTTAGTTGCTGGCCACTTGCAGAGTCCAATTATTTAGAATGAGGCCTGGCACAAATAAGGTTATTTATTCCAAAGGTAGCTTGGGGAAGTGGCACAGGCATCTGTCTTGCATTTAGCTGTCCCACTTTGCTTTTGGAACAGAAAGTGGGCACTTCTAAAAGACAGGGGAGGAAGTGAGCAGGGGCAGGAGTGGGTTCATGCTAGCTCCAGTGCCTTATCAGGTGGTCGAGCTTGTGACTGCTGGCACTTTTGTGGGCAGACCATTATCTCTCCAGGCCACTCCCTGATGGGGGAGTTCCATAGCAGGCATGCTTTGGTCTGTAAATCAACTGTTAACTCTCCAGGAGTTAGATGCACTTGCCGGGGGATCTCGAGGGACTGTCTGGTGAAGGAGGGGAGAAAAGGCTAGATTTGCATACCTAAAGGGCTAAGTAGGAAGTCAGGAACTGGGAAAAGGAGAAAAAAAGAGAGGAAAAAAATAATTAAACATCTTTTAGAAAAATGGGGGTACTCGGAAACAAAGCCAGTTATCCCAATCTGTGGTCAGCCTATCGCCCGTGGAGTCGTATCCCTTGGTGGGCTGTGTTTTCATAGCCTCTAGGTAACACAGGCACACCTCAAAATTGGGGCTTAGCCTGAGAGAGTTCTTGGCTTTGCTCAGGAAATAATTTAAGAGCAGGGCTAACCCACAGGGAGAGGCTAGAGTAGCAGTAAACAGCAGCAGGAGGAGGAGCAGCAGCAGCAGCAGGGGCAGCCACAGCTGCAACAAGGGAGCACTGGCTAGCCACAATTACACCCGGTCTTAATTATATGCTAATCAAGGGGTGGGCTATTCTGAATTTTCTAGAAAAGAAGTAGGGGAGTTCTGGAACCATGTAGGGTATTGCCATGGCATTTATAGGCTGTCATAGTGCCGTAAGGAAGGTCTTCATGCTGATGAGCAGTGAGGGCAACTGGAGGTCACTTTGCTTTCCATCTGCTGGTTTCAGCTGGTTTTTTTCTTTATTTATTTAAGCCTGCTTTTTTTTTTTTTTTTTTTTTTTTTTTTTTTTGAGATAGGGTCTCGCTCCATTGCCCAGGCTGGATCGCAGTGGTACAATCATGGCCTACTGCAGCCTTGACCTCCTGGGCTCAAGCAATCCTCCTGCCTTAGTCTCCCAAGTACCTGGGCCCACAAGCACATGCCACCATGCTTGGCTAATTTTTTAATTTTTTGTAGAGATGGGGGTCTCACTATGTTGCCCAGGGTGGTCTCAAACTCCTGGGTTCAAGTGATCCTCCTTTTGCAGCCTCCCAAAATTCTGGGGTTATAGGCATGAGCCACTGCACCCAGTTTGCATCCTGCTTTGACCAGCAGGGTCATTACCGGTGCTCAGAAAACAAATCCGGCTGATTTCCCACCTCATTGGTGCCCCAAACCATGCTTTTTGTCACCCCCTGTAGTAATAACCATTTTCTGTAAGCAACTGCCATCAGCCACCTCTAAAACTGTATCTCTTGCCTAGCCATTACGCAAACCACGGTCAAGTTTTCTCACAATACAGGGTCATTTTTGGTATCTCCGAAAAGCCAAAGAAATCGGGTAATACTGTGCAAAAGAGAGCGGAGCGTTAGACCTCAGGAGACTCTCCATGTGGTGCTTGAAACTCCACAAGGAAAGCAGAAGACCTCCAACCAACGGTGAGTGGCATCTTTTTTTTCTGAGTTCCTTAAGGGGTTTGGGTCATTAGAAATCTCTAGATCTCTTTACATGGTACTGAATATGGCAGCGGAAGCAGGAGTGGGGCGGAGTAAAAGTATATGGGAGAACAATTTTTTTTAAATGAAGTGAACAGAGGTGTCAGAGGCGTTCGAACCAGAGTGACTCCATCTTGAACAGGGTCTGGGTAAAATAAGGCTGAGGCCCACTGGGCTGCATTCCCAGGAGGTTAGGCACTCTTAGTCAGAGGATGAGATAGGAGGTTGGCACAAAATATAGGTCACAAAGACCTTGCTGATAAAACAGGATGCGATGAAGAAGCCAGCCGGAACCCACCAAAACCAGGATGGCGATGGAAGTGACCTCTGCCTGTCCTCGCTGCTCATTATATGCTAATTATAATGTGTTAGCATGCAAAAAGACACTCCTACCAGCGCCATGATGGTTTACAAATGCCATGGCAATGTCAGGAAGTTACCCCGTGTGGTCTAAAAAGAGAGGGAATCGGTCGGGTGTGGTGGCTCACGCCTGTAATCCCAGCACTTTGGGAGGCCGAGGTGGGCGAATCACTTGAGGCCAGGAGTTCGAGACCAGCCTGGCCAACGTGGTGAAACCCTGTTTCTACCAAAAATACAAAACTTAGCCAAGCATGGTGGTGCATGCCTTTAATCCCAGCTACTCAGGAGGCTGAGGCATGAGAATCGCTTCAACCCAGGAGGCGGAGCTCGCAGTGAGCTGAGATTGTGCCACTGTACTCCAGCCTGGTTGACAGAGTGAGACTCTGTCCCCCCTGCCCCCCAAAAAATCCTTTCAAATCTCTTGTTACCAGATTTTAGCTGGGCCAAACAGCTGATAATTCTTTTTGTATAAGACCCAGAACCATCCCAAAGACAGCTCAAAGAAAGTGAAGTTTCACTAGCCACAAGTGGAGTCTAACTCACATTTCTGTTCAGCTGTATTCTCTAGGGTCTCAGCTTCTCAGCTGACCACCTGCACATAAGGGTCCAAAAGCCCTGTGTCCCAAAGACAGAAGGCAGGAAATCAAAAGCTGTTCATGGAAGGGATAAGGATCAATAAATGGAAGCCAGTAGGGACTGATTCCCTGATCAGGAGGCAAACCCAAGCCGCAGTGAGAATTTTAAATACCAGACTCCAAAATGGAGTAGCTTCCATTGTTAATCCCACATGGAATCCAAAGTGTGCAGTTTGGTTGTTTTGTTTGTTTGTTTTTGTTTTTGTTTTAATTTTTTTAAGAGATAGGGTCTCACTGAGTAGCCCAGGCTGGAGTGAAGTGGTGCAATCATAGCTCACTGCAGCCTCAACCTCATGGGCTCCAGCGAAACGCCTCATCTTGTCTTTAACCTCCAAACTGGGCTTGTGCCAAGTTCACTTTGGGAGACATTTAGTTTGTGGTTTAAATGATAATAGCCCTTCTCCAAAACTAAACTGTCATCATAAGGCTAATGAAAGTCTACCAAGTTAGGACGATGAAAGGAGCCTGAGTTCTGCTGATGTGTACGCATAAATCTAAGATTGGCCTTTTGAGATGTCTTTTCAGGATTTTGCATTTCTTCTTCTTCTTCTTTTTTTTTTTTTTTTTTTTTTGAGATGGAGTTTTGCTCTTGTTGCCCAGGGTGGAGTGCAGTGGCCCGATCTTGGCTCACTGCAACCTCTGCCTCCCGGGTTCAAATGATTCTTCTGCCTCAGCCTCCAAAGTAGCTGGGATTACAGGCGTGTGCCACCACACCCAGCTAATTTTTTATTTTTTATTTTTAGTAGAGATGGGGTTTCACCATGTTGGCCAAGATGTTTTTGATTTCCCGACCTTGTGATCTGTCTGCCTTGGCCTCCCAAAGTGCTGGGATTACAGGCGTGAGCCACTGCGCCTGGCCAGGGTTTTGCATTTCTGATAGCTGATGGCTCCACCTGGACCTGCCAATGTGTCCTGTGGCCTCACCCAGAAGAAGACTGTCACCCCTGTCATTGCATCTGCAACCAACCAGCAGCACTCATTCCCAGGGCCCCCAAACTATCCTTGAAAACTCCTAGCCTCCGAATTCTGGGGAGGCTGGTTTGAGTCATAATAAAACTCCAGTCTCCTGTTCAGCCAGCTCTGCATGAATTAAACTCTTTCTCTATTTCGATTCCCCTGTCTTGATAAATTGGCTCTATCTGGGAAGTGGGATAAATGAACCCACTGCACGGTTACAATAGCAGCATTCACGAGAGCCCGATGGCCATGAACAGACAAATGAATCGACAACGCACGGCGTTCACACAATGGAATATGATATGGCCACATCCAGGACGAGGCACTGACACAGGCTATGACATGGAAGAGCCTCAAAACATCATGCAGAGGGGAAGACACCAATGCAAGAGGCCACATATTACACAACTCCACGTATATGAAATGTGCAGAACAGGCAAATCCAGAGATGGAAAGCAGATTGGTGGTTGCCTTGGACCAGGAGCTGCTTAACGGGTGTGTGGTTTCTTTTTGGGTGGTAAAAATGTTCCGAAACTAGATATAGTGGTCACACAATGTTGTATATTTACTAAATGCCACTGAATTGTGTTTTTTTGTTTGTTTATTTGACGGAGTCTCACTCTGTGACCCAGGCTGGAGTACAGTGGCGTGGTCTTGGCTCACTGCAACCTCCACATCCCAGGTTCAAGCAATTCTCCTGCCTCAGTCTCCCCAGTAGCTGGCATTACAGGCATGCACCACCACCCCTGGCTAATTTTTTTGTATTTTTATTAGAGACGGGGTTTTGCCATGTTGCCCAGGCTGGTCTCGAGCTCCTGAGCTCAGGCAATCCTCCCAGCTTGGCCTCCCAAAGTTCTAGTTCTAAGATAACAGGTGTGAGCCACCATGCCTGGCTTGAATTGTTCATTTTATTTTATTTTATTTTATTTTATTTTATTTTATTTATCTTTTTAAGACAGAGTTTCACTCTTGTCACCCTGGCTGGAGTGCGATGGTGAGATCTTGGCTCACTACAACCTCCACCTCTGGGGTTCATGCGATTCTCCTGTCTCAGCGTCCTGAGTAGCTGGGATTACAAGCACCTGCCACCAAGCCCAGCTAATTTTCATGTTTTTTTCTTTTTTTTTCTTTTTTTTTTTTTTTGAGACAGAGTCTAGCTCTCTCGCCCAGGCTGGAGTGCAGTGGCGCGATCTTGGCTCACTGCAAGCTCCGCCTCCCGGGTTCACGCCATTCTCCTGCCTCAGCCTCCCGAGTAGCTGGGACTATAGGTGCCCGCAACCATGCCCGGCTATTTTTTGTATTTTTAGTAGAGACGGGGTTTCACCGTGTTAGCCAGGATGGTCTCAATCTCCTGACCTCGTGATCCACCCACCTCAGCCTCCCAAAGTGCTGGGATTACAGGCGTGAGCCTCCGCACCCAGCTAATTTTTGTGTTTTTAGTAGAGATGGTTTCACCATGTTGGCCAGGCTGGTCTCGAACTTCTGACCTCAGGTATCTGCCCACCTTGGCCTCCTAGAGTGCTGGGATTATAGGTGTGAACCACCGCACCTGGCCTGAATTGTTCATTTTAAAAATGGTAATTTTGGCTGGCCATTGTGGCTCACACCTGTAATCCCAGGCCAAGGTGGGTGGATCACTTGAGGTCGGGAGTTCAAGACCAACCTTGGCAACATGGCAAGACCCCCATCTTTAGAAAAAATAAAATAAAATAATTAGCCAGGCATGGTGGCATGCACCTGTAATTCCAGTACTTTGAAAGACTGAGACAGGAGGATCGCTTGAGGCCAGGTATTTGAGACCAGCCTGGGCAATATGGCAAGACCCCATCTCTACAAAAAAAAATTTTTTTTAATTAGCTGAATGTGGTGGCACATGCCTGTAATCCCAACTACTTGGGAGGCTGAGGCAGGAGGATTACTTGAGCCTAGGAGTTTGAGGCTGAAGTGAGCTATGATCACACTACTGCAGTCCAGCCTGGGCAACAGAGCAAAACCCTGTATTTAAAAAAAATTTTTTTGTGGCCGGGCATGGTGGCTCACGCCTGTAATCCCAGCACTTTGGGAGGCCGAGGTGGGCGGATCATGAGGTCAGGAGATCGAGACCATCCTGGCTAACACGGCGAAACCCCATCTCTACTAAAAATACAAAAAATTAGCCGGGCGTGGTGGCGGGCGCCTGTAGTCCCAGCTACTCGGGAGGCTGAGGCAGGAGAATGGCGTGAACCCGGGAGGTGGGGCTTGCAGTGAGCTGAGATCGCGTCACTGCACTCCAGCCTGGGCGACAGAGCGAGACTCCGTATAAAAAAAAAAAAAAAATTTGTAAATGGTTAATTCTATGTTGTGTGAATTTCGCCTCAATATTTAAAATGAAAAAGAAAAAAGTCAATAGATGTGACTTAGCTGGGTTATATTTGAGGTGTCTAGACATCCAAGTGGAGCTGTCAGGTAGGCAGTTGTAAAACACAACAGGAGTGACCAGTTTTACCAGCTCTTATGGAAATAGCTGCTTCCTGCCATTCCCCACCCAGCCCACTGCACGCACTGTTGCGGCCCAGAGGTGGGCGTGAGGTCTCTGCTGCCACTCATCCTCATCCACAGCCAGCCACGCTGCAGAGCCACCCAGCCAGAGACACCTACTCTGGTCTCCAGCTAGGATGTTGAGGACCTGTTTCGAATGTCTTGGAAGAAGTCCTGGAATCCTCCCAGCCCCCAGGTACAAGAGTGAAGACGCATACGCTCCCTGTTTATACACCCTGACCCTTTATTTACATCCACCCATGGCAGGGGAGTCAGGTAGAGGCCCCCTTCCTCGATCAACCTAAACTCCTGATCTTGGGGTTTTCTTGTGAGGGTCTGATTTTTATTCTTCTAGGGCCTCACGCCTCCATCTTCTTCTGGTGCCAACATCATGATTTCAAGGCAAAGCTTTTCCCCAACTCCCTACCTTCTATGGATGAATAAAGTGCCCAGAGGAGGCCAGACATGGTGGCTCATGCCTGTAATCCCAGCACTTTGGGAGTCCAAGGTGGGCAGATCACTTGGGATCAGGAGTTTGAGACCAGCCTGGCCACCATGGTGAAACCCCGTCTCTACTAAAAATACAAAAATTAGCTGGGCATGGTGGCACATAGCTGTAATCCCAGCTACACGGGAGGCTGAGGCAGGAGAGTCGCTTGAACCTGGGAGGTGGAGGCTGCAGTGAGCTGAGGTCAAGCCACTGCACTCCAGCCTGGGTGACAGAGTGAGACTTGTCTCAAAAAAAAAAAAAAAGTGCCCAGAGGAGCTCTTCAGCTGGCCCAAGTCTGGCACATGTCCGTTTCTTCACTGATCACTGCCACGGGGCACAGAGCCCCTGGGTGGTGCTGTCCTGGTGCCTGCTGGCCCCTGTCCCCCAGGTCCCCCTTCTGAGTTTTTCCAGGGATACCCTAACCTAACCTGGCCAGATTACTAGAGGTGCTGCTTTATTGGCTCTGGATATGTGTATGCAGCTGCAATTCTGTGTGATATAGATGACCTGCCAGTGGGGCCCTCCTGAAGATGCCATAGTGATTAAGATACGTTTTGTTTTGTTTTGTTTGAGACAGGGTCTCCTTCTGTTGCCCAGGCTGGAGTGCAGTGGTGCAACCACGGCTCACTGCAGCGTCTACCTCCTGGGCTGAAGCGATCCTCCCACCTCAGCCTCCGGAGTAGCTGGGACCACAGGCATGTTGCACCATACCCGGCTTTTTTTTAAAATTATTTTTTGTAGAGACAGGGTCTTCCTGTGTTGCCCAGGCTGGTCTCGAACTCTTGGCCTCAAGCAATCCTCCCTCCTCAGCCTCTCAATGCACTGGGGTTACAGGCATGAGCCACTGCACCTAGCCTAAGATATGGTTTTTGACCTCAGAAAACACAGGGTCCTTCAGGGTTGTGGCTTCCTTGACTGTTTCTTTTTATTTTATTTTATTTTAGGTTCCGGGATACATGTGCAGAATGTGCAGGTTTGTTACATAAGTAGACATGTGCCATGGTGGTTTGCTACACCTGTCAACCCATCACCTAGGTTTTAAGCCCCACGTGCATTAGCTATTTGTCCTGATGCTCTCCCTCCACTCCCCCTACCATAGGCCCCAGTGTGTGTTGTTCCCCTCCCTGTGTCCATGTGTTCTCATTGTTCAGCTCCCACTTATGAGTGAGAACATGCAGTGTTTGGGTTTCTGTTCCCATGTTAGTTTGCTGAGAATGATGGCTTCCAGCTTCATCCATGTCTCTGCAAAGGCCCTTCATTCCTTTCTATGGCTGCACCTTGACTATTTCTATGGCTATTTCTGTTCTTAGGGAGGCTCCTCCCATCTCCAGTGCATTCTTCTGCCCCCCTCTTTTACTGGGAATGGCGGCATTTCTTTGCGTTTTCTGTAACTAGAATTCTCTGTGTGGCTGGCACAGTGTGATGAGCTGGCAAGCTTCCCCACTGTGGGGGAGGGCTTATCATGAGGTCTGCTGGAGGAAACTAAGAGAGCTGAGCCTTAGGGGCTTAAATGAACTGCCTGAGGGGAAGCTGACACCCAGTGGGGCTGTAACCCTGGTTGGAGAGTTCATGTCTGCACCTGGCCTCGGCCTGCGTTCTCACTTGCTCTGCCCAACTGGCTGTGCCTTCAGCCGGCTCATCACCAGGAGATTTGGGTTGGAGCTACTGCTCAGCCACCATGAGCTACATGACCTTGAAGGCCGATCTTTGATTGTCCGCAGGATAATCCTGAAGGTTCTCAGGCCATGGACCTGTGAATTTCCCTTCTTTCAGTGTCTGCATCATTGGGAACCAAGCCCCTAACCAATGTTTATTCATTCGCTCAACCAATATTTGTGGAATATCACAGCCCTAGGGGTGGGGACACAGCAGGGAACAAGAAAGACAAGAATTATTGTCCTCAGTAGGTTACTGTGGAGTGGGGAGGCTGGCAGGAAGCCACGTAACTAGAATACACGTTAGGTCAAGGCAGTATTCCCACAGAGAAGATGGAACAGGGAAGGGGAGTGAAGGCCAGGATGGGAGGTCTACGGACTTAAGTAGGATGATCTGGGAAGTAGCATTTGAGTAGAGTCTGGAAGGAGGGATGGGAAAGAGTGTTCCAGGCAGTGGGAACAGCAGGTGCAAAGGCCCTGGGGCAGAAGTGTGCCTGGACTGTCAAGACTGTTGGGCTGTGTGTCTGGAGCAGGTAAAAGAGAGATAAGGTCAGCAAGGACCTGATAAGCAGAGCCTCATGGTCACGCTGAGGACTCCAGGACCTGTACACCGAAGGGAATGACAGGAGCTGACTCATGCCCTAGCAGGACTTCTCTGTCTGCTGTGTTGAGCGCTGGTGATGGGGGCGTGGGAAGAAGTTAGGAGCCATTACAGAGGTCCCGGTGGGCCATGATCAGGACACCACAATGCAGGTGGTGAGAATGGATCGGATTCTAGACATATCTCAAGGTGGAGGACCAAGACTTTCATCTAAATCTAAACAATAGTTATGAAATGTTAACTTGAGATGGATCTATTGGAATTATTCAGATACTTCCAATAATGGATCATGAGAACCAAGAAAGGCCCTAGAATTTATCCTGATCTTCGTAGGATTTTCCCAAGGGTAGAAATGATGATGAACTGGGTGACCGTTCACAAAGGAGAGAGGATTCCCAGCCCCCAAGCCTGAAGCCTTCCCCTCAATCACCCTCAATCACCATCTTCTGTGGGTCGACCAGATGCACGGACTGTTCTCAGCCATCCCTGTGGTTCTTACGGCAATGTCTAGCTGTGGGACTGCACTGGTGCTTCGATGGCTCATAGAAGCCCCATATAAGGCACTGCTCCTGTGGGATGTGCCTGTCAAACCTGCTTGTCCACTGCCGTTCAGTTCAGCCAGAGATTGGGCCACATTCAGTCCTCGCTTCCCTGGGAGGGGGAAGGTAAGTGCGCGCAGTCCATCCGGCGAAGAGCAGGTCAGCCTACGGAGGGCTCAGCCTACGGAGGGGCTCAGCCGACACAGGTCTGATGGGGCCCGAGAGTGGTCCCAGGGGAGTGGGAGGGGCCGGCATCTTCCTCATCAGGAGTGGAGGAGCTGCCTTGTATGTGGACTAGAGAACAGAAAACGGCTTGTCTGTGTTGCTGGGTCAATCACTGGAACATTCTCTGAATGCTGAGTTCTGCCTTAAAACAGCATGGGTCATGCTAGATGAAAGGGATCTCTGTTTTATACTCTCATCTCTTCGCTATTGCCGTGGGATGAAAGACAGCAGAAGGAAGGTGTCTAAGTTCAGAACAAAGTGAGCAAGACCAGCTGGCTGCTGTTGGTAGCAGAGGCACAGCCAGCCTGTCATGGCACTGGGGGGCCGAGGTGAGCTGTGCCCCCTCCTCCTGGGCTTGTGACCCTCTGCCCCCCATGGGGTATGTACATGTGTGTGTGTGCGTGTGCGTGTGTGTATGTGTACATGCCTTCTTCCCTACTTCACTGGCAAGGGAAGAGACTGACACTTGGGTTAGGAGAAGGATGTTGACCTGGGAGGGGTCAAATAAGGAGAACCCACATCTTAGATGCTCAGGATTTTATGATCTTAGGCTCTTCTAGAATTGCTGTACAGTTAGATTCAGAGTTTGGAATTAGAGATCTCTGGGCCCTCCCCTCCCCTCCCGTCCCCTCCCCTCCCGTCCCCTCCCCTCCTCTCCCCTCCCCTCCTCTCCCCTCTCCTCCCCTCCCCTCTTCTCTCCTTTTTCAGAAGTCTCCCTCTGTCGCCCAGGCTAGAGTTGCAGTGGCACAATCTCGGCTCACTGCAATTTCTGCCTCCTGGGTTCAGGTGATTCTCCTGCCTCAGTCTCCCAAGTAGCTGGGACTATAGGTGCACGCCACCACACCTGGTTAATTTTTTTATTTTTAGTAGAGACAGGGTTTTGTCACGTTGGCTAGGCTGGTCTCAAACTCCTGACTTCAGGTAATCCGCCCATCTTGGTCTCCCAAAGTGCTGGGATTACGGGCGTGAGCCACGGCTCCTGGCGCCTTCCCATTCACCTTCCCCTTCCCCTCCCCTTCCTCCCTCCCTCCCTCCCTCCCTCCCTCCCTCCCTTCCTTCCTTCCTTCCTTCCTTCCTTCCTTCCTTCCTTCTCTCTCTCCTTCCCTTCCTTCCTCTCTCTTTCTTTTCTTCTTTTCTTTCTTTCTTTCTCTCTCTCTCTCTTTCTTTCTTTTCCTTTTTTTGAGCCAGGGTCTTGCTCTGTCACCCAGGCTGGAGGGCAGTGGCACAATCATAGCTCACTGCAGCCTTGAACTCTTGAGCTCAAGCAATCCTCCTGCCTTGGCCTCCAAAGTGCTGGGATTACAGGCCTGAGCCACTGTGCCCAGCCCTAAGGTTTTTTGTTTTGTTTTGTTTTGTTTTACTGTTAGGACTAACCCTTATTTACACTGGGACAAGTTACAAAGAAACTCCTGCAATTGTTAACTGCCATTGGAGACTACTGTAAGTTGCTTCATGGCAACTGCAGAAGGGACTAGTGACTTCTATTTAGCTCCACCCACTGATGCTTGAAGTTCAGTGTGGCTCTGGGGGCTCCAGAAGCCTGAGGGGCAGCTGGCTGGGGCAGTTGGCTGGGGTCTGGAGAGTTCTGCAGAGCCCCTGTCTTCAGCTGCTGGTGAGGCAGCTTTGGCTTGAGCTGCCCTGGCTTTCTGAGTTCAGTCTGATGGGAGGGCACAGTCAGCACCCTCAGACCCTCCTCAGGAGTCTTGTGAGGCTCGGGCAAGTCAGGGGCAGAGGGACAATCCAACTAGAGGACCCTCCCAGACCCGGTCGTTGCCACCTGGACCCAGCCCCAGGAAGGCACCCGAGAAACCTGTAGTCCTCGGCTGACCACCAGTCCTGGTCCTCAGGATATCCGCAGAGACCTGGCTGTCCAGAACTCCCAGGGTTTCAGCTGCAAGCTGGAGATGTGGCCCCTTGGCAACTCGATATAGTAAGATACTGGAGAGCGTGCCAGAGTGTCATTTGCTAGAAACAAACATTATACTGCGGTAAGCCCTAGTTTTTCAGTCATTGGCTCTTTGGCACCAACTTAATCACAAGGCCATTGGCCCCAAAGAAAGGCCTTGTAGGCGACTGTTTAGGGACACCTGTATTTTCCATCTGCCTTGGAACCTCTAGGCTCAGGCCGAATGCCTATTGAAGTAGATGTTTCGTAAGAGATTTGGGGGCAAATACTGGGATTTTATAAAGATGCTGCACTCTCCTTCACTAAGTAGAAAGCTGAGAAATCCTGCCCTGAGGGGAAGAAACAGTTGTCTTCCTGACTGATGCATCCTAGACCAGCCAAGACTTCCTCCCGCTTTCCTTCTTCTAGAACTTTCCCCACTTCAGCCAGTATCTGTCATCCCCTGGGCTCCCACCCTCTCCATGTGCCGCTTTCATCGGGGCTGAGGGGAGCAGGAGAGGAGACGTTTCTGCTGGTGTCCCCGCTGTAGCTGGAGGAGCTCGGCGTCGGCGTGCCTTCGCCTCCCCTTGCCATGATGCCCCCTAAACCGAGTCTGTATTGAGAGAGAAAGGTGGCACCGTTGATCATTACTCCAGGACAAGAGTCATAAAAGGACTGTCCCAGACAACCTAGGACCCCAGTGTTCTGTGGCGAACACTTCTAGGATGAGGCCCATCTCCTTCTCTGTTTCATCAATTGGATTAATTTTATTGTTTTCTAAAATAATGACTATGGTTTTTATTGAACCCATACTTGCTTATTCTAAACATTCTTTTTTTTTTTTTTTTTTTTTTTTTTGAGGTAGAGTTTCACTCTGGCTCCTAGGCTGGAATGCAGTGGCACCATCTCAGCTCTCTGCAACCTCCACTTCCCAGGTTCAAGCGATTCTCCTGCCTCACCCTCCTGAGTAGCTGGGACTACAGGCGAGCACCACCACAGCCGGCTAATTTTTCTATTTCTAGTAGAAATGGGGTTTCACCATGTTGGCAGGCTGGTCTCGAACTCTGACCTCAAGTGATCTGCCTGCCTCAGCCTCTGAAAGTGCTGGATTGCAGGCGTGAGCCACCGCACCAGGCCTAAACAGATTTCTTTACAATCTACCACCATGAACAGCAAGCATTAGCATTGGTGAGGAGTGTTCCAGAATCCCTCTGCTCTCTGCCTCTCCATTTCTCTCCCCCTCTCTTTCTCTCTCATGCACACACACACACACACACACACACACGCGCGCGCGCGCGCGCGGAATGACAGGACAGACTGATCGGCAGATTGGATGAATGGATGGATGGGCACATAGATTGAGGGACTCCCAGAGATAAACTAACACCATTTTATAAAAATGGTATCATATTCTACATGATTGAAATGTAAACTTTTAATTTTACTTAAATTTTAGTTCAGCTCAGATGTTGCTGGCAAAAGTTTTTTTTTATTATTTTTATTTTTTATGTACTGCTCCTTGAGGAGCTGGGCTAACTCATAGGCAGTGCATCCAGATTCGGCATTTTTTTTTTTTTAGATGGAGTCTCGCACTGTCACCCTGGCTGGAGTGCAATGGCACAATCTCGGCTCACTGCAACCTCTGCCTCCCAGGTTCAAGTGATTCTCCTGCCTCAGCTTCCCAAGTAGCTGGGATTACAGGCACACACCACCACACCTGCCTAATTTTTTGTATTTTAGTACAGATGGGGTTTCACTATGTTGGCCAGACTGGTCTCGAACTCCTGACCTTATGATCTGCCCACCTCGGCCTCCCAAAGTGCTGGGATTACAGGCGTGAACCATCGCGCCCAGCCAAAAAATATTTTTTAATTGTTAAAAATAATAATGGAATGCCAAATGTAGTAGAACAGTTTCACAATGACAAGAACTATTAGTTCCTAAAAAATCCCCAAGATTCAGATAAGAGATTACAAAAACCTTGATAAATTAGTGACATTATGTAAAATCAACAGTGCTGGGTTTGGTGGCTCAGACCTGTAATCATTGCACTTAGGGAGGCAGAGGCGGGAGGAGTGCTTGAGCCCAGGAGTTTGAGAGCCTGGCCAACATAGCAAGACCCCATTCTCCACAAAACGGAAAATACAATAAAATAAAATCAGCGTTTTGTTTTATTTTATTAATTTATTTGAGATGGAGTCTCGGTCTGTCTCCCTGGCTGGAGTGCAGTGGCGTAATCTCAGCTCACTGCAGCCTCTGCCTCCCGGGTTTAAGCGATTCTCCTGCCTCAGCCTCCCAAGTAGTTGGGATTACAGGCATGTACCACCACACCCAGCTAATATTTGTATTTTTAGTAGAGACAGGGTTTTGCCATGTTGGCCAGACTGGTCTGGAACTCCTGACCTCAGGCGACCTGCCCGTCTCTGCCTCCCAAAGTGCTGGGATTACAGGCGTGAGCCACGTCGCCTGGACTTCCTTTATTTTAGATAGCACAGGGTCATGGAAGATAAAGTGATGCCTTCCTTCCCCTACCCCCTACCCCGATTTCTACTGCTTGCATTATTTCTTAGGGTAAAGAATCTTCTTATTTGGCTGGAAGACTCTATTCCCACCGTAGTTTAGTCCTGGATGTGTGATTAAAGAAATCCAGTGGTTGCCCTGCGCTGAGAAGGACAGCCGGGCCTGGGTTCTCTCCTGGCTCAGTACAGCCCCCTCCCCACTCCTGCTGAGGACTCCCAGGGAAGCTGGAGGCAGCTCTGGGGCGTTTTCTCTGACTTCCCTAGACTTCTCTTCAGCTGCCCAAACAGTAGAGGGATGCTGAAGCCCTCTCTTCCCGCAGTCTGTCCCTAAGGGTTGCGCTGGCACCTGTGCCCCCAGTGCCCCTTGGCAGCACTCCTTTGGTTTCAGGGCTTGTCTGCCATTTTTCTTTTTTCTTTCTTTCTTTTTTTTTTTTAAGACAGGGTCTCAGTCTGTCATCCAGGCTGGAGTGCAGTGATGCAATCTCATTTCACTGCAACCTCTGCCTCCCGGGCTCAAGTGATCCTTCCACCTCAGCCTCCCAAGTAGCTTGGGGACCACAGGCTCACGCTACCATGCCCGGCTAATTTTTGTATTTTTTGTAGAGACAGGGTTTCGCCATGTCACCCAGGCTGGTCTTGAACTCCTGGGCTCAAGCGATCTGCCTGCCTCAGCCTCCCAAAGTTCTGGGATTGCAGGTGTGAGCCACCATGCCCGGCCTGCTATTTTTCAGTTTGTGGCAGAAAAGTTGTTTTCCTTTCCTCATTTTGTGGTTGCTGCTTTATTCACTTATTTATTTTTTTAACTTTTTAAAACGCAACATTTGGTTCATTTCACCAGGAGCTGGGGAGGGAGGTACAGGAGGCTGCCCTGATCCTTTGTTGGGTTTGATCTGGAGACTTTGACGTGACAGAGCGACTGCGCCCACTGGTTGTCCTCTAAGAAGGCGTGAGGGGAAGCCCAGACGCCTCTGCAGGAGCCAGAGACATTCCTAGGGGGTCACAGGGTCAGCTGAGGTGAACAGGGATTCTGGAATGAGGAAGCCAAGGGGATGGAAGGGAGGAGGCTGGCAGGGAAACGCCCAGAGCACGTGCTCCTGCCCGACACCTCCAGGCAGAGAACAGGAGCTGGCAAGAGAGGAACCCCGCTTGTGGTGGGGACGCTGAACAGGCAGGGCCTGGCTGGGATGGGGGCCCAGCCTAGGCTGAAAACGAAGAGAAAGGAAAGTGGGTGCCGGTGTCCCACGCACTGTGGACCCCCAGCCCTGGCCCTGGGGTGGCAGGGGCAGAACCGGGCACTGCAGGGACCTCCTCAGCCCACCCTCCTCCTGCTTCCTGGCAGGGATGAGAGAGGGAAGCAGGAGGCAGGGTGGGATTGCCAGCTGCTCTCGGATCGTTTTTTTTTTTTTTTTTTTTTTTTTTTTTTTTTTTTTTTTAAAAACGGGATCGTGCTATGTTGCTAGGCTAGTCTTGAACTCCTGGGCTCAAGCGATCCTCCTGCCTCTGCCTTCCAAATTACAGGCATGAGCCACTGCACCAAGCCTGGATCTTTTTTTTTTTTTTTAAACAACTTTGTTGAAATATAACTCACGGCCAAACACAGTGGCTCACACCTATAATCCTAGCACTTTCGGAGGCTGAGGGGGGAGGATCACTTGAGCCTAGGAGTTTGAGACCAGCCCAGGCAACATAGTGAGACCCCCTTCTTTACAAAAAACAACAACAACAAAAAAAATGAGCCTGGCATGGGGGCACATATCTGTATTCCCAGATACTCCGGAGGCTAAGGTAGAGGATCACTTAAGCCCAGAAGACGGATGTTGCCGTGAGCTGAGATTGCACCATTGCACTCCAGCCTGAGCAACAGAGCAAGACCTTGTCTCAAAAAAAAAAAAAAAAAAAAAGGAAGAGCTATAACCCATACGGCACACAATTCACCCGTTTAAGATGCTTCTAGTGTATTCACAGATGTGTGCAATCGCCGCCACAGTTAACTTTAGGACATTCCATCATCTGTAAAGGAAACATCCCCTACCTTTAGCTACCATCCTGACATCCTGATAGACAGGGGGCCTGAAGACCCCTCGGTGATGCAGGGCAGGGCTGGAGTGGGGGCCCTGGGCTGACTTTATTGCTCGCTATTGCTGCCTTGAAATTCTGAATACGTTTTTAAAACAAACGCACCATCCTTTCATTTTGCCCTGAGCTCCACAGACGATATAGCTGGTCCTGAAGTGGGGCAGAGGATCATTCTGACTTGGAGTCAGACTCTAGCGACGCAGGCTTCTACTGGGTGGAGGCCCAGGAGCTCAGGAGCCTTCTGTGGGAGTGTGCCCATTGGCAGCGCATCCCTGGAGATGGACGGACAATTTCCACATCGCCTTTGCCCCTGTGCACGCTCCCTCTGGCTGCCGTCATAAATTACCACAAACTGGGTGGCTTAAAACAACAGAAATGTATTTGCTCATGGTTCTGGAGGCCAGAAGTCCACACTCCAGGGGTGAGCAGGGCCGCACCCCCATGAAGGCTCCAGGGAGGGTCTGCTTCATGCCTTCTCTTGAGTTTCTAGTGTTGCCACCGACCCTTGGCGTGTCACTCCAGTCTCGGCCTCTGCCAACATGGGGTGATCATGGGGTGTCTAGGCCTAGGGCCCTTCTCCTCCTCTTCTTCTTCTTCTTTCTTTTTTTTTTAAGACAGGGTCTTGCTCTGTCGTCCAGGCTGGAGTGGAGTGGCACTACCTCAGCTCTGCAACCTACACCTCCCAGGCTCAAGCGATCCTCCCACCTCAGCCTCCTAAGTAGCTGCGACTACAGGTGTGCACCACAACACCTGGCTAATTAAAAAAAAAATTTTTTTAGGCCAGGTGCAGTGGTTCATGCCTGTAATCCCAGCACTTTGGGAGGCCGAGGCAGGCGGATCACTTGAGGTCAGGAGATCGAGACCAGCCTGGCCAACATGGTGAAACCTTGTCTCTACTAAAAATAAAGAATTAGCTGGGCATGGTGGCATGCACCTGTGATCCCAGATACTCAGAAGGCTGAGGCAGGAGAATTGCTTGAACCCGGGAGACAAAGGTTGCAGTGAGCCAAGATTGTGCCATTGCACTGCAGCCTGGGAGACGAGCAAGACTCTGTCTCAAAAAAAAAAAATTTTTTTTTAGCAGATTTTAGCAGAGACAAGGTCTCACTGTGTTGCCCAGGCTGGTCTCAAACTCCTGAGCTCAAGCAATCTGCCCGCCTTGGCCTTTCAAAGTGTGGGATTACAGGCATGAGCCACCACACCCAGCCCTTCTCCTCTTGTTATAAGGGCACCCATCCCTGGACTAGGGCCCACCCTAATGACCTCAACTTGATTACGTTGGCAGAGACTTATTCCCAAATGAGGTCCTACTTACAGGTACTGGGGGTCAAGACTTCAGCATTCTTTTGCGGGGGGCCACAATCAGTGACACCCTGACTCGCAAGCCTCAATCACCTGTTCCAGTGAGAAACAGGACTGAGATCAGAAGGAATGAGGCAGAGCTGCCCTCGATTGGTTCTCCTCTCCTCCTCACCTGCCCACCCCGGCCTCTGCGCCCGTCACTGTCCTCTCCAGCTGTTCTTCCTTCCGGGCAAGGAGACTCAGCAGAAGGGTATGAGTGGCCTGGCCCTGTGGGGAGCCGCAGACAGGCCTGTGGGTGCTTTGGATAACTACTGCGCCTGTCAACTCTCCTTGGTAGTCTAGGGTTCAAAGCCCAGGTCCATTCTAGAAGTCTGCTTCCAAGTGCTAAGGAAGCTTCAATAGTTACTGGGAAAACCACAGGGGTCAAAGGTCCGTCGAGTTATTTCCCGGATCCGAGTCTGACGTCTTTTCCCCGCCGCTTGCGGTGGTTGTGACCGAACCTTGAGTTTTGGAACAGGTCACATGGCTTTGAAATCACGGTCAATTCACCTGGTGCTGCTTTGACTTCAGGCTCTTCCTTCTGCCCAGCTCCGTCCCACCCAGCAGCCCGCAGAGAAAGGAGGCAGCTGGCACCACACTGGGCTTTGGAGACACTGCGGGGACTGTGGACCCCACCCTGCTGCACGGAGCTCCTGCAAAAGCAAACCTGAGAACCTTGGTGAGTACTTCCGGAGACCCGGCTCCTGGGACGGCTTCTGGCGCTGCTCCTGCACACACGACTCTCCAACGATCATTTTCCATGTTTTATTTTTATCTTTTAATTTTTGAGATGGAGTCTCACTCTGTCACCCAGGCTGGAGTGCAATGATGCAATCTCAGCTTACTGCAACCTCTGCCTCCCAGGTTCAAGTGATTGTCCTGCCTCAGCTTCTCAAGTAGCTGGGACTACAGGCACCCGTCACCATGACTGGCTAATTTTTGTATTTTCAATAGAGACGGGTTTCCACCATGTTGGTCAGGCTAGTCTCAAACTCCTGACCTCAGGTGATCTGCCCGCCTTGGCCTCCCAAAGTGCTGGGATTACAGGCATGAGCCACTGGCCCCGGCCCATTTTCCATTTTTCAGATGACAGGTGTTGATTTGCTCTGATTTTCAAGTATTTTTAGCATACAGATCCCTGCAAGAGGCATCTGTCTCCAGTGGTCCAGCCTCTCCTTCCAAATGAAAAGAATCAAGTCACAGGAATTCATGGGTCTGTAAGGAATCGCTCCCATCTGTGCCCAGGAGATTAACAAAGGCGGTGGCTGCAGCTCTGTGAGCAGTGGAGAAAAATTAGGCACAACCTGATATCCTCCCACAGGAGCGTAAGTCCACTGTGGTTATTCATATCATTGAATCCAGTGCACAGTTTAAAGGACCATGCATGTATCAAGCTGCATGTATCAGTATGAGAAACCTCAGAAGCCGTACAGCCTTGCACAGAACGATAGTTTCTGTGAAGTTCCAGCTAACACTGAAGGCACTGTTGATGTAAAGCTGCTGTCTGCACGAAGTATCATGCAAAGATGCTATGTACTGTTTATACACACTTCCATTTGTAGGAAATGATTTTTAAAATATCATTTTTAGGCTGGACTGTAATCCCAGCACTTTCAGAGGCTGAGGTAGACAGATCACCTGAGCCCAGAAGTTCGAGACCAGCCTGAGCAACATACGGAGATTCCATCTCTACAAAAATTAAAAAAGAAGCCAGGCATGGTGGCGCATGCCTGCGGTCTCAGCTACTTGAGAGGCTGAGGTGGGAGGATTGCTTGGGTCTGGGAGCTCAAGGCTGCAGTGAGCCACGATCACGCTACTGCGTTCCAGCCTGGGCAACAGAGTGAGACCCTACCTCAAAAAAAATCATTTTTAAATGATTTTAGAATGTCTGGCCAGAGAGGGAGGGAAGAGGGACTGAAGAGAACAAAAAGGCGCCATCTGCCTCGCATTTCCTTAAAAAGAAACCTGAAGTGCAGAATGTCAAGATGGTTGAATCCGCATGGTAGATATGTGGATATTTGTTATTTGCAGGATTTTTTAATATGCTGAAAACAGTGCACAGTTTTAAAACATTTTAAAATTATTTAGATGGATTAATGGGCTAATGGCCTCATGTTGATGCCAGAGAGGGGCTCAGGCAGGGGCACAGTGGGGTACACAGCTCATCTCTCGCTGGGATGGGAGGCTGGGCAGGTGACGGCTGAGGACCTCCAACAGCTCTTAGAGTCTGCACTAGCCAGCATGTCCCCTGAAGAGCAGGTGTTCCGGGCTGTAACGGCGACCTGCTTCGTGTATTCTGTCCAGACAGACCTGGGCTTGGGACATCAGCCCTGGTGGTGGCCCCAGATCAGCTGCAGCTCAGCCCTTTCGGGGACCTGTCCACCCTCTGTCTGCCTCGCCATCTTTGTAAGCCCACACCCCCCGCAGCCGAGCCGTGCTGGCCGTTACTACCCTGAAGTGTCTTCTGCGAGGCACTTGTGCCCAGTGTCACTCCCCAGCACATTTCCCTCATGTGGAGTCCTCTGCGCAGTCCTCTGTGTCACTGTCCTGGGCCGCTGCAAACAAGGGACCACCTGCTGCGTAGTTGAAAACAATGGGAACTTTTTTTTTTGTTTTTTTAGACAGAGTCTTGCTCTGTTGCCCAGGCTGGAGTGCAGTGGCACGATCTCGGCTCTAGAGAAGCCGACAGTCTTGCTTCTAATGAAAATTACCTTTCATAAAGAACTTATAAAGCAGCATTTCCAAAGTGCAGCACCCCTACTGTTATTTGTTTGTTTGTTTGTTTGTTTGTGTGTTTGTTTACCGGGACAGGGTCTCCCTCTGTCACCCAGGCTGGAGTGCAGTGGCACAATCTCAGCTCACCACAACCTCTGTATCCCAGGCTCAAGTGATCCTCCTGCCTCAGCCTCCTAAGTAGCTGGGATTGCAGGTGCATACCACCATGCCTGACTAATTTTTGTATTTTTAGTAGAGACAGGGTTTCACCATATTTGCCAGGCTGGTCTCGAACTCTTAGGCTTGAGCAATCCTTCCCCCTTCGCCTCTCAAAGTGCTGGGATTATAGGCGTGAGCCAATACGCCTAGCCTACTACCATTATTTTAGATGAATTTCTAAAAAAAAAAAAAAGTATTTATTTACTTTAATTTTTTAGAAAAAGCTGTAACTGACACAACAAAGTGTGATTTAGTGACTTTATTGCTTAGGATTGGGGTAGAGCAGGTGGGGCCGTGGCACTCAACCTTACACAGAGGGAGAAACCAGAATGGCAAATGGCCACTGGAATGCTTCCTCTGCCGTAAACATCTCAAGACTGTGGGTTCTGACTGGCAAAGAGTGCGCCTTGCTAATTTTACGATGGAGTTGATTTTAAAACGGTGTCACCCTGGCTATCCTGGGGTCCTGCTTACCTGACAACTCCACCCCCATGGCCACCCCTCCTAGGGTCCTCCCAGCGCCCAGCCATGGGGGAACTGTGCCGCAGGGACTCCGCACTCACGGCACTGGACGAGGAGACACTGTGGGAGATGATGGAGAGCCACCGCCACAGGATCGTACGCTGCATCTGCCCCAGCCGCCTCACCCCCTACCTGCGCCAGGCCAAGGTGCTGTGCCAGCTGGACGAGGAGGAGGTGCTGCACAGCCCCCGGCTCACCAACAGCGCCATGCGGGCCGGTGAGCGCAGCTCCCTCTTCCCCACCTCTTCCAGCTTCCCGTGGCCCACATGGCTCCACTGTCTGCCTCTGTCTTCAGGGGGTCTCTTCTCGTCCTGTCTCTTATAAAAACACTTGCTGTTGCCTTTAGGGCCCACCTGGATAACCAGGATGATCTGATCTTGAAATCATTAACTTATATCTGCAAAGGCCCTTTTCCCAAAAAAGGTCATCTGGACAGGTTCCAGGTGGATGTGTCTTTGAAGGGGAACCACCATTCACACCACTACAGCTGTCTTTGGAGTCCATTCTGATGGTCTGACTAGTGTTTATTCATTAAAAAATGGGGATGGTAATGGCTTTACTGTATACGGTTGTTAGGAGAAGCAAATGAGTTACTGTTTATAAAACACTCACTGCAAAGCTGGGGCCATAGAAAACAGGCAGTAGGTGGTAGCTGTCAACATGATAATGTTCATGCATGTTGGCGTACGAACCCCAAACACAGGAGAGATTGATGCACGCTGGTCATTCTGGCTGAGAGAGATGGGCTCTGGGCCCTGGGCGTGGAAGGCCCCGAGGCTCTCTGGGACCTGTCACCCGCAGCCCCGGGGTGCCACTCTGCTTTCTGTGCGCAGCTCCAAAGCTGACAGCACCGTGGTGGGACCCTGCGTCTGCATCACCCACCAGCTTGCCAGGGAGGTGCTTGCAAGCAGGGACCCACCTCCTCACCCCGTCCCGGTCCCCCCGCACTCGCCAGAGCACTGGGGTTGCAGTAGTTGCTCGATACATGCCAGCTTTGCCCTTCTCGAGTCTGACTGAGGTCATGGGGGTAAAGGGAGCCTGTGAGAGCAGTGAGGGCGCGTCCCACCCAGCAGAACCCAGAAAACCGCTTTCACCTCCCGATTCTTACATGTGCGGGGGGTTTCCCAGCCCCAGGCCTCTCCCCCGTGGGGAAGCCAGCCAGGGAGCCCAGCCCCCTTGGTAGCTGGGTTCTGCCCAGACAGACGGTTCTGCCTCCCAAGGGCACTTGCTGGATTTGCTGAAGACTCGAGGGAAGAACGGGGCCATCGCCTTCCTGGAGAGCCTGAAGTTCCACAACCCTGACGTCTACACCCTGGTCACCGGGCTGCAGCCTGATGTTGACTTCAGTAACTTTAGCGGTGAGAGCTCCGACTTTGACGGTTTGGCAGGCACTTCTAGGAACCTCAGGCTCCTGGTAACCCCAGGTGCCCCGCTTACTTGCCGATTTGCCCTACTCCCCCTTCCCTCCAGGCTGCAGTTCCTGTCCCAGCCCCAGCACTCTGAGGGTGAGGAACCCCCTCACTGTATTGGGGTTGGATAGGATAAGGAGCCCCTGGGCCTTGACTCTGAAGGGTCGGTCCTTAGTTACCCAGTGCCAAAAGGAGACCCCTGAGCGGTAGGGTGGGGAGAATCTGCTTGGAGAGACACAAGCAAAGGGCAAGGGAGTGTCTCCTGGAGTCCGCCTTTAACCTTGCGGCTTTGCTGGAGGGGCCAGAACGGCCCAGCCTCAGCTCTTAGGAGGCGACAGAGCGGCCCCGGCCAGAGGGTACAGGGCCTTGGCAGGGCCGCGGAGCCTTCTGTGCACTGCTCACCATTTTCCTTCAGGGAGTAATTCTAGGCTTCCCTGGAGGAGCTGTTGAAAGATTTAGGTATTGAAAGGAGCAGGAGCAGGACTCACACGACCCAAAACAGTGGAGAATAGACCATTTTCCCTGTGTTCCAGCACGGTGTGTGTTTATGTTCTTTAGAGTTCTAGTACGCGGATTCGTATTCTTTTTTTATCTTTTTCTCAGGATAACGTTAAAATGAGTTAGCACTGAGTGCATTTCAGCTACCGAGGAGGGTCATTAAGTCTGAACAGTGGGGTCTCACGGGGAAGGTCAGAGTGGGTAACCCTCGTGCCAAAATCGGGAGTCACGCTGTTTATTCAACCAAAAGACCAAGTCTGCTTGAGGTCCAGGAGCTTTTAAGGAGACCAGCAGGTTAAAGCTGGGGGCCTGCTGGGGAGTCTGGGCAAGGCTGTGGGGGCATGGGAGTCATGCCTCGGCCCACCGGCCCATCTGTGCACCTGCACACCTGCCCACATGCCCACCCGCCCACATGCTCAGCTGCCCACATGCTCACCCGCCCACATGCTCACCCGCCCACATGCTCACCTGCCCACATGCTCACCTGCCCACCTGCTCACCTGCTCACCTACCCACCTGCCCACCTATTACCTCCCTACCTGCTCACTTGCTCACCTGCCCATCTGCCCACAGGTCTCATGGAGACATCCAAGCTGACCGAGTGCCTGGCTGGGGCCATCGGCAGCCTGCAGGAGGAGCTGAACCAGGAAAAGGGGCAGAAGGAGGTGCTGCTGCGGCGGTGCCAGCAGCTGCAGGAGCACCTGGGCCTGGCCGAGACCCGTGCCGAGGGCCTGCACCAGCTGGAGGCTGACCACAGCCGCATGAAGCGTGAGGTTAGCGCACACTTCCATGAGGTGCTGAGGCTGAAGGACGAGATGCTCAGCCTCTCGCTGCACTATAGCAATGCGCTGCAGGAGAAGGAGCTGGCCGCCTCACGCTGCCGCAGCCTGCAGGAGGAGGTAGGGGGACACCCTGCACCCCGGCGCGACCCTGCTGTCGTCTGCCCCCAGGCCTTTGTACTAGCTGGTCCATCTCCCTGGAACTCCTTTCCCCTCTTCCTTGTCTAACACTTCCCTGCCCCGAGAGCCTTGGCTGAGACCCCTCTGGGAAGCTGATCCTTCCCCTCCCCAGGAGGCCACCCAGGCCCCTCTGTGTAGCCTGCATGGCGACGAGGTGTGCCTTGTCCAGTAGCTGCCCGTGGCCTGGCTGGCTTGTCTGTGAACTGCCCATCCTGCTGACGCCTGGGCAGGTCTGGACACACTCTGGGCTGCATATTTGTAGGGCCGCCTACGTCCCACTGCCCAGCTGCGGCAGTGACATGGGATAGTCGGCCTCTGTCATCCTCCTTTGTCCTTCTCAGCTGGTCCTGGACTCAGGCGGGATAGTTGGTCTCTGTCGTCCTCCTTTGTCCTTCTCAGCTGGTCCTGGACTCAGGCGGGATAGTTGGTCTCTGTCGTCCTCCTTTGTCCTTCTCAGCTGGTCCTGGACTCAGGCGGGATAGTTGGTCTCTGTCGTCCTCCTTTGTCCTTCTCAGCTGGTCCTGGACTCAGGCGGGATAGTTGGTCTCTGTCGTCCTCCTTTGTCCTTCTCAGCTGGTCCTGGACTCAGGCGGGGAGGGCAGGAGGGTTCTCAAGTGAGGCCTCTGAAACTCAGTGTGTTTCACTCACTTTTCTTTGGGGAGGATGATCTGACTGATTGGTAAGGCTTCTCAAAATACTGAGGATGTGCACTCCTTGTCATTTTGGCATTTGCTTTTTACCTTTATTATTATTACTATTATTTTTAATTTTTTAGAGGCACTATCTCGCTCTGTCACCAAGGCTGGAGTGCAGTGGTACAATCCTAGCTCACTACAGCCTTAAACTCCTGAGCTCAAGTGATCCCCAGCCTCCCGAGTAGCTGGGACTACAGATTGTACCACCATACCCAGCTAATTAAAAAAAAATTTTTTTTGAAATGGGGGGTTCTCATTATGTTGCCCAGGCTGGTCTCGGACTCTTGGGCTCAAGCGATCCTCCCACCTCGGCCTCCAAAGTGCTGGGATTACAGGTGTGAGCCCCTGCGCTGGCCAGCGCTTTGCCTTTAATCATGACATTTGTTGTTTGTTTTTAATTTTTTACTTCTTATTTAGAAATAATTCCAAATATATATTTTTAAATCACACAAATAAAAATAGTACAAATAATACCCACCTACCCTTGCTTTATCATTTGTACTTTTACTCTCTCGTGGCCCTTTATGTCTACTTCCTGAAAATCAGCACCTGCCCCTATATAGCCACAGTGCAGTTCTCAACTTCAGTCTTTTTGGTATGGACGCCCTGTTTTTATCCAATCCGCCTGTGTTCTGGTTTTCTCATCTGTCCCAGTGACTCCTTCACAGCCTTTCCCCCAGCCCAGGGTCGGGCCCTGTGTTCTGCTGTTCCTCTCTTTAGCCACCTTCATTTGGGAACAGCCCACAGCCTTTCTTTGTCTATTATGAGGTGGCCCTCTTTAAAGCCCCCACCCCTTCCCTTTGATGATAGACGACCTCTCATTTGGGGTTTGTCTTGTGTTTCCCACATGTATACAGAAATTATGTTCTTTGGCCGGGACCCTGCACAGGGGGTGCTGGCCTGACTCAGGGCATCTCCTCGAGGGCTCTCGAGGTCCTGTCGCCCCTCACAGGGGACGTCACACCGTCCACCATTTGTCAAGGTGCAGGCCAATTGCTCTACTGCAGAATGGCTCTTTCTTTTCTTCCCTGCAACTGATAAATATCTCGGGTGTGGGGCGCTGAGACCAGCAAGCACCCTGCTCCTGGTGGACATTTCCCAGGATGTAGCTGTGGTGACTCTGGCGGGAGCTGGCCCCTACCCTGGGAGCTGTGAATGACGACCGTGCCAGTGCTCCACCTTGCTGCTGCCCACGGCCTCTGCCTTCCCTTCTCCCTTGGCTGACTTTGGACCAGGCCAGCCCACTTTGCTGCTGCCCACGGCCTCTGCCTTCCCTTCTCCCGTGGCTGACTCTGTTCTTGGCGCAGTTCATGGGTTCCTACTCTGCAGGGGTCTGACCTCTCACTGTCCTTAATGATTTTGGTCTCAAATGGACCCAGATGTGACCAATGGAACCCTTCAACCAGCTCCGTGTCCTAAAACGGGTCCCTTGTTTTTGGAGAACCAACTGCTTTTCTGGCCTCACAAGATATTCCAGGGTCATCTTGTACCCGGCCTACCCCAAATCCAGGCTCAGCCCATTCTCTGAGGGCCCCACTTCCTTTTTTTATTTTTATTTTTTGGTTTGTTTTTTTGAGACAGAGTCTCACTCGCTTCCCAAGCTGGAGTGCAGTGGCGCCATCTCAGCCCACTGCAATCTCCATCTCCCGGGTTCAAGCAATTCTCCTGCCTCAGCCTCCCGAGCAGCTGGGATTATAGGCGCGCACCACCACACCTGGCTAATTTTTCGTATTTTTAGTAGAGACGGGGTTTTGCCATGTTGGCCAGGCTGGTCTCAAACTCCTGACCTCAGGTGATCCGCCCACCTCGGTCTCCCAAAGTGCTGGGATTACAGGCATGAGCCACCACGCCCGGCCTCCTGCCTCCTTTTAGAGAACAAGATGTGGGCGTAGGTGTGTCCATCACTACTAGGGTGTCTTTGCTTCTCAGCCCTTTCAGGGGACAGAGCTAGGAAACACACACACATGTATGGACATATACATACACATATGCACACACATACTTGTCTGTGTACACACACATACTCATATGCATGGAAGTATACATATAGTTCACGTGCATACTTCAGAAATCATGGGTTCTCACCCATACCTCTAATTCCAACCCATGCCCTGCGGCTTTTTCTTGCCTTCTCCTGTTCCGTACGTGTGTGCTCCTTCCCCAGGGGGAACGCTGCTCCCAGCGTCACCAGCACCTTCAGACCCGTGCTCAGTCCTGCAGCACATCTCAAATCGTTTCAGAATCACTCTGCCCATACCACTGCCATTAACAGCCCCGCTAAGACGGGTGCCGGACTTGTTTGTAATTCACCTCCCCCCGCCAGCCAATCTTGCTCAAGGCTGAGGGTTTGTAATCAAACACTGTGTTTGTGAGTCACTGTATCTTCGTTCTCTCTGTCCTTGTCTGTCTGTCTCTCTCTTCGTTGTGGTTATGGCGTCTGTTGGAAATAGAATTCGGTTCATTTGTTCTGGTTCACTTTCAGTCTCATGTTTTCCGGTTCCCTTCCAGCTCTGACTTGATTTTACTTTTTGAATCTGTGGACGGTGACATGCCCAGCCCAGCTGGACCATTGCAGGAGCTGGGAACTTGCGAATTGACAATGTGCTAACCGGGTGTCGGGAGGGGAG
Organism: Homo sapiens; assembly: GCF_000001405.40. NCBI lineage: Eukaryota > Metazoa > Chordata > Mammalia > Primates > Hominidae > Homo > Homo sapiens. The sequence goes on from NC_000017.11 coordinate 80,187,621, forward strand.
AGTCCAGGTGGAAAGGTCCTTCTTGGCCACAGCCCAGGGGTGAGCACCGGCACCCACCCCGACGTGCAGACTTCCCGGGCTTGCCTCACGGGGAAAGTCCTGCCTCCCCAGGGCTGCCACACCCAGGACGGGAAGAGGGCGGGCCCGTGGCTCGAGCTCCAAGTTTCTCTTGGGCTGCTGTCCAGAGGAAGGAGGCCAGCAGGACCTGGTGGGATAGTCCCTGGAAGGCCAGGGCCCTGCACACAGACTGCAAGTCAACACAGGAGCTTTGCTGTCTGAACAGCCCCGGTCCCGCGTTCCCAGGCACGTCTACCCCTCCGACCTGACTTTCCTCTCTCTTACTTCTTACTGATTTCCATGACTCCAAATTCCCTTTCTTGATGTATTTAGCAGAACATGGACAAGCAGGGAAGCCAGGGAGCATGCTGGCCATCACTGCCGGCTGCTCAGCTGTAGAGATCCAGGAGTTGGTTATCAAGGCCTCTTGGTCTATTCCTGGGACCCTAACCCTGGATGGAGTTCAACCGCGGTGCCTCATCTATAAGACAGAGCTGAAAGGCCTCTGTCCTCCCAGCCCCAGTTGAATATTTGGGACTATTCATTAGGTGAACCCTTTCGTGGGTTTTTCAGTCTCGAGGCAGGAAGCCCCCTGAGTGCTAAAAGCATCATTAGGAGGAAGGGTGAGAAATGCCCCCAGCTCCTGATCAGGGGAGAAGCTGTTTCCATCGCCCTTCCTGTCGCCTCCCCACCGCACAGCTGTATCTACTGAAGCAGGAGCTGCAGCGAGCCAACATGGTTTCCTCCTGTGAGCTGGAATTGCAAGAGCAGTCCCTGAGGACAGCCAGCGACCAGGAGTCCGGGGATGAGGAGCTGAACCGCCTGAAGGAGGAGAATGAGAAACTGCGCTCGCTGACTTTCAGCCTGGTAGGTTCCGGTCCCCGCAGCAGAGAGCGGCCTCCTGCCTTGGGGGCTTGGCCCTCAGGCTGTGGGGTTTCTGACAGGTGGTTTAGTTAAGGTGAGGCTAAGAACAAGAGATGAAATTTAGTGACTCATCTCACCCACTTTCTCTTTACCTCCTTCCTTCCTGCTGTTCCCCAGACCCCAAAATTGGCAGAATTAAAAGCTGCTGGAACAGAATTAAAAGCTGGAACTGGGCACAGTGGCTCATTCCTGTAATCCCAGCACTTGGGAGGCCAAGATGGGCAAGATAGCTTGAGCTCAGGAGTTCAAGACCAGCCTGGGCAACATGGCGAGACCCCATCTCTACAAAAAATACAAAAAGTAGCCGGGCATGGTGGTGCACACCTGTGGTCCCAGCTATTCGGGAGGCTGAGGTGGGAGGATCGCTTGACCCTGGGAGTTTCAGGCTGCAGGGAGCTGAGATCACGCCACTGCACTCCAGCCTGGCGACAGAGGGAGACCCTGTCTCAAACAAACAAAAATAAAAGCCGCTGGAGGTGCATCACAATGCCCGACTTGGTGGGTTTACTGCAGCGACTGTGTTCTGGAGTGGACTTGGCCAATTGTAAAGCATGGGATTCGCGTTAAGGATGGGGGAAAGAAACCTTTCTGCCTGGAAAGACTCCGCCCTCTGGGCCTCAGGTGCACTGGAGAGAGGGGGGCTCTGAAGTGGAGCAGTGAGTGAGCAACGACCCTTGGCGTCTCCTCCTCGGCCCCTCTCAGTAGATTGGTATTTATTGAGATATTCCTTCCATAAGCATTCACTGGGCCCAGGGCACTGGCCATCTTGCAGCCCGGATTGTGTCTCTGTTTATAAGCTCCTTCCTGGGAAGTGAGTGTCAGAGGGGAATGACCTGTCTGCTGGTTTCTCCCTCGCTGTGAAACTGCCGGTAGATCTGTTGAAGGAGAAGGCTGACCTGGTAAAGGGAGGAACTGGTGTCCTCAGAGGTTGCCAGCTTCCTGTGTTCCTTCTCCTTGGCCATGAATCTGCACTTTTCCCAGGCATGATGGGTGGCTTTTCCGTGGCTTCTCTCCTGCCCGGTGTAGAGTGGCAAGACTGCATCCGTCCACACACCTGACCGTGCAGTTGCCGCCATCTTCTCGGGATTCTGCTTGCCTAGGGCAGGCCTCTGGGGAAGCCAGCACCCCAGGCTGACCTCTCTCTGCCCCAGGCGGAGAAGGACATTCTGGAGCAGAGCCTGGACGAGGCGCGGGGGAGCCGACAGGAGCTGGTGGAGCGCATCCACTCGCTGCGGGAGCGGGCCGTGGCTGCCGAGAGGCAGCGAGAGCAGGTGCCGTGTGAGCCCTTCCTCCCTTGTGACTCTCCTGGGGCTTGTCTCAGGGGTGCGGACAGGTCTGTGGGGAAGCCAGATTCCTTCATCCACGCCGAGCTCACATAATTTTGCTGAACGAATCTGTCGGCCTGTTCATCTGTCCCTTTGTCAGCGCCACCCTAAGCACCGACTCGCACCCCACAGCTAAGACCATGGTCAGGCAGATGCGTGATTCAAACGCAGGGGATTTCAGGGCCCAGGCCCCGGGGAGAGCCAGGGACTTAGGTGAGGAGGGAACGGGGAGGAAAGGAGACGGTAGAAGAGAAGAGGACAGGGAGGGAAAATTGTTTTTCTGGGACATTAAAAACGCAAAACACAACTATGCATGCAACATCCCCTCATTGTTTTAATTCAGACGTAATCAGCCTAAGCAACTTTCTAGATGCACCTCGAAATCTAGCACTTAAGAGACGAGCGAGGCCGGGCGCGGTGGCCCACGCATGTAGTCAGCACTTTGGAAGGCCGAGGCAGGCGGATCACTTGAGGTCAGGAGTTCCAGACCAGCCTGGCCAATATAGTGAAACCCTGTCTCTACTAAAAATACAAAAATTAGCTGGGCCTGGTGGTGTGTGCCTGTAATCCCAGCTACTAGGGAGACTGAGGCACGAGAATCGCTTGAACCCGGGAAGCAGAGGTTGCAGCGAGCCGAGATTGCGCCATTGCACTCCAGCCTTGGCATCGCAGCGAGTCTCTGTCTCAAAAAAAAAAAAAAAAAGAGAGAGAGAGACGAGTGAGAATTGACCTTATTTCATCCCTAGAACTGTCTCCCTCCCTCCACCCCTGGGTTCCCCGACCCCCTTCTAAGGCCAGACCCTCAGAGCTGCTGAGCTTCACGGTCCATGTGTCCCACTCTGTCCAGTACTGGGAAGAGAAGGAACAGACCCTGCTGCAGTTCCAGAAGAGTAAGATGGCCTGCCAACTCTACAGGGAGAAGGTGAATGCGCTGCAGGCCCAGGTGTGCGAGCTGCAGAAGGAGCGAGACCAGGTACCTGAGAGGCCGGGCCCACCCCGCCACCCCATGCTTGCTTCCCCAGGTGAGGGCTGGTTCCGGGGACAGTCTCGTGGCTCCCTGCCCTTGATGGCAGCTGGTCCCAGATTTCAGGGTCTCTTTCCTCGGTCCACACGAAGTTTCTTCACTCCTCCAGGCCTGTTGTCCACATGCTGTCTCTATCATCCTTCTTGCTCTTATTCCTGGTACATGACACTGAGAAAGTACACCCCAAATACTGGGTTTTATCAACACTGCACATGTGAACACGAATTGAAATGAATCTTAAGTTTGCACAGCTCAGCGTGGGCCATTTAGTGGATGTCAGATGAGCGCAGGCTAGAAACAGGGCTCTCCTTCTCTAGCTGAGGCTCCCCGGTGGTGATGGCGCGGCCTCCTTACTCCCGTCGTGGCCCACAGGCGTACTCCGCGAGGGACAGTGCTCAGAGGGAGATTTCCCAGAGCCTGGTGGAGAAGGACTCCCTCCGCAGGCAGGTGTTCGAGCTGACGGACCAGGTCTGCGAGCTGCGCACACAGCTTCGCCAGCTGCAGGCAGAGCCTCCGGGTGTGGTGAGTGTTCCCGGCTGACCCGAGCTGGAGGCCAGGCAGGGGCTGCGGTGACAGTGGGACAGAGCTGGGCTCCAGGGTGGCCCATGGAGGCACTGGGAGGACAGGCAGGGTCCCAGGCTGGGCCACACGCGGCACCTGCAGAGACGGCCCAGTGTCACTGTGATGAGCGACACACTGGCTCCCACGCGTGGATGGTGCCGTGAAACCTCGAAGGTGCCCAGTAGACAAGTAGAGTCTGCCTCCATATCATCGAATGGGGAGCTTAGCGGAAGGTTCTGGAACCTGTGGAGTGTGGTGATGGATGTGGCAGGTGGCGTTTGAAGCTGTCCACAGGCAGCCATTTGCAGTGTAGATGCTGTGTTCCTGAAATGCTTAAAAGCCCAGCGTCCAAGAGTGGAAAGACAGACCTACATGTAACGGAGGGAGCGTGTTCCCAGAAAGCCAGAATTCTTAGAAAGCCTCTCATTCTGGGCTGGCAGGCAGCTCCAGCTCCAGGCCCCCGGGGAGGCAAAGGAGCTCCTCCCTCCGCATGCGGAACCCACCCGGCCCTTCCTTCCTTACCCCCTGCATGGCAAGCATCCCACACCGACGGTGGAAACACACGTGTGCACGCAGAGAAAAACCCTCCCGGGGCAGGCACCAACACGCAGGCTGTGCTCATTCTGGGTGTGAGATGACGGGTGGATTTTATTTTCTTCTCTAACTGGTTCTACTTGCCTTCCTCCAATTTTCTGTGTGTGTATGTATGTGTGTGTATTATACATTATTCGTAAAACTAGTAAATCACACATATTCTAAAAGAAATGAAATGCTGTGTGTCCAGCTGGTTTCTTTCAGTCTCTTTGATTGGCAGCGCCTGTGATCCTGTGATGGGCTCGGAGGACAGGGACACAATTGTTTTCCCTGGAAGCTGACGAGAGGAAACTGCTGGGGAGGGTGAAATGGGTGGTGCTGACCTGGTAGAAACTCCACGGGCCTCAAAGCGGAACCTTTCCCGAATTAACCAGCCTGTCTGGCCTGTCTTTGGCAGCTCAAGCAGGAAGCCAGGACCAGGGAGCCCTGTCCACGGGAGAAGCAGCGGCTGGTGCGGATGCATGCCATCTGCCCCAGAGACGACAGCGACTGCAGCCTCGTCAGCTCCACAGAGGTACGGCCGCTCCTCCCGCCTCCCTCACTGCCTTGACCCTCTGGGCCAGCCCAGGGGCCTCTCTGTCAGGACGAAAGTGAGCCTCCTTCCACCCTGTCCCCACAGGGAAGAGGTTGGTACGATTGTGAGAGTTTTATTTTATTTTATTTTTTGAGACAGAGTCTCCTCTGTCACCCAGGCTGGAGTGCAGTGATGTGATTTCGGCTCACTGCAACCTCCACCTCCCAGGTTCAAGCGATTCTCTTGCCTCAGCCACCCAAGTAGCTGCATTACAGACACCTGCCACCATGCCCAGCTAATTTTTGTGTTTTTAGTAGAGAGGGTTTCAACATGTTGGCCAGGCTGGTCTTGAACTCCTGACCTCAAATGATCTGCCAGCCTCAGCCTCCCAAAGTGCTGGGATTACAGGCATGAGCCACCGCACCTGGCCCTATTGCGAGAGTTTTAAACATCAGAGGTTGATTCTGTCACAGTCCTGGAGCCCAGACATCCAAAGTCAAAGTGCTGACAGGGTACCCGTCTGGAAATCCTATTCCCAAAGAAGGTCACATTCACAGCTTGCAGGGTGGACATGAGTTTCCAGGGGAACCGATTCAACCTGGCACAGACAGTCCCCAGACATGAGTTTCCAGGGGATTCAACCTGGCACAGACAGTCCCCAGACATGAGTTTCCAGGGGACCCAATTCGACCTGGCACAGACAGTCCCCAGACATGAGTTTCCAGGGGACCCGATTCGACCTGGCACAGACAGTCCCCAGACATGAGTTTCCAGGGGACCCGATTCAACCTGGCACACATGGTCCCTGGGATGCCGGCCTCACTGTGGTTTCTGGAGCCTCAGGACCCTGGCATCTGTCCTCACCCTTTGGCAAAGTAAAGAGGTGGTCCCACCATAGTGGGCATGTGGCATGAGGATGCTGGGGGTCAAAGCCCCAGTGCCACAGGATGCCGGGAGCCGGGAGGGAGGGAGGGTGAGAGGCGGGCGAGGCTGACATCCCTTTGCCATGCCTTGGGGTGGACCTGGTGTTTCCTTCCTGGACCATCCCATCAGTGGCCCAAGAGCAGCAGGCCCAGGCTCACCTGCCCCCTGGCCACTCAGAGAGCTGGGGGAGGCCGGGATCTTCCCCAGAACACTGAGTGCACACACGGGGAAGATTTCACAGTCGGTGCTGGGCCTCCCTGGGCCAGGACAGTCCAAACCTTCAACTGAATCGACTCTCGCATCTGCCTTAACGCCCTCTGTGCCCCCATTCCCCACAGGACAGAGGCCAGCCGTGTTTCCCTTCCCCAGGGGTGGATTGGGTCAGGGAGGGAAGGGACCTCAGGTGCTCAGAACTGGCTCGCCAGAACACACCATCCTCATTCACCAGCCTCGTGGGCAACTGACCGATCAGCTGCCCTCCAGCCACTCTCCTCCTGCCCCGGCTTTCTAATCTGGCTGCTCTAGGGGGACTGCCTCCTACTTCATGGGCTCTCTGCGTGCCACTGCTCTGTTGCTCTCTCTGTCTGGAATGTGCCCCCTGCCCCCAACACACACACACTCCACCTCACTCCTCTGTCCATGCCACTTCCTCCAGAGAGTCCGCCCTGGCCTCCCTGCCCTGCCCATGTCGCCCACAGCCCTGGAATGCCTCACTCCACCTCACTGGTCCACGGGTGCCCGTTGGTTCCCCCACCCCAAGGACAGTCCCTGTCCTCAGATGTACATCTGACACTGTCAAAGGACCTGGCACATAGTAGCTACTCCAGGAATACTTATTAGTGAAAGAAGGGGCGGGATTCAGACCTACCCCACACATCTGGTGGCCTCAGCGCCTCGCACGTCACATTTGTCAGTGTGCACTCTGAGTGCGGCCTCCCCTCCCTAGTCACTAACTCAACCTCTCTGGGCCTCAGTTGCTTTGTGCATTAGTTCGTTCTCATGCTGGTGATACCCACATACCTGAGACTGGGTAATTTACAAAGAAAGAAGTTTAATTGACTCACAGTTCACAGTTCAGCATGGCTGGGGAGGCCTCAGGAAACTTACAATCATGGCAGAAGGCACCTCTTCGCAGAGCGGCAGGAGAGAGAATGAGTGCTCAGCAAAGGGGGAAGCCCTTTATAAAACCATCAGATCTTGTGAGAACTCAGTCACTCTCACGAGAACAGCATGGGGGAAACGGACCCCATGATTCAGTTATCTCCACCTGGTCCCACCTTTGACATGTGGGGATTATTACAATTCAAGGCGAGATTTGAGTGGGAACACACGGCCAAACTATATCACTTTACATGTAAAATGGGACAGCAGTGCCACCTTACAGATTTATCGTGAGAACTAAGCCAAGCAGCTAATAGAGCCTGACATACAGCATGTGTCAGTGCTGTGTGCTAATTGCATGTGACCCCAGTGTCTGGCATACAGCAGGTGCTCAGCGCATGTGACCCCATGTGTGTCCTTCTTTCCCCTCCTGCCTCCTCTCCAGTCAGTTCTCACTGTGGCTCTCTCTACACCGTGGGGGAGCAAGGGAGGAGTCTCAGGGTGTCCTCGTGCGTGCCCCACTGACTTCTGCCCTCCCTCCTCCAGTCTCAGCTCTTGTCGGACCTGAGTGCCACGTCCAGCCGCGAGCTGGTGGACAGCTTCCGCTCCAGCAGCCCCGCGCCCCCCAGCCAGCAGTCCCTGTACAAGCGGGTGGCCGAGGACTTCGGGGAAGAACCCTGGTCTTTCAGGTAGAGCACTGGGGTCCTTCCTGGCACTGGGGTGGCACTGGGGTCCTTCCTGGCAACTCACCAGAGACACCAACCTAGACCTCAGGGCATCTGGGTATTGCAGGCAGCAGCTCCTGCCCTCGAAGCCCCAGAGCTGGCAGGTGCTGGGGGCCAGTGCTTGGGGCGTGGGGACTCAGAGGGAGCAGGTGATGCAGTTTGAGCCTGCTGCTGCTTATGCTTTGCAGCAGCTGCCTGGAGATCCCGGAGGGAGACCCGGGAGCCCTGCCGGGAGCTAAGGCAGGCGACCCACACCTGGATTATGAGCTCCTAGACACGGCAGGTGAGCACGCCCAACCCTGAACCTCCACAGCAGTCCACCTCCCCTGGGCAGAGCAGGGAGCTGATGAGAAAGCCGGGGCCTCTCTCCAGGGAAAGGGCAGATAGAAGCAGAGCTCAACTTCTGCCCTGGGCCTTGACCTTGGCCTCGACCTTGCACTTTGGGAAAGTCCCGCCTGCCAGCCAGCGTAAGCCAAAGGCCGGCTGCGCTCTGTCTGCTGGTGTCCTTGTGTTTTTCCCTAGAGCCAGGGGAGTTGTGTCTGATCCACGCCCTGCTCAGCACCCAGCCCCCTGCTCTGATCTGTAACGCTTGGGCTTCCCAGTGGTTTCAGAAGGCAGCAGGCAGGGTGGCTTAGTGGTGCCAGGCTGAGGCGAGGCACAGCGTGACATCTACCTGCGGGGAGCATCTCTCCTCTCAGGCGCTGGCCCTGAGGCCTCGCGCTTCTCCTGTAGCTCATTTCTGTTTGTGATTGGACCGGCCCTCTCTGCTTCCCAAGTCCATGGGCCCGTCATGGGTGGGTGCCTTAATCCTTTCCACCTCGGCGCGACCGGCTCCCAGCCTTGGGCCTTGCACACAGTAGGTGCTTTGCTCCCCATTTGGAATTCACCCCATGGCCACCAGGGGGCGCAAGTGCCCTGCGCTGCCCCTGTGCCTTCTGTGGGTCGCAGAATCAGAAATCTTCATCTTTGGGGACTCATACACGTTTTTATTTATAATCGTGATAAATCGAGAGAGACCACCCAAGGCATATCTAAATTAGATGTGAGATGAGAAGAGGGGCTTATTCCTCTTTATTTTTCCTCTGTGAGGATTCTGCGTAATGCCCTGGTTGCATATACTTTTAGTGGAATTGACCTCAAATACATCCAGAGTACACAGCTCATTTCATTGGCTTTGAATGTGATCCCAATGGGTTTTTGCCTGTGAGCCAGGCCTAGGGAACTCTCAGGTCTCTGCTGGCCCTGGCTCTGCTGTGTGGTTCACAGAGTGAGACTTGCAGCCGTCGACCCTGGCAGGCTGCTCCCTGGTTCGGGGGCTCACAGGCTGTACAGTAAAATGCTAGAGCTTGGGAGACCCTGGGGAGCCTCTAGTCCTAGGATTGACAACTCAGAGACCTGCCACCACCAGCTGGGAAGCAGAGGAGTCTGGGGTAAGGAGCAGGCAGCTGCTGGCCAGTGCCAGTGATTGCGGCCACACAGAAATGCAGGCCTGTGTGGAAATGCAGGCCAGTGTGGAAATGCAGGCCAGTGTGGAAATGCCGTGTAGTACAGTAGTGCAGGTCTGGGTAGAAATGCAGGTCCATGTTTGGGAGGTCAAGGTGGGCGGATCATGAGCTCAAGAGATCGAGACCATCTTGGCCAACATGGTGAAACCTCGTCTCTACTAAAAATACAAAAGTCAGCTGGGCATGGTGGCACACACCTGTAGTCCCAGTTAGTCAGGAGGCTGAGGCAGGAGAATCACTTGAACCTGGGAGGTGGAGGTTGCAGTGAGCCAAGATCGCACCACTGCACTCCAGCCTGGCGACAGAGCGAGACTCAGTCTCAACAACAATAACAACAACAACAAAAGAAATACAGATCCATGTAGAAAGGCAGGCCAGGGCCGGGTGTGGTGGCTCATGCCTGTAATCCCAGCACTTTGGGAGGCCAAAGTGGGTGGATCATGAGGTCAGGAGTTCGAGACCAGCCTGGTCAACATGGTGAACTCCCGTATCTACTAAAAATACAAAAATTATCTGGGCGTGGTGGCACATGCCTCTAGTCCCAGCTACTCAGGAGGCTGAGGCAGAAGAATTGCTTGAACCCGGGAGGCGGAGGTTGCAGTGAGCTGAGATCACGGCACTGTACTCCAGCCTGGGCGACAGAGTGAGACTCTGTCTCAAAAAAAAAAAAAAGAAAGAAAGAAAGAAAGAAAGACAGGCCAGTGCAGTGCAGGCCCACGCAGACATGGAGGTCAATGCAGTAATGCAGGCCAGTCCTGAAATGCAGGTCCATGCAGAAATACAGGTCAGTGCGGAAATGCAGCCCCAGGGTTACAGCAGATATTTTTTCAAGTGAAGCCAGAAATCCAGATTTTAGGTGAAACCTCCCTGTCTTTCAAATGTTGGCAACTCATTCAAATATCACAAAATAGCATGTGGTGGTCAGACCCTCCCAGTTGCAGCTCCTCACTAGTTACAGTGATTTTAGGAAAGATGAAATCAAGGTCCCAAGCATTGAGGAAGGGGTGGAGGAAGAGAAAGTTCAGCCTCAGCACAAAGGATGGAACAGGCAGTGGGGCCTGAGGCTGAGGGAGAAGGGGCTGAGGTTACAGGAGGTTACAGGACGCCCCATCAGCAGTGGGGTGACCAAGATCTGTGAAGAAGGGGCTGAGGTTACAGGAGGTTACAGGACGCCCCATCAGCAGTGGGGTGACCAAGATCTGTGAGCTCTTGGCTTCCTCCCAGACCTTCCGCAGCTGGAAAGCAGCCTGCAGCCAGTCTCCCCTGGAAGGCTTGATGTCTCGGAGAGGTAAGCAGCAGGTGGGAATCCTCCGAGGCTGGCTGGGGAACCAGGGCCAGGGAGTGGCAGAGCAGAGGGTGAGTGTCCTATTACCAATGGGAGGCAACAGCCTTTCCAAGCACATGGGGCCATGGAGGGGGAGGAGAATTCCAGAACACTGGGGCCAGAGGGAAGCAATGGGGAGGTGGCCTTGCCGGCTCTCCTGCTCTGGGCAGTGCACAAGCCGGTCGTCTCCCGGCCTGCAGCGGCGTCCTCATGCGGCGGAGGCCAGCCCGCAGGATCCTGAGCCAGGTCACCATGCTGGCGTTCCAGGGGGATGCATTGCTGGAGCAGATCAGCGTCATCGGCGGGAACCTCACGGGCATCTTCATCCACCGGGTCACCCCGGGCTCGGCGGCGGACCAGATGGCCTTGCGCCCGGGCACCCAGATTGTGATGGTGAGCCGTGCGAGGCCCCTCCTGTCCCCCGGGCTCCTCATGGGGACAGTGGCAGCGGGTGGGGTGACCCAGGCAGACTTCACCTCCCCCAGACGATGCAGATCCACTCTGGGCTGGGCCTCTGCTCTTTCCTGGGCTGACGTAAAGCGTTCTGCTCATTTATAGATGAGAGTCGTGCCGTGCAGAACCCAGCATGTCACCCGTGGTGCTGCTGCCATGCGGCGCTTCTGACCAGGGGTCTTTGCATGAGGCCCCTTGACAGGGCTGCTCTGGGTGGTCACTTTGGGTGTGTACAGTAAAATACACGTGACATAAAATTCACTATTTTAACCACTGGGGCATTTCTTTTCTTTCTTTTTTTTTGTTTGTTGTTTTGAAACAGGGTCTCACTCTGTCACCCAGGCTAGAGTGCTGCGGTGCGATCACAGCTCACTGCAGCCTCGACCTCCCCAGGCTCGATTGATCCTCCCACCTCAGCCTCTTAAGTAGCTGGGACCAGACCACAAGCATGCGCTACCGTGCCCGGCTAATTTGGGGACATTTTCTAAAACTTTTTTTTGTTGTTGTTACGAAACGCACAAAACTGCTGAGAAGATAAATGGACACAAATATACAACCTGGCCAGGTGTGGTGGCTCACGCCTGTAATCCCAGCAGAAGGCTGAGGCAGGCAGATCACTTGAGGTCAGAAGTTCAAGACCAGCCTGGCCAACACGGCGAAACCCCGTCTCTACTAAAAATGCAAAAATTAGCCAGGTGTGGTGGTGGGCGCCTGCATGGTCAGGGGGTGACTTTGATGTGGCCTAAAAGCAGAATTATTAAACTTTAGGAAAAAAAAAAACTTCTGGGCACAGTGGTACATGCCTGTAGTCCTAGCTACTCAGATGCCTGAGCCCAGGAGATTGAGGCTGCAATGAGCTAAGATTGCACCACTGCACTCGAGCCTGGGTGACAGAGCAAAGCCTTGTCTCAAAAAAAAAAAAAAAAAAAAGAAAAGAAAAAAAAAGGCCAGGCACGGTGGCTTATGCCTGTAATCCCAGCACTTTGGGAGGCTGGAGCAGGCAGATCACCTGAGGTTAGGAGTTTGAGACCAGCCTGGACAACATGGTGAAACCCCGTTTCTACTAAAAATACAAAAAAAAAAAAAAAATAGCTGGTATCTATAATCCCAGCTACTCAGGAGGCTGAGGCAGGAGAATCACTTGAACCTGGGAGGCGGAGGTTGCAGTGAGCTGAGATGGTGCCACTGCACTCCAGCCTGGGTGACAGAGTGAGACTCGGTCTCAAAAAAGAAAAAAAGAAAAGAAAAAGGAAAGCACAGTGCTTTCTTAATATGAAAAAAATTTTAAACCAAGAAATGTGCAAGATGGGCTTCACCTCATTCCAGAGGCTCACCCTGCGGCCTCCAGGAGGGGACTGGGGATGGGGGCTCTGGGGTGGGAAGGTGAGCACAGAGGCGGGGAGAGGATGCGTCTGAACCCCTCAGGCAGGAGTGTTCCATGCACCCCTCACTGCCCCCTTGGAACAGGCTGTCCAAATGCTGAGCTCCCCTAGGGCTCCAATGATAGCACATGGAGCACCTAATTCAAGCGTCCTTCACGTCCTCCACATGACCCGGGAAGCCTTTCTTTACATGTCATTTTTTTTTTTTTTTTTTTTTTTTTGAGACAGAGTCTTGCTCTGTCGCCCAGGCTGGAGTGCAGTGGCTCGATCTTGGCCCACTGCAACCTCCACCCCCTGGGTTCAAGCGATTCTCTTGCCTCAGCCTCCCATGTAGCTGGGATTACAGGTGCCCGCCACCACACCCGGCTAACTTTTGTATTTTTAGTAGAGACAGGGCTTCACCATGTTGGCCAGGCTGATCTCGAACTCCTGACCTCAAGTGATCCACCCACCTCAGCCTCCTAAAGTGCTGGGATTACAGGCATCAGCCACCATGCCCAGCCCTTCTTTACATTTCTAGTTGTCCTCTTAAGCAGCAGTCCCCAACCTTTTTGGCACCAGAGACCGGCTTCATGGAAGACAACTTTTCCACAGACCGGGTTGTGGGGGATGGTTTTGGGATGATTCAAGCACGTTACATTGATTGTACACTTTATTTCTATTATTATTACACTGTAATATGTAATGAAAGAATCATACACTGAACCATAATTCAGAATCAGTGGGAGCCCTGAGCTTGTTTTCCTGCAACTAGACGGTCCCATCTGGGGGTGATGGGAGACGGTAACAGATCATCAGGAATTAGATTCTCATAAGGAGCGTGAAACCTAGATCCCTCACTTGCACAGTTCACGATAGGGCTCATGCTCCTCTGAGAATCTACTGCTGTGCTGAGCTGACAGGAGGTGGAGCTGAGGCCGTAATGCTCACTTGCCCACCACGCCCCTCCTGCTGTGTGACCCGGGTCCTGATGGACCATGGACCAGTACCAGTATGTGGCCCAGGGGTTGGGGAACCCTGCTCTTAAGGTTCCCAATTATCAGCTCTGAGGTAGTTCAAGCAACAGAGCCCCTTGACGATGTTCAGGGAGATAGTCCCGATATCCTAAGGGGGCCAATTAGATTCTAATGGTGTTAAAACACATCTTAATTTTTATTGTAAAAATATCTACTCTCCTAAGCTTAGAACAATATTGAGAAGAAATGAAGTGGATGGTGGAAGCCCTGGGGGGTGGGCCTTCACAGTGGGGAAGGCTGTGGGTGGAGAGCCAGGGCATCGGGTAGGTGAAGGCCAGGGATGCCACTCAGCATCCTGTAGGGCCCGGTATAGCCCGCAGCAGCACAGAATGATCCCAAGGCTAAGAAACCTCTATCTAGAATGCTCTTGAATGTTCTAGAACCGAGGTTCTTTCTTTTCTTTTCTTTTCTTTTTCAAGACAGGAAAGTGCTTATCACAAAGAACCCCCGATCTCGACTGGGGAAGGGTTGGCAGTTGACTCTCTGGCCAGCACTATGTGTAGCACGCATCACTAGAGGTGTGAAGGCCCCACAGAGGCTCTGGTGTGTGGCTTTGTTTTGACCAAGGCGTGCAGGCAGTGGTCCTACGGCAGGGCTGGCCCGCGCCTCGCCTCAGTGCCCTCAGCGCCTTCTGTCTTCTGGCTGGATTCAGAGTCCCGGGGGAAAGAGACTGACCTTCTCGACTTGCCCTCAGGTTGATTACGAAGCCTCAGAGCCCTTGTTCAAGGCAGTCCTGGAGGACACGACCCTGGAGGAGGCCGTGGGGCTTCTCAGGAGGGTGGACGGCTTCTGCTGCCTGTCTGTGAAGGTCAACACGGACGGTACACATACCACTCCTCTCGTGTGCACAGCTGCCTGGCCAGACTCCATGACCCTTAAGTCCCTGGTGGTTCTTCTGCACGCCCAGCAGCCAGGGACCCCCAGAGCCAAGAGAGGATCAGCCAGGCTGTGCCCCAGGTCCCCAGGAGGCCCCCAAGCCAGCTGGAAACCTCCCACCCACTGACTCCAGTGCCAGAGCAGCTTCTGAGACTGGGAGGGTCCTTCCTTCTCTCCTACTTTAATTTTCTGCAACCTTCCTCGCAGAGGCTCGTATCTGTGGCTCATCTGTGGCTCATGTCCCCTTTTATCAGGTTATAAGAGGCTACTCCAGGACCTGGAGGCCAAAGTGGCGACCTCGGGGGACTCATTCTACATCCGGGTCAACCTGGCCATGGAGGGCAGGGCCAAAGGGGAGCTGCAGGTGCATTGCAACGAGGTCCTGCACGTCACCGACACCATGTTCCAGGGCTGCGGCTGCTGGCATGCCCACCGCGTGAACTCTTACACCATGAAGGATACTGCCGCGCACGGCACCATCCCCAACTACTCCAGGTGAGCAGCTGCCTCGAGCTCGGTGCGTCCCCAGAGAGGCCCACAGGGAAATGGCACCCAGCCTGCCTCGGCTTCCTCCTCCTGCCCAGCAATAGAGGGTGGGCGTGGTGAGACCCCCCTAAGGAGGGAAGCCTGCCAAGATCACTGCTGAAGATGTTGTTTCTTTGTGATGGATGCTTTATATATTGCAAATGAAATGTTCATTCTAGAACATTCTAGATCTGGGTTTCTTAGCTCTGGGTTTCTTAGCTTTGGTACCATGGACGTTTGGGGCTGGATCCCCGTCTGTGGTGGGGCCGTCCTGGGCACTGCAGGATATAGAGCAGCATCCCTGGCCGCCCTACCCAGGATGCCGGGACTACTCCCATGCCCCAGCTGTGACAACCAGAAATGTCTCTATAGGTTGCCAAGGGTCCCCTGGTTCTCCTAGGACTGTCTTGGTCTTAGCACTGAAAGCCCCACTTGCAGGGAAGCCCCTCGGTCCTGGGCAAGCAGGGACAGCTGGTCACCCTCCCTGGGGAGTGACATTGCCCCCTGCCTTGCTCCATTGAAAACCACTGCTCTAGGCCGAGCATGGTGGCTCACACCTGTAATCCAAACACTTTGGGAGGCCGAGGCGGGTGGATCATCTGAGGTCAGGAGTTCGAGACCAGCCTGGGTAACCTGGTGAAACCCTGTCTCTATTAAAAATACAAAAAACTTAGCTGGGCGTGGTGGCAGGTGCCTGTAATCCCAGCTACTCAGGAGGCTGAGGCAGGAGAATCACTTGAACCCCGGAGGCAGAGGTTGCAGTGAGCCGGGATTGAGCCATTGCACTCCAGCCTGGGCGACAGAGTGAGACTCTGTCTCAAAAAAAAAAAAAAAGAAAAGGAAACCATTGTTCTAGATCAGCCTATGGGAGGCTCCAAGTTTCAAGTGCACGGAACGCACAGTGCTAGAAAGCAGGAGTGTTGAGCTCAGCACCCCCATCACTCATTGCAAACTCAAGTCCCCTGGGGATCGGAGCCAGCAGGTCCAGGGAGAGGCCTGGCACTCTGCATTTCTAACAGCTCTCTCGGTGACTCCAGGCTGCAGGCCAGGGACCCACCATGAATATTGAGGTCCTGGAGTGGGGCCCTGTACGCTGGCTGCTCAACAGCACCCCCTGGGTCCCGCCCCAGGACAAGTAAATCAGCATCTCCAGGGGTGGGCCGAGGCCCTGGAGTCTTTTGAAAGCTCTGGAGACTGGCATGGCCGCCAGGATGGAGCGCTCCAGCCTGCAGCAAAGGGATGTGTGGAGCTCTAGGTGGAGGCCCTTCTCTCCCACCCGGCCATCTCCCCCACTCTCCCCTGCTCGGCTCTCCCCTGCCCTGCTCACCTGGCAGGAGGCAGCTGGGTCAGGGCCTCTGCTGGTCTCTGCAGGGCTCAGCAGCAGCTCATAGCCCTCATCCAGGACATGACTCAGCAGTGCACCGTGACCCGCAAGGTGAGGCTCCAGGGAGGGGCCTGGACCCCACTGGGGTGGGCTGGAAGAGGGGCTCGGTGCTGGCAGGGTGGCAGGAGGCACTGTGTGGAGAGTGGGCTGCTGATTGGAGGGTAACCCCACCTGTCTCTCCTCTGCACCCCTTCAAACCAGGGCAGGGTCTGCAGCCCCTGCCCAGCCTGCAGGCTCTTGCACAAGTGCAGACACACCTCAGGCTGTTCTCAGAGCATCTGCGCCTCTGCATCACTCCCAGGTCGCCCTAGTGCCAATCATCTCCCCTGAATTCCCATTCCTGTTGATGGCTTCAACAGCTCCTCCTCATCCTTTCTCTGTCCCTCCTTTAGCCATCTTCTGGGGGACCACAGAAGCTGGTCCGCATCGTCAGTATGGACAAAGCCAAGGCCAGCCCTCTGCGTTTGTCCTTTGACAGGGGCCAGTTGGACCCCAGCAGGATGGAGGGTGAGGCCTGGTGAGCTGGCACAGGGGCCACTGGCTCCAAGTGGGTGAGGGGCTTTGGGAGCTGCTGCTAGTTGGTCAGCTGGGGCAGGGGGATGCCACTCATTTAGGCCAGGATCTGGTCTTCAAGAATCATGGGGCTGGGTGTGGTGGCGCACACCTGTAATCCCAGATACTCGGGAGGCTGAGGCAGGAGAATCGCCTGAACCCGGGAGGCAGAGGTGGCAGTGAGCCGAGATGGTGCCATTGCACTCCAGCCTGGGCAATAAGAGCAAAACTCTGTCTCAGGAAAAAAAAAAAATTTCAGGAGAGGAGTACAGGACAGAGGGAGGGCTAGGACCCTGTGCCCTGGAGGATGGCTGAGGAGAAGGGTGCCACTCTCCCAGATCCTTTGGAAGGAAGAAAACCCTGGCTTCCGCCATCCTCCCTTGGGCCTATAGGAAACAGGATTAAGTTGCAGGCTGCAAAGCAGTCCCTGGAGAGCCACAGAGCTGTGTAACCCCCGTGCAAAGGAGCCGCTCAGCCAGGGGCTATGGAACTGGGAGTGAGTCCTGTGACCGCTGAGCCTGTGCCCCTGGAATTCTAGGTGCTGGGGCTGCTGCAGTGAGCAAAGCAGACCCAGTCCCTCCCGGGGCAGGGTAGGCTGGCTGGGGGCTGCCGCAGCCTCACCCACCCTCAGGATCCTCTCCTCCACAGGCTCCAGCACGTGCTTCTGGGCCGAGAGCTGCCTCACCCTGGTGCCCTATACCCTGGTGCGGCCCCATCGACCCGCCCGGCCCCGGCCTGTGCTCCTCGTGCCCAGGGCGGTTGGGAAGATCCTGAGCGAGAAACTGTGCCTCCTCCAAGGGTTTAAGAAGTGCCTGGCAGGTATGCTGTTGCCTGGGAATCCCTCTACCCCTTCCACCTTCCCTCCCTCCCTCCTCCCCTTCCTCCCTCCTTCCTCCCCTTCCTCCCTCCTCCTTCCCTCCCCCACCACGCACATTCCCACACTCACCTGCTGTGTCCAGATAGTTCAGGATGGAGGTGCAGGGCACAGAGCGGGGTGTGCAGGGTCAGGTTTGTAAAGTGGACATCCTAAGAAGAGCTTCTCCCAGTGCTGGCAGGGTTCACGGGGACAGGGGTGTTTACCATGGGACTCCCCCAGACCCCCACACAGCTGGTCTATGATGGCCCCGTCCAATGTCACCTGTAGAGTACTTGAGCCAGGAGGAGTATGAGGCCTGGAGCCAGAGAGGGGACATCATCCAGGAGGGAGAGGTGTCCGGGGGCCGCTGCTGGGTGACCCGCCATGCTGTGGAGTCCCTCATGGAAAAGGTGAGGTCAAGGGCGGGGTGGGCAGGGGAGCTGTCCTGGGAAGGGTTTCAGGAATGCAGAGGAGGGGGATGAGATAAAGGTACAGGGACCGACCTGAGACCTGGGTGACCTTGTCGCCGACCTCTGGGTCCCAACAGCCCAGCAGGAGCCCAAAACTCATCTCAGCCAGTTAGGATCCACGTGACTGTGGGTGAGGTCTCCCAACTCCTTGAATCTCAGTTTCCTCAGCTTGGGGGATGTTTAATAGATATTTGTTCGAGAATGAATAAATCCGAGCTAACAACACTCTCCACGTTTGAAGGCGCAAACGCGTGAAAAGCAGCTCCCCGTGAACCACAGCTTTGTGTCTGCACAGGCACGGGAAGCCGAGTCTGGCATCTGCGTGCCTCCTGTAGGGGCTGGCGGAGCTCCATGCCAAGTTCACCTCATCCCCAGAGCTCACAATTTCTAGATTTTCCCAGTGAAAAATCAAAGGGATGGAAACTCTTAATACTGCATAGCACACAGCCTCATTTAGAAAGTGGCAAACTCAGCTGGGCCTGGGGCTCACGCCTGTCATCCCAGCACTTTGGGAACCCGAGGTGGGAGGATCGCTTGAGCCCAGGAGTTCAAGACCAGCCTGAGCAACACAGTGAGACCCGTCTCTAAAAAAAATTAAAAAATAAAAAGAGAAGAAAGTAGCCGGGCACAGTGGCTCGCGCCTGTAATCCCCACACTTTGGGAGGCCTAGGCGGGAAGATTGCTTGAGCCCAGGAATTTGAGACCAGCCTGAGCAACACAGTGAGACACCCGTCTCTACAAAACATTTAAAAGCTAAAAAAATTAAAAGTGGGCCGGGTGCGGTGGCTCACGCCTCTAATCCCAGCACTTTGGGAGGCCGAGGCGGGCAGATCACCTGAGGTCAGGAGATCAAGACCATCCTGGCTAACACGGTGAAACCCTGTCTCTACTAAAAACAGAAAAAATTAGCCAGGCGTGGTGGTGGGCGCCTGTAGTCCCAGCTACTCGGGAGGCTGAGACAGGAGAATGGCATGAACCTGGGAGGCAGAGCTTGCAGTGAGCCGAGATCGCGCCACTGCACTCCAGCCTGGGCGACAGAGCGAGACTCCGTCTCAAAAAAATAAAAAATAAAAATAAAAAAAAGAGAGAAGAAAGTGGCAAGCTCTATTCCCTCATCTCCTCTACAAAATTCAGCTCTGCCCAGCTCCTGCCCTGCCCTCAGCCTGTCCGGAGGGCCCTTCTGACCTGGGCGTTGGCTCCCTTTGCTTCCTCTGAGGCCTGTGATCTTGACTCACTTCTTCTCTCCCTCCCACAAAGAACACCCATGCCCTCCTGGACGTCCAGCTGGACAGTGTCTGCACCCTGCACAGGATGGACATCTTCCCCATCGTCATCCACGTCTCTGTCAACGAGAAGATGGCAAAGAAGCTCAAGTAGGTGCACGCTGGGGGCTGGGCAGGGGCTTCGAAGCGGCTCCTGGGCTCCCCCAAAGCCCACGGCAGGTGCCTCTGGAGTGTGCTCTGCGGTTTGCAGGAAGCTGAGGCGCTGACAGGGCCGTTTCCGCACAACTTTGGGACAAGGGCCCCGCTGATTGCTCATGAGATTCCCCTGATTTTGGCCGGGCGTGGTGGCTCACGCCTGTAATCCCAGCACTTTGGGAGGCCAGGGTGGGCAGATTGCTTGAGGTCAGCAGTTCGAGACCAGCCTGGCCAACATGGAGAAACCCTGTCTCTATTAAAAATACAAAAACTAGCCAGGTGTGGCGGCGGGCGCCTGTAATCCCAGCTACTCGGGAGGCTGAGACATGATAATTACTTGAACTGGGAGGTGGAGTTGCGGTGAGCCAAGATCGCGCCACTGCACTCCAGCCTGGGTGACAGAGCGAGACTCTGTCTCAACAAAACAAAACAACAACAACAACAACTGCTCTGATTTCACGCTTACCAAACAAACTTGATTTCAAATCTGGCCTCTCCAGAATCTTGATACCAGGATGACGGTGCCTTTTACAGTGGGCAAAAGTAGCCTAGTCACTGGAAAATGACATTTTATAATTGAAATTTAAAGTTGTAAATTAACAAATTGGCACTCCCTCCCCCAAGAGCAGCTCAGAGGACCATTGTAAGGCCAGAACCCCACCCGGCCTCAGCTCCACTGACCCTCCACTTACTGGTGCTTGGCTAGCACAATCTAATCCTTGTCGGCTAAGGACAAAAAAAAAAAAAGTAAAAAAATTACTTGGTTTCCTGGGGACAGACCAAGATGTCCTGCTACTGTGCCCTTTCTACTCCAGGAAGCAAGGCTGTGTTCTAGACAACCTGCCTCCCACCACTGGGGCCTGGGGCCTATTTTCTTTACAAGGTCCCCTCAAAGCGAGGCCACCTGTGTTTAGGGGTGTTTGGGTGCATGTCATCACTACCCTAGCCAGGGCTCCTGGGCCCTTGCTCTCCCCTGAGCCCGCCCCCCCCAACTCTGGCCTGTGCAGGAAGGGCCTACAGCGGTTGGGCACCTCAGAGGAGCAGCTCCTGGAGGCTGCGAGGCAGGAGGAGGGAGACCTGGACCGGGCGCCCTGTCTATACAGCAGCCTGGCTCCTGACGGCTGGAGCGACCTGGACGGCCTGCTCAGCTGTGTCCGCCAGGCCATCGCCGACGAGCAGAAGAAGGTGGTGTGGACGGAGCAGAGCCCCCGATGATGCACCGTGCCCCTTCCCGGGACTGTGGGGGCTTCTGTGTGCCTGTTAATGCAGTCCTGTTCCTCAGCCCAGGCCCTCTTGGCACAGCTGTGGGCTCCTTGGCACATGAGGCCGGCTCTCCCCACTGGCTGGGGTCTAACCTTGAACCCTCACCACGTGCAGGTCACACACAGTGAAGCCACTTGTAACTGCACACTTTTCTGTGGAAACATCTTCACCCTTTACCAGGCTTGGCATGGTCTGAACTGGAAACCCTGAGAATGTTTCTGCAGTGGGACAGGAGGGACGTCTTCCCATGCCTTCCCTAGAACCGGAGGCCCCGGACTTCTCTGGAAAACCGCCTGTCTGCAGGCCCGATTCAAATCTATGGGGGCTGCACTTCCCTTTTACATTTTGATGTGTCAAAGGCTTTTGGAGTGACCAAAAGCACAGAGGCAGCGGGTGGGGCGCCTGGGTGGTCCCCAAGGTCGCTGCCACCCTTGCCCGGGGCAGAGGCAGAAGCCCACATATGCTGTGACGCTGGCCACCTTTTCTCAGCTTCTGAGGCTGCGATGCCTCAGGAACTCCAGTTTACAGAGACCAGTGTGTTTACTTGTAAATAAAGCCTCTGCGTGGTGGAGACGGTACTTTCAGTGGGTCTGTGCCCCGTGGCCCCTGTGCCTGTTCGGTGGGGGTGTCCCAGAGAAGCCTGGCACCAGTACCCCCGTACAAGGCCCAGCGGACTCTGCCTTCCCCTGACCTGGCTTTGCACCCCAGCCCTTCTTGGGCCAAACATCTTTACTCCACCTTCAGGGCTCGGGGAGGACCCAGGTCCGCCAGCACCTGGCCTTGCCCCTGCCTCCTGGGGCTGTTGCAGACTGAATGTCATTTTGACAGCAGTGTCCAAGAATCAGGAAGCTGTTCTAGAATTCAGGTTGGTATCATCATAAATGAGTTCAGAAAAAGAACTTCTGTATATTTTACTAAAATAAAAAGCTTTTACAATAGCTGGCCTGTGGCCTCCTCCAGCCCACCCCAGTATGGAGTGATAGGGAGGGAAGGGCAAGGGGAGCCCACCTACTCAAGGAAGCGCCCTCTCCTTCGAGGGGTGTCCAGGCCGAGGGGTGTCCAGGCCGGGCTTCTGCTCCCGAGGTGGGTGGAGGCAGGGCAGGAACGGCACATTCTCCCAGCAACGCCGACGTCATCCAAGAATTAACCCAAGCCAGAGGACGGGCATCGCCACCCAGCAACGCCAGTGTCACCGAAGAATTAACCCAAGGCAGAGGATGGGCATTGCCACCCAGCAACGCCAGTGTCACCGAAGAATTAACCCAAGCCAGAGGACGGGCATCACCACCCAGCAATGCCAGTGTCACCGAAGAATTAACCCAAGCCAGAGGACGGGCATCGCCATGCCTTCATCTTCGGACACTCTCAAAAAAGATAAGCTTCTGCCCAGAAACACCACAGGTTCAAGCTCATCACTCAGGGAGCCTGCTGCCAATCAGCTGAAACCTGCCTGGGGAACAGGGACTTGACCATGGGGCAAAACAGAAGAAGCAGAAACCTGCCCAAAGGTCGCTCAAAGGCTTCCTCTAGGCCAGACGCTGGTAAGAGCCAGGCGCCGTGCTCCCAGGTGAGTGTCGGTGGGACCTGCGTACTGCCCACGCGGCACCGAAGCCCCTGCCTGCTCTCTGTGAAGGGTTCAGAAGTATCTGTGGCTGCCAAAGCCTGAAGAGGGCCTCAGGCCTCCCATTTGCAGGTCCCCAAACCAAGCCAGAAAACAAGACTCCCTTGTCATGGGCTGGGGGCGCTGCCCTGTCCGCAGACCACGTATGTCTAGAATTCCCGTGCTGGGACATGGTTCAGACACAAGGACAACTGTGTCCCCTGCCATGACGGCAGTGCCCCTGGTGGTGGAGGGGCTGGGCACATGCTCTGGTCACATGCTCTGGTCCCCCTCCAGGCAATGGCAAGAGTGACCCCACAGGAAGGAAGAACCCTCCTTGGATGGGAGTGTGGACGGAAGGGCTGTTGCCACTACTCCCCAGGCTGGCCGGCCACACGGACACGTGTGGGATGTGTCTGGGACATGCCTGGGATGTGTGCACAGGCCTCCTGGGATGGTCACAGCTCATTGTGGAGGGGCTGGCACTGGGGAGAGAGCTTCTCCTCCAGGACGCCGTCGGGGGCGCACACCCAGGGGTCGTGGGTCTCCCACTGCCACTTGGCCAGCTGGTCCCGAAGCATCTCCAGAAGCTGAGCAAAGCGCGGGTCGGTGGCCAGGTTCTGGGTCTCGTGGGGGTCCCGGCTCCGGTCGTAGAGCTCCCAGCGCGCCCGGTAGTAGTAATGACGGAGGTCCTTGTACCAGCCCGTGGGCTGACCAGCTGTGGTGCGGTTCAGGAGGTCCTGGAAGGTGGGTGAGACGTAGAAGTCCTGGTCGATGGGAAAGGGCATCTTGAAGTTGAGGTTGTGCACGAGGCGGAAGTGCCGGTGCTGCACGGAGCGCATGGGGTAGGACATGGTGACCTCGTGGTGGCTCTGGCTGCCAAAGACGGTGGCCCAGAGGGGCTCGGCCTCCAGCGCCGGCAGGAGGGACCGGCCAGTGAGGTGGATGGTCTTCGAGCCAAAGATGGCGTAGCTGGGGTACGGGATCGAGAACCAATCCAAGATGGTGGGCGTGAGGTCTGGAAGGGACGCGGCATCTCAGAGCAGCAGAGCCCTCAGCACACAGGAGCTGCCCTCGGAAGGGCCGAACCTACGCCACTCTGGGCGGCTCCCTTCTCCAATCCAATCAGCAGCGGGAGGTGCCTTGTCGAGCCGACACCTCTCACCGCCACGTCATCTCTCTGGGCCTCAGTGCCTTGAATGGTATAACAAGAGGCCCTGATTCGGTGACATTTAGGATCCTTCTAAAATCCCATGGACTGGAAAAGAAGTCTCCTTTTTGGTAGCTCGTGTACTCCAGCCCCTGTGGTGGGTGTGGCCACAGTGCTCCTGGCTCATCATTTGGGGCCAGAGAGAGATGTGGGCCCCAAGAGAGATGTGGGCCGCGAGCTCGGAGGGAAAGGGAACCTGAGTTTCCTGCTGTCCCGGGCCCACCCCACCTGGAGGCTCTGCCAGGCAGTGGGCAGGACACACGAGCCTCTGCCCTGTGCCGAAGGGGTCACCCCGAGCCCCTCACAAAGTCTTCCTGCACCCGTGTCTTTGTCTGCACATCCATAACATGGGACTAGATGTCCTAGGTCTTTTTAGGAATGAGCAGGGTCATGAGGTGCTTTGGGTCCCCCAGGAAGGCAGGATGGGGTGCACGGATGCTCAGAGAGGGGTCCCCAGGCCCACAGTATCGGCATCACCTGGGAACTTGTCAGACATGCAAATTCTTGAGCCCGCCAAGATCTACTGAATCGGACACCCTGGGATTTGCAATTTGGATATTAACAAGCATCCCAGGTGATTCTGAAGCTCATCGGAGGTAGGCGGGGAAAAGGCAATGGTTTTGAAAGCAGCAGGATCCAGGCGAGAATCCTAGCTTAGTGCTTACCAGCTGTGCAATCCTGAGCAGCTTACTTCACCTCTCTGAGCCTCATTCTTTTCCTCTGTAGAGTGGGAGTGACAGTCCCTTCCTCACCCAGATGATATGAGAGCCACATTAGGTAATGGGTGTGGAGCAGCATCTGACAGGTCATGGCCCCGTCCCAGATCCACTCCCACACCTTTCCTGACGGAGACAGACAAAGGCATACCTAGGAGGCTCACGTAGGCCTCGCTGACTTGGCCCCAGCGTTTTGGGTGCTCCGGGGATGACACCAGTAAGGGTTCAGCAGTGCCCGGCCAGTACAGGTTGGTCCTGCCGCTGGGGAAGGGGATCCCGTTGTCGGACGTGAAGATCACCAGTGTGTCGTTCAGGACACCGGCGTCACGCAGCTCCTGGAGCACCAGTCCAACTCCTGTGGTGAGGGGCCGAGAAGCAGAGCTCAGCCGCAGACACGGAGGGAGGCAGCGGGTGGTGTGTGTAGACCCACCTGCTGCTGCATCCGGCCGCTGGGCTCCAGCGCTTTCCGGATTCGAAAGCACCCTGTAGTTCTTCCCAATGGCCCTGGCTCTTGCCCAGCTCTTGCCCAGCTCCGCCCAGCTCCCATTCCCTGAGCAGGCCTCGAATGGGCCTCCAGGGACTCCAGCCATCCCTTGGCACTTCTGTGTCACCCCCAGGCAGCTGCTCCCTGGTGCCCGCCGGCTTTTGAGTTCTCCGGAATCTCGTGTCTGTCCCATGGAGCAAATAGGGCAGGGGCCAGAGGACGAGGCTTCCTCTATACTCGCTCCTTCCCAGCTGGGGCCAGAGGACAAGGCTTCCTCTATACCCGCTCCTTCCCAGCTCACTAAGAATTAATGGCACCAATAGGGAAATGGCAAAGGTCCTGACCTCCTGTCGTCCCTGACCCCAAAAGACATGTGTGCTGGAATCTGTGAAGGGGTTCTTGTTTGGAAAGGGGAACTTCACGAATAAAGATCTTGGGACAAAATCATCCTGAAGTGCTCAGGTAGGCCCTAAACCCGACGGGGTCCTTATAAGAAGCGGAAACAGGCCGGGCGCGGTGCCTCACACCTGTAATCCCAGCACTTTGGGAGGCTGAGGTGGGCGGATCACGAGGTCAGGAGTTCAAGACCAGCCTGGCCAATGTGGTGAAACCCCGTCTCTACTAAAAATATAAAAATTAGCTGGGCATGGTGGCGTGCGGTGCGATTGCAGTCCTAGCTACTTTGGAGGCTGAGACAGAAAAATCGCTCGAACCTGGGAGGTGGTGGTTGTAGTGAGCCGAGATTGCGCCACTGCACTCCCGCGTGGGTGACAGAGCAAGACTCAGTCTCAAAAAAAAAAAAAAAGAAGAAGTGGAGACACAAAGAGGAGACACAGGAAAAAAGGCCATGTGAAGGCTTCAGCGGGGATGGGGGCGATTCTGCCGCCAGCCCAGGAACGCCCAGCACTGGCACAGCCCCCAGAAGTTGGAAGAGGAAAGGCAGGGTCTCCCCTAGGCCTTCAGGGGAGCATGGCCCTGCTGACACCTTGATTTCAAACTTCTGGCCTCCTGAACTGTGGGAGTACAAATTTTGGTTGCTGTAAGCCATCAACCACAAAAAACTCACAGACCTCAAGATCTCCATCTGCATATGCTAAGGAACTCCAAACCCCCAAATCTGACCCAGGTCCTGTGACTGGAAATATCTGAAGTCTTCACGCAACCTCTGGGGCACCCGAAGGCCCCAGCCCAGGAGCAGGTCCACATCAGGGCAGCCCCGGGGTTGGGTCCTGATGCCACCCACAGGCCCCTCCTCTCAATGTGGGCTCTGCCAGCTGCAGCACAGGGCCTGCCACACTGGGACCCTCACCCACATTATGCCGTGACCTAAGAGGGCGCTGGCCCAGGATGGGGGACCCCGGCCGTGGCACCCCCTCCAGTGCCCGGTTCTGCAAGCCCACCTTGGTCCATGCGGCCGACGGTGGTGTACTGAGCGGCCAGGTCGGCTCGGGCTGCCGGGGTGTTGGGGACGAAGTAAGGCACCTGGGGCAGGCGGTGGGGAGCCAGGCTTAGAACAGACAGACCGGGGGAGCGGTGTCCAGCCTTCTCCCCGGGGCCTCCTGCAAATGGGTTAGCCCAGAACAGCCTCACTCCGGACCACCCCGTCTCTCTACGGTTCTCTCTGTGGCCCCGAGGTTGGGAACCTGAATCCGATTTGGTCAGAGCCTCTTTCTTCATCATCTAGGGCCAGGGCTGCAAGCTCGTAGGAGGCCAGGGTCCCCGACCCAGGGCTGACGGGCGTCCTGAAACACAGGAGGGGCCGTCCTACCAGCACGTCCAGTGGGTCGTAGGCCTGGGGGGTCCAGTCTGGGATACGACCCATGCCGCTCTCTCCGTTGCCAAACTTCTCACAGAAGGTTCCGTACTGGGGCTGGGAGTGCCCACAGCGGTGGGGGTCGTGGAAGGCGACGTAGAGGAAGAAAGGCCTGCACGGGAGGAGGCTCATTGCCAAGGCTGCGGGGCCACTGCCACGTGGCACAGGAAGCCCCTCGGCTCTGCCTCCTCCTCTGTATCTGGAAGTCAACCTGTGACCCTCACTGCCTCAGTTTCCCCACGTCCCTTCTCCCTCTGACCAGGCTAACTCGAGTACCTGGAACCTTCTCCCCTGCCCCCATTCGAGCCACGTGGGGGCCCATGCATCCCGCCGGAAGACTCCGGGCTGTGCTCTGGTACCGGCCGCCAGGGGGAAGGGGCAGGGGCCCCGACTCATACCGGTCATCCTGAGTCTGCAGGAATTTCCGGACGAGCAGCTTAATTCTAGTGATGTTCCGCCCCACCTGGAGGACGGAGCCATTCTCCTCCGTGTACGCAAAGTCAAACGGGTACACGGTCTCCGGCCCCACGTGCTTCTTCCCGATGATGCCTGGGCGGGAAGAGAGGCCTGGCCAGAGTCCCTTCAGCCTCCCAACCCTTTCTGCTCCCTTCTCTGCCCCTCTCGGCCCTAAGCGCACTGTGGGTTCTCGTGGACACACAGCCCAGCCAGGAGACCCAGGCCCAGATCCTTTGGGACAAGAGCTAAGGGCAGGCCACGGGGGCTGAGCGTGCCTTGGTACAAGGTGCCGAACCTCCTGGGCTCTGGCCTGGCCTCTGTGCCTCACCCCACGCCCTGTCCTCGGCACGGGGTCCTCACCTGTGCGCACACCAGCTTGGCTGAGCAGCAGCGGCAGGCTCCGCACCTTGTCGAAGGAGTTGAAGTGGTGCACGTCCTGGTGCAGCCCGTACATCCCATTCTGATGCTGCCAGCAAAGGCGCATGAGGTCCGGGGCCCCCGGACAGCCAGAGCCCGCCTGCCGCACCTGTTCTCCCACGGCCCTCCCATCCCCAGGGGCCTTCTCGGGGCCCTGATTTAGACTTCGAGTGGCCAGCACCCAGAGACACTGGCTGTACCTCCCACTCCCTGCCCGATAGGCCCATGGGTCCCTCCCGTGAAAGGAGGACTTCGCCAGAAAGAAGGGGACCTGCAGGGCGTGCACCGACACGAGGGTGGCCTTGATGTTCTTTTTGCGTATCCGTACTTTTGAACTCTTCTGTTATGATCACACGTTACAGAGTGAAAAAGACAGGGTCAGGCCTTGTTTTATTACCTAGTTATTTTATATTGTAAAAGATGTGTACATTTTAAAAACTCAGACTGCCGGCCGGGCGTGGTGGCTCACGCCTGTAATCCCGGCACTTTGGGAGGCCAACGCAGGTGGATCACGAGGTCAGGAGATGGAGACCAGCCTGGCCAACATGGTGAAACCTCGTCTCTACTAAAAATACAAAAATTAGCTGGGCGTGGTGGCGGGCGCCTGTAGTCCCAGCTACTCGGGAGGCCGAGGTAGGAGAATGGCTTGAATCTGGGAGGTGGAGGTTGCAGTGAGCCGAGATCACACCACTGCACTCCAGCCTGGGCAACAGAGTGAGACTAAAAGAACAAGTGTCCTTAAACACCCATGTTCATAGCAGCTTTATTCACAACAGCCAAAGGGTAGCAGCAACCCAAGTGCCCACTGACGGATGAATATGGAGAAGCAAAATACGGGGCCCATCCATCCACTGGAATATGAGTCAGCCCTGAAGAGGAGGGAAGTTCTGACTCGTGCTACAGCATATGGTTAACCCTGAGGACATTGTGCTGAGTGAAGTAAGGACACAAAAGGGGGGCCGGGCTCGGTGGCTCACGCCTGTAATCCCAGCACTTTGGGAGGTCGAGGCGGGCAGATCACTTGAGGCCAGGAGTTCGAAACCAGCCTGACCAACATGATGAAACCCCATCTCTACTAAAAATACAAAAATTAGACAGGCGTGGTGGCGCGCACCTGTAATCCCAGCTACTCGGGAGGCTGAGGCAGGAGACTCGCTGGAACCGGGGAGGCAGAGGCTGCAGTGAGCCACGATCGCACCACAGCACTCCAGCCTGGGTGACAGAGTGAGACTCCAACTCAAAAAAAAAAAGGACTAGTCCTGTGTGATTCCACTCTTATGTGGCCCCTGGAGCAGTCAGATTCATAGAGACAGGGGATGGGGAGGGAGAATGTGGAGCTGGTGTTTCATGGGACAGAGCTTCTGTTTGGGTAGATGGAAAAGTTCTGGAGATGGATGGTGGTGATGGCTGCATAACACTGTGAATGCACTTAATGCCCCGGAACTGTGCGCTGAAAAATGGCTAAGATGGGAATGTTGATGTTTGTGCATTTTACCACAGTAAAATAGGAGCATGTGTGCCTTAACGGTGTCCGCTCCCTGCACCATGGCGTTCCTGGGACACTGTGGCCATGGCGGTTCACGCTGAGTGAGCCCACCAGGCCTCGCACTAAGTGTTTACATACAAAGCATTAGCCCCGCCAATCTCCATAACTAGAGTGGCATCTCATTACACCCACCATCTTACAGATGAGGAAACTGAGGCACAAGGAGGTAGGTGACTTGCTCAAGGCCACACACAGCAGTGCAGCCAGGGCTGGCGGGTGAGTCGGAGCCCCTAGTCTGCACTCACAGCCATAGGCTGTGCCTCCTCCTGGAGGTGGGAGGGAAAGTGGGCAACACCCCCCGGGATCCCAGGGATGGGAGACGTGGCAGAGGCCTGGGCCCCGGACGCAGCCTGTCTACTCCCTGCCCACCCCCTCCTCCCGCCCCTTGCACCTCACCTGGGGCAGGCCAGTGAGGAGGCTGGCGCGGCTGGGAGAGCAGCTGCTGACCGAGGTGAAGGCATTGCGAAAGAGGAGGCTGCGGCGGGCCAAGGCGTCCAGGTGCGGGGTGGCGATGGCGCTGTTGTTGTACGCGCCACTCTCAAAGCCTCCGTCATCCGCTGCGTGAGGTGGGAGACAGAGAGTGCACGGTCGGCTGCGGTCACGAGAAACAGCACTGGGAGTGAGGGAGGCTGGGACTGTGATGCCAGAAGGCGAGACACCCAGGTGGGCATGGTACTGGCTCAGTGTGAACACTCAGCGCGAAATGCTATCGTGACAGAGCACTCCATTACCTAGGAGGCATGACACCCGAGTGGGTACATCAGGCAAGCATGGTATCAGAGGGCATGTTAGCAGGTCTCATACTTGGTGGGTATGTTAGCAGGCAGGCATGTATCCAGAAGACCCCATACCCACTGGGTATGTTAGCAAGAAGGCATGGTACCTAGTAGGCACAATACCTGGTGGGTATATCAGCAAGCAGGCAGGGTGCCCAGGCAGGCCTGATACCCAGTGGGTATGTTGGCAGGTGAGCATGGTATGGAGGCTGGACTGATTGATAGATGGTGGGTATGTTGGCAGGTGAGCATGGTATGGAGGCTGGACTGATAGATGGTGGGTATAAGCAGGTAGGCATGGTACCCAGGCAGGCCTGATACCAGTGGGTATGTTAGCAGGTAGACTGGTATCCAGCAGGGATGATGCGTGGTTGGTATGTTAGCAGGCAGGCATGGTATCCAAGTGGGCATGATAAGCAGGCATCATACCACAATAAGCTTGATGATACCCTAAGCAGGCATGATACCCGGTGGGTATGTTGGCAGGTGGGCATGGTACACAGGCTGGACTGATAGCTGGTGGGTATAAGCAGATGGGCATGGTACCCAGGCAAGCCTGGTACCTGCATAGGCATGTTAGCAGGCAGGCATGGTACCCAAGTGGGCAAGATACTCATGCAGGCATGATGACCCAACAAGCTTGATGATACCCCAGCAGGCATGCTACCTGGGTGGGCGTGTTAGCCGGCTAGGCATTTAGGCAGACAGCGGCTGAGCGCATGGCCACAGAACTGCTGGGCAATTCTGGGCTCAGCGGAAACCGCATGGGGCAGAGGGCAGGAGAGCCTCGCCCAGGGCGCGTCTAAAGCTCTATGTGTGTGCGTCCCACCGCTGCTTC
This sequence comes from Homo sapiens, assembly GCF_000001405.40. Classification (NCBI taxonomy): domain Eukaryota; kingdom Metazoa; phylum Chordata; class Mammalia; order Primates; family Hominidae; genus Homo; species Homo sapiens. The sequence goes on from NC_000017.11 coordinate 80,218,250, forward strand.
TCACTGATGCCATCTCAAAGGCCTAGTGACCTTGCAGGTTGTCTATTTCAACCCTTTCATCCTACACAAAGCAGCTGAGGCCCAGAAAGGTGAGGTGCAGTGCCCAGGGCCACACACTGGGCAGCAGGAAACAGGGACAGGCCGCTGAACTCCTACAACCACACCAAGCTTCTTCCCCCTGCTCTGGAGTAGAGGACACTGGGGGCACCACAGGAGAGGCTGGTGGGAACCCCCAGACCAACACTTTCCCCAGCTCCCTCAGAGGCAATGTGGTCCATGGATGGACAGAGGAGGCTGGGCACCTTCCAGTTGGGCTTCCATCCTCCACCCCACAGTACCCACAGGTGTGAGCACATGGCAGCCACGTAAACCTGGAGGGAGAGCGGGATGGGCTGTGCTCCGTACCCGCAGGCCAGGAAGAAAGCTGCCCTTCTCCAAACCCAGAGTGTCTCGGCACTTGGCTGTGGGCCTGCTATGGTCTGAACTGTGTCCTCCCAGAATTCATATGCTGAAGCCCTAACGTCAACATCACTGTATCTGGAGACAGGGTCCTTAATTAAGGGTAAATGAATCATAAGGATGAGATCCTGATCTGACAGGACTGTGGACTTAAAGGAAAAGAAAGAGAGGGCCGGGTGCAGTGTTTCATGCCCGTAAGCCCAGCACCCGGGAGGCCAAGGCAGGAAGATTGCTTGAGCCCAGGAGTTCGAGACCAGTCTGGGCAACACAGTGAGACCTTGTCTCTACAAAAAATACAAAAATTAGCCAGGCATGGTGATGTGCACTTGAGGTCCCAGCTACTTGGGAGGCTGAGGCAGGAGGATCGCTTGAGCCTGGGAGATTGAGGCTGCAGTGAGCTGTGATTGTGCTACTGTGCTCCAGCCTGGGTGACAGAGTGAGACCCTGTCTCACAAAAAAAAAAAAAAAAAAAAAAAAAGGAAAGAAAGGAAAAAGAAAGGAAAAGGAAGTGAGACCACCCCCATCCGCTTGTCATGTGAGGAAACAGTGAGAGGGTGACCACCTGTAAGCCGAAAGTGGACCCTCACTGGAACCCAACCAAGCTGGCACCCTGACCTTGGATTTTCAGCCCACAGAACTGTGAGAAATACATTTCTGTTTAAGCCGATCCATGGCAGTCCGTGCTAAGAAAGGCCCTAGCCCAGGGGCCGCATAGCCTGGACTCTGACAGCCTCCTGTAGGAATTCTGATCCGCAGGTGAGGGTCCATGCAGATTCTCTGCTGTGTTTCTGGGAGGCGAGGAGTTGGCAGGAGAGCTGTTTATGTTACAGTGAGCCGAACCCCCGCCCAGAGACCACAAAATTAATCAGAAAGAGGGCAACTGGCAGGGCGCCAGACCTCAGAAGGGGAAAGAATCGCAGGCCTTGGGTTTGGCCTTGTCACTTGTCATGAGCCAGAGCCTTGATTACCTAAACCGGAAGTCTTGTGAGCAGCACGGTGCTTGCTCTGGAGGAACCTGGGGTTTCTGAGAGGGACTGGGGTTGGGGGAGACGGTGGTGGGTGGGTGGTGGAGGGCTGTGCCCTTGGGATAAGGGAAAAGACAGCTGAGACACAGGCTCTGGGGTCGGAAATGAGAGCCAGGAGGGCACCCTGTCTGCAGTCTCTGGGGACCGGAGCACCAGCCCCTCCTCTGGGATCCCCTCCCAAGAGGGATTTGAGATCCGTGGACCCCTGAGCCCTGGCTGGGCAGGGTCAGAGGAGGGTGGGACAGGCGGCACGAGGTAAGTGTAGGGGTGCTGGATGCTGGGGCTCACTCCTCCAGCCTTTGCTGCCCTCTCTGGGGAGACACCCGTGAAGAGTCTGGGGGCGGCACAGAGAGGAGGACGAGAGGGAATGGCAGCGGGGGATACAAGGGCAGGGCACACTAGGGTCAGCATTGACCACGGGTGGGGAGGAGGCCAGTGGCCACTTCCCCGGGCCACCGCAGGTGGGCGTGGGGGGGCGGCGCCGGCACTCACCGAGGAGCAGCAGTGCGTTCCGGGGACGCGCCCGGCAGAGCCCCAGGACTAGCAGCAGCGCGCAGCAGGCGGGCACGGGGCAGCTCATGGCGGCGGCGGCTCGGACTCGGGATCGGGATCCGGCTCCGGCTCTCTGGTCTCCCGCTCGGCCCCGCCCCCTGCCCCGACCCCGGTCACGTGCGCGCCAGACCCCGCCCCGGCCTGTCCCCGGCGATTCCTGCGGACCCAGCTGCGGCGACGCCAGGAGACCCCAAGCTGCATCGCCGAGTGGGTGAGTCCGTGGCCCGCGAGGGCGGCGAGCGGGGACCAGGGGCAGGGGGAGCGGACAGTGGCCGGGGTCGCCGGGGGCAGCCGACGCGGGGGCCAGCGCGGAGTCCTGAAGTGCGGGGGCCTCCCGTGGGGACCACTCCCCCGCCGCGTCCCTACCCGGGTCCCCGCGGCCCTCGGCCTTGCTCGGGGCCAAGGGACCGCGGACGGTCAGGTGGCGCAGGGTCTCCTCCGGAGACCCCAGGATCCGGAGCCAGCGGCCTTGTGGGCGGGGCCGGGGGCCGGGGAGTGGATTTTGCCCGGAGCGGAGCGGCCGGGGGCGTGGGGGGCTGGGGGTGAGGGTGGCGGCTCTGCGCGCGGGCGCCGGGGCCCTGGAAGATGCTGCGCACCTGAATTAACCGGGCGCCTCTGATGTCCTCCCAGAAGCAACTAGAACTCCAGGGCTGTGAAAGCCACAGGTGGGGGCTGAGCGAGGCGTGGCCTCAGGAGCGGAGGACCCCCCCACTCTCCCTCGAGCGCCGCAGTCCACCGTAGCGGGTGGAGCCCGCCTTGGTGCGCAGTTGGAAAACCTCGGAGCCCCGCTGGATCTCCTGGCTGCCACCCGCACCCCCCGCCAGCCTACGGTGCGCCCGCGGGCCCAGCTTCTCTCTGCGCTGCTCCCCGTTAAATTCCCTGGGGAGACGGAAAAAAAGGCAAAGGAAGTCGGTTCTCCAGGGGCCAGAAGTGTTGAGCCTAATTAGTCTTCAGACTTCTCAATGAGGAATCGCTTATCAGTTTCTTATCTGGGAGAGTTGAGGATGGAGGGACAGAAGGCACCCAGGATTTGCACGGGGGGGATTCAGGGAGAGAGGGTGATGAGGGACGGGGTGGGCCTTCCAGTCTTGGCCCAGTCCCCATCTTGCACACATTGTTGGCTTCCTCTTAGAGCCGTTCGCCCCCCTGGGGAGGGGAGACCCATAGTGACCTCTCCTGACACCCGCCGACCCTGACCAGTGTTGCCGGGTTCTTCAAAGGCCACGCTCTGACTGCTGGTCTGTGTCACCTGCACCCCCCAGCCCCACCGTAGAGATGCCTTCTTCGGTGACGGCGCTGGGTCAGGCCAGGTCCTCTGGCCCCGGGATGGCCCCGAGCGCCTGCTGCTGCTCCCCTGCGGCCCTGCAGAGGAGGCTGCCCATCCTGGCGTGGCTGCCCAGCTACTCCCTGCAGTGGCTGAAGATGGATTTCGTCGCCGGCCTCTCAGTTGGCCTCACTGCCATTCCCCAGGCGCTGGCCTATGCTGAAGTGGCTGGACTCCCGCCCCAGGTGAGGCGTCTGACCCTGCTGCCAGCCATATCTCAGAAACAGTGCAGAATACACAGTATCAATCCCAGACACCATCAGCGATTCCAGGTTTCCAGCCCCTGGGCCCCAAGGAACCTTTGGTTTACAGTGTGTGACGCAGATTGTCTCTGGGCCGACCCAGGCTCCTATGCCTGTTTGGCACACACAGACACTGAGCTGGTTATGGAGGGGCCAGCGAGATGACTCATGGAGGCCTCAGGAGTTCAAGACCAGCCCGACCAAAATGGTGAAACCCCGTCTCCACTAAAAATACAAAAATTAGGCTGGGTGCGGTGGCTCAAGCCTGTAATCCCAGCACTTTGGGAGGCCGAGGCAGGCGGATCGCAAGGTCAGGAGATGGAGACCATCCTGGCTAACAGGGTGAAACCCCGTCTCTACTAAAAATACAAAAAATTAGCCAGGTGTGGTGGCGGGTGCCTGTAGTCCCAGCTACCTGGGAGGCTGAGGCAGGAGAATGGCGTGAACCCGGGAGGCGGAGCTTGCAGTGAGCCGAGACTGTGCCACTGCCCTCCAGCCTGGGCGACAGAGCGAGACTCCATCTCAAAAAAAAAAAAAAAGAATGCTTCCTCAGACTTGGACACAGCACACGGGCCTGCACCGACCCCTCTGCCTGGCTGTCTGCACCCTGAGGCCCCAGTTGAGTGCTGCTAAAAAAGTGGCCTCCTGATCACTGCAGGTCCACCCACAGGGCAGGGCGGTGCACCTTTAACCTGGGCCTGGACACAGCTGACACCCACACATCCCGAGCTTGGACACGCACACTAGGGAGCTGGTGGATGGGCCTCGGCCTCCTGAGTGCTCACCACCCTCTCTCCCCACAGTATGGCCTCTACTCTGCCTTCATGGGCTGCTTCGTGTATTTCTTCCTGGGCACCTCCCGGGATGTGACTCTGGGCCCCACCGCCATTATGTCCCTCCTGGTCTCCTTCTACACCTTCCATGAGCCCGCCTACGCTGTGCTGCTGGCCTTCCTGTCCGGCTGCATCCAGCTGGCCATGGGGGTCCTGCGTTTGGGTGAGGCTCTACCTTCTTGCCAAGGGGATGCCCTCGACCTCAGCATTTGCTTGTTTGCATTTCAAGTCTATCCCCGTGTGCGTGTGTGTGCGTGTTGGGGTGTGGGTATGTATGTGTGTGTGTGTAGGTGGGTGGGTGGTGGAGGGGGTGGGGCACTTGGCTCTTAGTCTACTCTTTTCTGCTTAGAGGCCAGGACACTTGGAGAAGTGCCTGTGGCCTCAGACCCCAGTCTCCCTTTTCTGCTCTCCAAAAACAGCCAAACAGGGTGTGTTACCCCCAGTCCTTAGCTGCGGTATCTGCTCCCCAATCCCACCCATTGCCACCTTCCCCAGCTCACATCTCCCCTCATCCTCTGGGACTGGGTGGAGCCGGGACCAGCTCGATGTCCCCTCTTGGCTGGCCAGGGTTCCTGCTGGACTTCATTTCCTACCCCGTCATTAAAGGCTTCACCTCTGCTGCTGCCGTCACCATCGGCTTTGGACAGATCAAGGTAGGCACGGCGCCCACCCAGGGCACTGCTCTTTGGCCACTGCTCGTTGGCACAGGGATGGCGGGAGCAGGACTGAGGCCAGTCCTGATCCCTGTGGCCAGTGGACGTCTTGCTGTTTCAGATTGTCTTCCATGGGTCAAGAAGCACGCGGTGCTCTCATGGGTCCCCTGTTAATAAAATGACCCTCCTGGGAGGGATGTCACGTGATGGTTGGATTTCACAGCGGGTAACTTGGGGGCCGGTAATTCCATCCCCCTGCTCTTGCCCGAGTTTCCGTGCCAGTGTGCTTGGCTGGCTCTGTGACGTGGCTCTGTTCTCCCTGCACTGGGCACACCCAGCAGGCCCCACCAGTCATGAGCATGCTGCTAGAATTTCTATAGGCAAATTATTTCCCCATGCCAATTTAGTTAGATGGTTTTGTTTTGTGCTTTTTTTTCTGGTTTCTGTTTAATATTTTTTAAATGCCATGCCTTTTATATTTTCTTTTAAAACATTTATAATAAGTACTAAAATCAGTCATCAGCTGAGGGTGTAATTTATTCTGTTTTTGCTGGGTTGTAAGTTCCTCGAGGGTAGGAACTGTCCTTCTCCCAGCCATGGCCGCCCAGCATTGGGCTGGTGCAGTAGGGGGGTGCTCAGTGGGGTGTGTGTGGAGTGAAGTGAGCCCAATTCCACAGATGGGACCATGCGGCCCTCATGGCAGACTAGGGTCACATGCTGCCTCCTGACCCTGTGTCACTGCAGGTCATCTTCCCCAAGCCAGGCCCTGTTCCAGGCTGGCCTGAGACAGTCTTCCCTGATGGAGGTACCATGAGAAGACCAAGGACAGGAGAGTGTGTGTGAGAGTGTGTATGAGTGTGTGTGAGTGTGTGAATGAGTGAGTGTGTGAGAGTGTGAGTGGGTTTGAGGGAGTGTGTGAGTGTGTGCGTGTGTGAGTGAGTGCGTGTGTGAGTGAGTGTGCGTGTGTGTGTGAGAGAGTGTGAGTGTGTATGAGTGAGAGTGTGAGAGTGGGTGTGGGTGTGAGGGAGTGTGAGTGCGCGCGCGCGTGTGTGAGTGTATGAGTGTGAGAGTGAGTGTGAGTGAGTGAGAGTGGGTGTGGGTGTGAGAGTGTGAGTGTGAGAGTGTGAGTGTGTGAGTGTGAGAATAAAGTAGACACTTTTTGCACTCTTGCTACGTGCGAGGCACTGGGCAGGACACTCTCCATGTGTAATTCTCAACACACCCCGGGAGGTAGATTTATCATTATTTCCATTTGAGAGAGGAGGGACCAACTTAGGTGTGGGTGAGCGTGATTTGTACGTTATCTACACGCATCTCTCAGGGTTAGCTTGGCAAATGCTGTTTCAGGGCATGGTTGGTTCTTTAATCTGGAAACATCATTTTTGGTGTCAAGAATGTTCTTTTGTAGGATCCCAGTGAGAGTGGAGAGCGGAGAGTGGAGAGTGGAAGGCATCCCTTGTTCATGCCTTCATACTTGGCAACCCTAGCCCCGCCCAGGGACTCTGCAGCCATCTGGGGGGAGGGGCGTCCTCCTGACAGGCCCAGGACAGAAGACCCTACCCCAACAGTCCCAGAGTCCGCCCCCCAGGATGTCCTAACCCCACCCACCCTGTGCGCAGCAGTTTTAGGGCAGGGTCCTTGAGCCTGTGGCCATGGGATCCAGGGCCTCAACTTTCCCCTCTGACTCCTGTTGGGTCTCAGGCGATGTAAAGAACTAAAGTGCAAGCTGTGCCTGCACTGTGGATCCCAGCTACGTGGGAGGCCGAGGTGGGAGGATCACTGGAGCCCAGGAGTTCGAATCCAGCCTGGGCCACAGAGCAAGCAAGACCCCCACCCCCCAACCCCCCGCCGCTCTCTAAAGAAAAAAAAACTAAACTAAAACACAGGATAGAGTGCCTTCTCCTGCCCAGGACCTCAGAGCTGGTATCGTGGTGGGAGGCTCCTACTTTGCCGAGGATTCCCCAAGCTGGTTTCTTGAAGCCCCTCAGAGCCCTCCACATCTGCACACTACGAAGAGATTTTTCCTCCCGCAGCAGCGGAGCTGGGGGGTGGCGGGGCACCTAGTGAGGGAGACATTCTCAAGCCAATGGCAGCAAGGGTCTACACTGCAGGGGGCCTGGCTGCTGAGTGGCCTGGAGCCAATGGGGGTGGGGCCAGGCAGCCCATGGCCCCTGGCCATCAAGCTGTAGAACCTGTCTGCCTGCTGTGGGGTCACCTACATTGTTTTTTATGAGAAAAGTAATTTAGAGAAAAACATATCACTGACCCAGTAATTGTGAAGTACTGTCTCCCACGAGGGTAGCTTTGATCTCCTGCCCTAGGGGGCGTTGGGAGTGGGCAGGTGGACCCCTGAGCCCCTAAGATGGGCCCCGGGAATAAGGGTTGGGAGCAGGGCCGGGGGACACTGTCTCAGCCCTAGGGGAGGTGGGCGGGGAGCTGGGGACAGATGGCCTTGGTTTGGGAGCATAGCCTCTGATCAGCATCTCTGTGTTTGGACAGAACCTGCTGGGACTACAGAACATCCCCAGGCCGTTCTTCCTGCAGGTGTACCACACCTTCCTCAGGATTGCAGAGACCAGGTACCCCGGGCTTTGTTCCTCCCTCCTATAAGGAAGCTCCTTCTTCCACACCTCCTCTCCCGGCCCCCACCTCAGTTTCCCCACCCCTGGTGACTGCTCAAACAGGGGTCCCCAGAGCAGCCCCATCAGCAGCACCTGCAAGCTGGCAAGAAATGAGACTCTCAGTCCTTTGCAGACCTGCCCTATCAGAGCCACAGTTTTAACAGGAGGCCGGTGGTCTGCGCGCAGGGGAGAGTTCAAGAAGCTCTGCTCTGGGGAGCTGGAGCAGGGCAATGTTCCTCTCTCCACAAAGCTTTCTTGGGGGACAGGAATGGGGAGAGTCTGTGTAAAGAAAAAGAAGGCAGTGTGTCTCCCCCAGGCTGTGATTTGTTAAGGAGGAGAACACAGGGCGTGGGGAGCTAACCCAGACAGAACGCAGGTGGTGCAGGGACGGCAGGTGGAGCTGTGATGAGAGATGAGGCGACCCAAGCACTTCCCTCAGGTGGTTTAAAGAGCCTCTGATGGCCGGACACTGTGGCTCACACCTGTAATCCCAGCACTTTGGGAAGCCCAGGTGGGCAGATCATCTTAGGTCAGGAGTTCAAGACCAGCCTGGTCAACATGGTGAAACTCCGTCTCTACTAAAAATACAAAAATTAGTCGGGTGTGATGGTGCGTGCCTGTAGTCCCAGCTGTTCAGGAGGCTGAGGCAGGAGGATTGCTTGAACCTGTGAGGCGGAGGTTGCAGTGAGCTGAGATCACGCCACTGCACTCCAGCCCGGGTGATAGAGTGAGACTCCATCTCCGCCCTGCCCTGCCCCCCCGAAAAGAAAAGCCTCTGATGAGGGGTACCTCCCTGCCAGACCATCCAGCGGGAAGGCAGGATGCCTCTCTACCTCTCTGGCTGGAAGGGGCTGGAGGAGGAAATGATCTAGGGGAGCTATAGAGATGGCTGCCCAGTGCTGTGGCCTGGAGGGAGTGGGGGCGATCCTGGACCATCTTCCCCTCCCCTCTGATCTGCTGCCGAAGCTTCCCAGCAGCTGAACCCAGCTGGAAGCCAGTGGGTTCTTTGCTCTTCAGAGGCACCAGTGGGCAGGGGTCGGCCAGATGGGGGAGCAGTGATTACGGAGCCTGACCAGTCAGAGAGCGTCACGGGCTGTCATGTAAAAGGGGCCTTACTGACCGTTTAGTCCTAAGCCTTCTAGAATGTCTAGAGCAGGGTGTCCAGTCTTTTGTCTTCCCTGGGCCACACAGGAAGAATTGTCTTAAAATACACTAATGATAGCTGATGAGCTACAAAAAAATCATTGAAAGAACTCATAATGTTTTAAGAAAGTTTACAAATTTGTGTTGGGCCACATTCAAAGCCATCCCAGGCTGCACATGGCCCACAGGCTGTGGGTTTGGCAGACTTGTTCTAGAGCCACCTGCAGAGAGCATCAGCTGCTCAGGCTGGTCCCCATTCCCTGTGGTCACTCACCAGATCCTGTTCCATAGACTTGAGTCCCAGAGAGCTACGGGAGTGAAAATGTGAGCACGTCGCTCTGCCATCATCATGACCCGGGCCTCTCCACTGCCTGTCCTGCCCAAGCCTGTGTACTTACTGAATTTTGAATTGAGTTTTGAAGTAGAACAGGGATGCATATTGCTTAGGAGAAAACATCTCAGCCTAGTCTGTGTTTGGTCTTGCAGAGTAGCTTGCTAAAGTTCCTGAGCTTTAGTTAAGTGTCTGTGAAATGGTGAAAATATTGAAAATGCTTTATTTCCTTGTGATACTCACTGTGGTCTGGGACCAGCAGCCTGGGCATTGGGCCTCCCTGGGAGCTTCTTAGTGCCTCTCAGCTTAAGCAGCAGCAGGATGCTTGAGTCAGCAGTAGGCCTGGGCCGAGCTGGGTGGTGACCAGTCCTCTGCCTGTCCACAGGGTAGGTGACGCCGTCCTGGGGCTGGTCTGCATGCTGCTGCTGCTGGTGCTGAAGCTGATGCGGGACCACGTGCCTCCCGTCCACCCCGAGATGCCCCCTGGTGTGCGGCTCAGCCGTGGGCTGGTCTGGGCTGCCACGACAGGTGAGGGGCCTCTGGCTGACATCTTATGCAACCTTGGCTGCAGGTTGGGGTCACTTGGGGAGTCCTAGTCCCACCCTAGGGATTCTCACGTCATTGGTCTGGGTGTCACTTGAGCATTGGGACATTTAAAACACCACACCAAACTCTGGGACATGTACTTTTTATTTAATTAATTAATTAATTATTTTTTGAGACAGAGTTTCGCTCTGTCGCCCAGGCTGGAGTACAGTGGTGTGATATTGGCTCACTGCAACCTCCGCCTCCCAGGTTCATGTGATTCTCCTGCCTCAGCCTCCTGAGTAGCTGGGATTACAGGCGCATGCCACCACGCTCGACTGATTTTTGTATTTATAGTAGAGACGGGGTTTCACCATGTTGACCATACTGGTCTCAAACTCCTGACCTCGAGTGATCTGCCTGCCTCGGCCTCCCGAAGTGCTGGGATTACAGGCATGAGCCACCGCCCCGACCCAAACTCTAGAACATTTAAAACTCTGAGCCAAACTCGGTGGGTTCTGATGCAGGGTCAGAGCTGAGAACTGATGCATGGCCAGCTGTGGCCGTTCTCAACCTGAAGCAGTTTTGCCCCCTGGTGACACGTGGCAATGTTGGGAAACATTTTTGGTGGATACCACCGGGCGAGGCAGTTGCTGGCAACTAGCGAGGAGGGGCCAGGAATGCCACTAAGCCCCTGACGGCGCACAGCCTTCCACAGCAAACAGTGATCCGGCCCAAAATGTCGGCGGTGCCGAGGTGGAGAAACACAGTCTACTGGCAGGTCCTGGGGAGACAGAACAAATTCCGGGGAGACCAACAGGCTCTGTTTGAATTGTGCAGCTTTATGGGGGTACAACTTCAGCTTCAGGCGCGGAGGCTGCAGGCTGAGCCACAACCAACCAGGGGTCCTTTGAGAAAGGGGTGGTGAGGGCTGCGTCGTGGAGGAGCAGGGCTGTCAGCAGGTGAAGGACCACCCTGGGGGAGGTGGAAGCCTCTTCTCAGTGCATCCGGGATGGGCATGGGTCCCCTGGCTGAGCACCGGGCAGGGATGCCCAGAGAAGAAGGCACACCCAGGAAAGTCAGGAAGCATAGGTGACTCCAAACCTTCTCAGAGCCGAGGGGACAGATTAAGCTCAGAATAACCCGAGCTTGGTCTTGCTGTTTGGGGGCTGCAAAATCCAACAGCCACAGAAGAGAGAGGGTGGCTGGATTTAGCTCTTGAGTCACTTCTGCCTGCCCAGGCTGGTCTGTTCTCTGTGGTCTCTCCCTGGATCCTGTTCAGCAGACTTGAGGCCGTGGTGAACACTGAGAGTCTGGTGGGGTGCAGAGGATGCTGGGTTTAGAGTGGAGATGTCCAGCTTCCAGTCCCAGCCTGGCCTGGGTTTAGACTTGCAAAGTAGCTTCCAAAGTTCCTGAGCTTTAGTTCAGTTGTCCGTGAAATAGTGAAAATGCTTTGTTATCTTTGTTATCTTTTGTTTTTTGGTTTTTTTTGGAGACGGTGTCTCACTCTGTTGCCCAGGCTGGAGTGCACTGGCGTGATCTTGGCTCACTGCAACCTGCCTCCTGGTTTCAAGCAATTATCCCGCCTCAGCCTCGCGAGTAGCTGGGATTACAGGCGTGCACCACCACACCTGGCTAATTTTTGTATTTTGAGTAGAGATGGGGTTTCACCATGTTGGCCAGGCTGGTCTCGAACTCCTGACCTCAAGTGATCCGCCCGCCTCAGCCTCCCAAAGTGCTGAGATTATAGGCGTGAGCCACTGCGCCTGGCCTATGCCTTGTTATCTTAAACCTTGAGACTCAGAGTGTGGCCTGGGACCAGCAGCCTGGGCACTGGGCATCTCCTGGGAGCTTACTGGAAAGGCAGGATCTCAGGCCCCACCCCAGATCTCCGAATCAGGATCTGTATTCTTCAGGGCACGCCCAGGGGATTCATGGGGTCAGCTTAGAAGTCAAAGTTTGGAAGCCGGGCATGGTGGCTCACGCCTGTAATCCCAGCACTTTGGGAGGCCGAGGGAGGCAGATCACCTGAGGTCAGGAGTTTGAAACCAGCTTGGCCAAACCCCGTCTCTACTAAAAATACAAAAATTAGCTGGGTGTGGTGGTGTGTGCCTGTGATCCCAGCTACTTGGGAGGCTGAGGCAGGAGAATCACTTGAACCCGGGAGGCGGAGGTTATAGTGAGCCAAGACTGCACCACTGCACTCCAGCCTGGCAACAGAGCGAGACTCCTTCTCAAAAAAAAAAAAAAAAAAAGTCAAAGTTTGGGAAATGCTTAGAGACCCCATGTTTTTCAGAGACTTGTTTTGTATGACTTTATGAGATGATCAGGCAGGTGTGGCCACAAGGGGAGACAGCGAAAGGCTCAGGAAGAAAACCAGTTTATTATACTCACAGGTCCTAGAGACAGGAGGCACAGCATGCCACGTAGGGCCATGTCAGAGGACACCAGGGTGGCCAGGAGGAGAAGCCAAAGCTGTGGTTTAGGCCACAGCCTTTATCGAGATTTTCTTGATAAAGGCAAGGTGAAGAAAGGCGACCAGCTTAGGACTTGCAGTTGGAGGAATTTTGGTGGGTTTCAGGCTTAAGGCAGAAAAATCTTGCCTCCTGGGGTGCAGGCCAGGCTGGTGGAGGAAGGATGGCTCCAGAGGGGTTAGCTGGCATATCAGAGACACACTTGGGGCTGCTTTTTTCTCTAGTACTTGCCTAACCCTGAAGGCAGTGTCTCCGCAGCCAGAAAGGTCTTTTAAGATGTCTAGACATCGTAATGTACAGAAACTTCAGAAACATTTACAGTGTAGGGCTGCTGACTCCTTTCTCCCCAGTGTGTGTAGCATTGTCTTAGGAAACTACTTAAAAAGCTTTTGATTCTTATAACAGCTTTGAGAATGAGTTTATTATTTTTTCCATTTTGTCAGTGAGGAAAGTGAGCCTATGAAAGATGAAAAATAAAACAGAACTTCTCAAGGCCACACGACTGGGAAGAGGCAGAACAAGGACTTCACCCGAGTCGTCTGTCTTTTTTTCTGAATGGTCTGTCTAGAAGTGTGTCAATGTTATGATCCTCTCAAAGAACCACCTTTGGTTTCATTGATCTCCCTTTTGCTTTGGTTTTCTAGTTCATTGATTTCTGCTTGGGCCTTTATTATTTCCTTTCTTCTATTTATTTTCAGTTAACTTTATCCTTTTTTTTTTTTTTTTTCAAAAAAAATTTTTTTTTTTTGAGACGGAGTTTCGCTCTTGTCCCCCAGGTTGGAGTGCAATGGTGTGATCTCAGCTCACTGCAACCTCCGCCTCCCGGGTTCAAGTGATTCTCCTGCCTCAGCCTCCCAAGTAGCTGGGATTACAGGCGTATGCCACCATGCCTGGCTAATTTTTTGTATTTTTAGTGGAGACGGGGTTTCACCATGTTGGCCAGGCTGGTCTCGAACTCCTGAACTCAGGTGATCCACCCGCCTCAGCCTCCCAAAGTGCTGGGATTACAGGCGTGAGCCACTGTGCCCGGCCTTTTTTTTCAGATTCTTAAGGTGGAAGCCTGGATCTTTGATTTGAGACCTTTCTTCTTTTCTAATATGGTTGTTTAAATGCTGTAAATTTCACTCCTAGCATTACTTTAGCTGCATCCCACAGTTTTTATATATATGCTGTTCTTTAATTTTTATTCGGTTCTAAATACTTTGTGATTTCCATTTTGACTTCTCCTTTGACCTGTGGATTATTTAGAAGTGGATTATATGATTTCTTCTGTGAACCATGGGAGTTATTTAGTTTCCAAATAGTTGGGGGTTTCCCAATTAGTACTTTGCCATTGATTTCTAATTTAGTTCCATTGTGATAAGAAAACGTACTTAGTGATTTAAATCTGTTTTCCTTTATTGAGAGTTGTATTATGGCCCTGAATATGGTCTATCTTAGTGAATATTCTGTGTGTGCTTGAGAACATGTTTTCTGCCATTATTGGGTGGAATGTTCTGTAAATGTCAGTTAGGTCTGGTTGGTTATCTCAGGCTACTATATTCTTGCTGATTTTCTTTCTACTTGTTCTGTTGATTATTAAAAGAAGAATGTTGAAATAACTTCAGCTATAACCATGACTTTGTCTATTTTCCTTTCTTACTTACCAGTTATTGTTTCATATATTTTGAAGCTCTGTTTTTTAGTATAAAAACATATAGAATTATAATTTTCTCTTGGAATGATACTTTTTTTTCTGGGCAATATTCTCTTCCCTGAAATCTACTTTGATACTAAGAGAGCTACTCCAGCTTTCATTAGTGTTAGCATATCTTTTCCCATCTTTTTACTTTTTTTTTTTTGAGACAGAATCTCTCTCTGTTGCCCAGGCTGGAGTGCAATGGCGTGATCTTGGCTCACTGCAACCTCCACCTCCCAGGTTCAAGCAATTGTTGTGCCTCAGCCTCCCAAGTAGCTGGAATTACAGGCTTGCACCACCAAGCCCAGCTAATTTTTGTGTTTTTAGTAGCAATGAGGTTTCACCATGTTGGCCAGCCTGGTCTCAAATTCTTGGCCTCAAGTGATCCACCTGCCTTGGCCTCCCAAAGTGCTGGGACACCACACCCAGCCTCCTATCTTTTTACTTTTAACGTATTTAATTGATTTGTGTTCTTGTGTTTAATGGTATGTTTTATGGGCAGCATATAGATGGGATTTGTTTTTAATCTCATAATCTCTGCCTTTTAATTGGAATCTTATGCCATTTATATTTAATGTGATTATTGGTCTGTTTGACTTTAGATCTACCATGTTGCTGTTTGTTTCCTGTTTGTCTCATTTGTTCTTTGTTCCCTTTTCCCCCTCCTTCTACCTCTATTGGATTATTTTTTATGATTCCATTTTACATCCTTTATTGGCTGATTAGCTGTAACGGCTATATTTAGTTTTTGTTTGTTTGTTTCTAAGTGACTGCTTTAAGGTTTGTGGTAAACATCTTTATCTTGCTACAGTATACATTAAACTTCAACTTCATGTGATATAAGAACCTTATAACAGGCCAGGCGCAGTGGCTCACACCTATAATCCTAGCACTTTGGGAGGCTGAGGGAGGCAGATTGTCTGAGCTCAGGAGTCTAAGACCAGCCTGGGCAACATGGCGAAACCCCATCTCTACCAAAAATACAAAAAATTAGCCAGGCATGGTGGTGCATGCCTGTAATCCCAGCTACTGGGGAGGCTGAGGTGGGAGGATTGCTTGAACCTGGAAGGCAGAGATTGCAGTGAGCCAAGATCCGTCACTGAAGCTGCAAACTCCTGGGCTCAAGTAATTCTCCTGCCTCAGCCTCCTGAGTAGCTTGGTCTACAGGCATGCACCACCACATCTGGCTAATTTTTTAAATTTTTTTATAGAAACGGGCTATGTTGCTCAGGCTGATCAAAGGTTCTTGGCCTCAAGTGATGCTCCTGCCTCAGCCAACCAAAGTGCTGAGATTGCAGATGTGAGCCACCATTCCCTGCAGGAACAGTCTTAGATTTATCCACGTAGTCACTGTTTCTGGTGCTCTTAATTCCTTTGTACAAATCCAGATTTCCATCTGGTATAATTTTCCTTCTACCTGAAGGATGTTATTTTTTCTTCTGTTGCAGGCCTGTTGGTGATTAACTCTTTCAGCATTTTTTTTTTTTTATTTGACAGGATTCACTCTGTCACTCAGGCTGGAATGCAGTGGTACAATTATAGTTCACTGCAGCCTTGAACTCCTAGACCCAAGCAATCCTCAGCCTCCTGAGTGGCTGGGACTATAGGCATGCATCACCACGCCTGGATAATTTTTTATTTTTACTTTTTGTAGAGATGGTGTCTTCCTACGTTGCCCAGGCTGGTCTCTTACTCCTGGGCTCAAGGGATCCTCCCACTTTGGCTTCCCAAATGTTGGGATTACAGGTGTGAGCCACTACTCCTGGTCTTCTTTCAACTTTCGACTTTTGTATGTCTGAAAGTCTATTTTGCCTTCATTTTTCAAAGATAGTTTTGCTGGTTATAGAATTCTAGACTTTTTTTTTTCTTTCAGTACTTTTTAAAAAAAAGTTATTTATTATTTTTTTTATTTTGAGACAGTGTCTCGCTGTGTCACCCAGGCTGGAGTGCAGTGGCACGATCTTGGCTCACTGCAATCTCTGCCTCCTGGGTTCAAGTGATTCTCCTGTCTCAGCCTCCCAGGTAGATGGAATTACAGGCGCATGCTACCACGCCCGGCTAATTTTTGTACTTTTAGCAGAGATGGGGTTTTGCCATGTTGGCCAGGCTGCTTTCGAACTCCTGACCTCAGGTGATCCGCCCTCCTTGGCCTCCCAAAGTGCTAGGATTACAGGCGTGAGCCACTTTGCCTGGCCTCAGGACTTTAAAGATGCTATTCTGCTGTCTTCTGGCCCACTTCGTTTCAAGAAGTGTGCTGTCATTCTTTGTTCCTCTGTATGTAACCTTTTTATCCACTGCTTTTAAAATATTCTTTATCACTGGTTTTAGGCAGTTTCATAATGTGGCTTGATGTAGTGTTTTTTTGTTTGTTTGTTTTTTGTTTTCTGTGTTTATGCTTGTGATTCATTGAACTTCTTAGACATGTGGGTTTGCAGTTTCATCAAATTTGGAAAATAAACACCCATCTTTTCGTGAAATCTTTGTACTGTCCCCCTATGCGATTCCACAGACTTTCTTTGCAGAATCCCCTGTCTGTATTTCAGGCACCTCGAAGGTGTTCCCACAGCTCACTTGGGATTTTCAGCCTTCTCCTTTGTGTGTTTCATTTTGGATAGTTTCTGCTGCTACATTTTAGTCTTTTTTTTCTGTAATGTCTCAGCTGTTGTAATTGCACCAAGTGCTTGTTCCGTCTCAGACACTGTGGTTTTCATTTCTAGAAATCCAGTTTGAATCTTTTTTTTTCTTTTTTTTTTTTTTTAAGATGGAGTTTCGCTCTGTTGTCCAGGCTGGAGTGCAATGGCGCGGTCTTGGCTCACTGTAACCTCTGCCTCCCGGCTTCAAGTGGTTTTCCTGCCTCAGCCTCCCAGGTAGCTGGGATTATAGGCATCCACCACCATGCCCAGCTAATTTTTGTATTTTTAGTAAAGACAGAGCTTCACTGTGTTGGCTGGGCCAGTCTCGAATTCCTGACTTCAGGTGATTCAGCTGCCTCGGCCTCCCAAAGTGCTGGGATTACAGGCGTGAGCTACCGTGCCCAGCCTCAATTTGAATCTTTTAAAATGTATTTTCTACATCTTTACTTAACAGTTGCAATCTTTCCTCTGTTTTTTTTTTAAGTATATGGAATTTGGTTACAGTTATTCTTTTAATGTCCTATTAACTAAATTACATTTGGTTACAGTTACTCTTTTAATGTCCTGTTAATTCTGTCATCTTTAACTATGTTACTTTTGGGTCTTTTTTTTATTTTTTATTTTTATTTTTTGAGACAGGGTCTCACTGTGTCACCCAGGCTAGAGTACAGTGGCATGATCATGGTTCACTATAGCCTCAACCTCCCAGGCTCAAGTTATCATCTCACCTCAGCCCCCCAAGTAGCTGGGACTATAGGCATATGCCACCATGCTCAACTAATTTTTTATTTTTTGTGGAGACAGTGTCTCACTAATTTGCTCAGGCTGGCCTCAAACTTCTGGGCTCAAGCAGTCCTCCTGTCTTGGCTTCCCAAAGTGTTGGGATTACAGGCATGGGCCACTGCACCCAGCCATATTTTCCTGCTTCTTTGCATGCCTAGTAATTTTTGTTTGGATGGATGCTAGACTTTGTGAGTTTGAGGTTATTGCGTGCTGGATATTTTTGTATTCTATAAATCTTCTTGAGCTTTGTTCTGGGATACAGTTAAGTTACTTAGGACAGTTCGATCCATTTAGGTCTTACTTTTAAGCTTTGTGAGCTGGACCAGAGCAGTGTTCATTCTAGGGCAAGCCTAATTTGGCCCACCACTTGATTTTGTAAATAAAGTTTTATTGGAAAATCACTCCCATTCATTTACATGGTCAATGTCAGGTTTTATGCAATAATAACAGACTTGAGTAGTTGCGCCAGAGACTTTATGGCCCACAAAGCAAAAAGTTTTTAGTATTTAGCCCTTTACAGAAAACATTTGCCAACCCCAGGCCTTGGGCTAATCTTCCCCACTGCTGAGGTAAAACCCTCTGGAGTCCCTGATGCTCCATGAATTATGAGGGTTTTTTACTCTGGTGTGAATCCTTGGGATTGTCCCTTGTAACCCTCTTTGTGACTCTTCCCCACTGTGGGTTTGGGTCATTTTCGCCCAGCTTTGCCTCGACCAGTTCTCTGCTGCACATCCGAGGGCACCTCTGCAGATCTCTGCAGCTCTGTCTCCGGCTGCCCTCTCTGCTCCTGTGACCTTGCGGTCAGCTCCAGCTGCAGGCCTCCTCAGACTTCCTCCCAGCATTGCCCCCTGAACTCAGGGAAACCCCTGGGCTCTGCTAGGGGGTCCCCTCCATACACATGGGGACCATCGGGGAAACCGTAGGCAGCCGGCGGGGCAGTGATAGACTCACCTCCCTTGTTTCCCTGTGGCCGTCATGGCTGCTGTCCCGCGTCTTAGTGGCCATCATGTCCACTGTCCCGCATCTTGGAGGCCATTGTTTCTGTTGTTTGGGAAAGGGGGTAAATCTGGTTTCTTCCTCCTTTGTGCTTTGAGGTGGATGTGCCCTGGGCCACCTGATTTCAGAGAGTCTTTGCCGCGGTGCACGATGTCCAGTCACCTGGAGCTTGGCAGCAGGTGGCATGTGCACCTGTCCGCAGCCTGCAGCTCTGCCGTCCCACCTGCTTATGCTGCCACATAGCATTTATGTCTGTGTTGTGTTTCCCAGAGTGCAGAGTGAGGACTGTGGCCCGGTGGGGGCGTCTCCTGCCTCTGGGATGTCTGCCCCAGTAACCTGGAGGCAGCCGCGCTACCCCACACTCGCCGGGAGCAGGGTCTCGGACGCACCTCTCCTTCTCTCCTAGCTCGCAACGCCCTGGTGGTCTCCTTCGCAGCCCTGGTTGCGTACTCCTTCGAGGTGACTGGATACCAGCCTTTCATCCTAACAGGGGAGACAGCTGAGGGGCTCCCTCCAGTCCGGATCCCGCCCTTCTCAGTGACCACAGCCAACGGGACGATCTCCTTCACCGAGATGGTGCAGGTGGGCGGAGCCGGGAGGCAGGATGGCGTGGCTGAGGCTGCGGTGGCCCCTGGCCTGGCTCCTACCCTGATGTATCTGCTGGGTGCCAGGGGGTCTGAGGTCAGTTAGGACAGCTGAGTCCTCAGGAACGGACATCTCAGTTATTAAAGAATCCCAGGTTGGATGCAAACTCAGCGAGCTCAGGGATGTCACGTTTGTGTTCAGGGGCGCTTCTCCTGTTTTGGACTCCAGCTGAGGATGAATTTACCGTGTTCCTCCCAGCACCTGGCGCCTCTTCAGACAAGGAGGCGGATCCTGCAGCTGACAAGCACTTGCTCCTGTTACCTGTGGGGCGGGGTGGGTCCTTGCTGCTTTCATGGGTCACTGCTGGGTCCTACCCCTTAGGAAGGTCACTCACCATCCCTCTCTCCTCTCTCAGGACATGGGAGCCGGGCTGGCCGTGGTGCCCCTGATGGGCCTCCTGGAGAGCATTGCGGTGGCCAAAGCCTTCGGTAAGACGCCTGTCACCCACACCCCAGGTCTCCCAGTGCGCCGGCTGGGCTAGGCCTGCCTGCTTTCTAGCTTGCCTTTATCCGTTACTAGTTTTAGAAATTTGAATTCATATCCAAGTAATACATGCTCATGATAGATACATATGTATTGTGTATATATGATAAAACTGGATCTATAATGAGGCATGCCCTCCCACCCCATGGTGTGCTGGTGAGTGTTGTAACAGCCTCTGCTGTTTGTGGAAATAAAAGGTTTTGCTTCGTGGCCCTTGCCGATGTCCACGGTGTAAACGCTGCTGTCTGATTTTAAGGTAACGTCACTGAAAGGGGAGTTTGCACATGGAGCTGGGTTGAGATCTGCATGAACAATCATATTCTATGGTGTCTCCACCATGTAGATACAGTGGGTGCAAATAACCTCATCAGTAGTAGCCAAATGCCAAATAAATTAGGAAGTGATGAGTTTTAAGTATTATCTTTGGGCCAGGCATGGTGGCCCAGGCCTGTAATCCCAACACTTTGGGAGGCTGAGACGGGAGGATCACTTGAGCTCAGGAGTTTGAAACCCACCTAGGCAACGTAACGAGACCTCGTTTCTATTAAAAATAAAAATTAGCTGGGCATGGAGCACACCTGTGGTACCAGCTTCTCAGAAGGCTGAGGCAGGAGGATCACTTGAGCCCGGGAGGTCGAGGTGGCATTGAGCTGTGATAGTGCCACTGCACTCCAGCCTGGGCAGCAGAACAAGATCCTGTATTATCTGTTTAATTGAAAGTTTTAATTTAATTGGTAATAATGGCTATGTTTAGTAACAGGCTCACAAAACTCCTAAACATTGAGCAACATGCTTTATTCAGCTGGCTCAGCCCATCGGCCAGCCCCTCCTCGCCCCCAGGGAGGCAGGGAACCCTTCGTCTCCTTCAGTGTCTGTTTTGAGTCAGCATCTCTAGATTCCCTCCTTGCAGCTCCGTCCTTCACTCGCTCCACTCCTGCCAGCTTTGTATTGTCTGTGCGGATGACACCTTCGTTCTGTCTTGTCACCGTCATTTAGTCCTTCTTGCGTTTGGGTTTATGTTGATTCTAAAGGTTACAGCCCAGTTACCAGTGTATGTTACTGTGACTGTGTAAATCGTGTTTACTGCCTAGCCCAGGCTGTGCCAGGGTAAAGTTCCTTCTCCAAAGTCCCAGTGCTCTAACCCTTACCCCCTTCAAAGGAGTTTTTTTTGTTTTTTGTTTTTTTTTTTTTTTGGAGACAGAGTCTCACTCTGTGGCCCAGGCTGGAGTGCAGTGGCACGATCTCTGCTCACTGCAACCTCCGCTTCCCAGGTTTAAGCAATTCTCATGCCTCAGTCTCCCAGGTAGCTGGGAATACAGGCATGCGCCACCACGCCCAACTAATATTCTATACTTTTAGTAGAGACAGGGTCTCACTATGTTGGCCAGGCTGGTCTCAAGTGATCTGCCCACCTGGGCCTCCCAGTAATTTTTTTTTTTTTTTTTTTTGAGATAGTGTTTCACTCTTGTTGCCCATGCTGGGTGCAATGGTGTGATCTTGGCTCACCGCAACCTCCGCCCCCCAGGTTCCAGCAATTATCCTGCCTCAGCCTCCCAAGTAGCTGGGATTACGGGTGCGCACCAACATGCCTGGCTAATTTTGTATTTTTAGTAGAGATGGGGTTTCTCCATGTTGATCATACTGGTCTCAAACTCCTGACCTCAGGTAATCCGCCCACCTCAGCCTCCCAAAGTGCTGGGATTACAGGTGTGAGCCACCATGCTCAGCCCTCCAGTAATTTCTTTTTTTTTTTTTTTCGAGACGGAGTCTCGCTCTGTCGCCCAGGCTGGAGTGCAGTGGCGTGATCTCGGCTCACTGCAAGCTCCGCCTCCTGGGTTCACGCCATTCTCCTGCCTCAGCCTCCCGAGTAGCTGGGACTACAGGCGTCCGCCACCACGCCCAGCTAATTTTTTGTATTTTTAGTAGAGACGGGGTTTCACCGTGGTCTCGATCTCCTGACCTCGTGATCTGCCTGCCTTAGCCTCTCAAAGTGCTGGGATTACAGGCGTGAGCCACTGTGCCCGGCCGTAATTTTTTAATTGTAGAGACAAGGTCTCACTTTGTGGCCCAGGCTGACCTCAAACTCCTGAGTTCAAGTGATCCTCCTGCCTCGGCTTTCAAAAGTGCTAGGATTACAGGCCTGAGCCATCGTGCCCGGCCAGTTTTTACATTTCTGAATGGTTGGAAAAAGTCCAAATAATAATAATATTTTGTGACATGTGAAAAGTATATGAAATCCAGATCTCATGTTTACAAATAAAGTCAGTTGGAGCGTGGCTGTGCCACTTGGGGATGTGCTGTCCGTGGCTGCTTTCGTGGCACCACAGCAGAGTTGCGTAGCTGCAGCAGTGACTGCAGGGCCCACAAAGCCTAAAATATCGACAAGTTGGTCCCTTACAGAAAAGCTGGCCCTTTATAGAAAAGCTTGCCAACCTCAGCTGGGTGCGGTGGCACACGCCTGTAGTCCCAGCACTTTGGGAGGCCGAGGCGGGTGGATCACAAGGTCAGGAGATGGAGACCATCCTGGCTAACACAGTGAAACCCCGTCTCTACTAAAAATACAAAAAATTAGCCAGGCGTGGTGGCGGGCGCCTGTAGTCCCAGCTCCTCGGGAGGCTGAGGCAGGAGAATGGCGTGAACCCGGGAGGCGGAGCTTGCAGTGAGCCAAGATCGCGCCACTGTACTCCAGCCTGGGCGACAGAGCAAGACTCCGTCTCAAAAAAAAAAGTTTGCCAACCTCTGTCTTAGATCCATGCTCCTGTGCCTTCCCCTAAAACCTTCGCCTGCTCACCTCTCTGAGATGGCCCGTCTTAGACTTTCCAGTCATCTCAACTGGTCATAA